>NC_000021.9:33024892-33334846 GCF_000001405.40 Homo sapiens
GAAGGCTCTTTGCTAACCTTTTACAGCGGAGCCCTGCTTGGACTACAGATGCCAGCGTTGCCCCTGCCCCAAGGCGTGTGGTGATCACAAAGACGACACTGAAAATACTTACTATCATCCGGCTCCCCTGCTAATAAATGGAGGGGTGTTTAACTACAGGCACGACCCTGCCCTTGTGCTAGCGCGGTTACCGTGCGGAAATAACTCGTCCCTGTACCCACACCATCCTCAACCTAAAGGAGAGTTGTGAATTCTTTCAAAACACTCTTCTGGAGTCCGTCCCCTCCCTCCTTGCCCGCCCTCTACCCCTCAAGTCCCTGCCCCCAGCTGGGGGCGCTACCGGCTGCCGTCGGAGCTGCAGCCACGGCCATCTCCTAGACGCGCGAGTAGAGCACCAAGATAGTGGGGACTTTGTGCCTGGGCATCGTTTACATTTGGGGCGCCAAATGCCCACGTGTTGATGAAACCAGTGAGATGGGAACAGGCGGCGGGAAACCAGACAGAGGAAGAGCTAGGGAGGAGACCCCAGCCCCGGATCCTGGGTCGCCAGGGTTTTCCGCGCGCATCCCAAAAGGTGCGGCTGCGTGGGGCATCAGGTTAGTTTGTTAGACTCTGCAGAGTCTCCAAACCATCCCATCCCCCAACCTGACTCTGTGGTGGCCGTATTTTTTACAGAAATTTGACCACGTTCCCTTTCTCCCTTGGTCCCAAGCGCGCTCAGCCCTCCCTCCATCCCCCTTGAGCCGCCCTTCTCCTCCCCCTCGCCTCCTCGGGTCCCTCCTCCAGTCCCTCCCCAAGAATCTCCCGGCCACGGGCGCCCATTGGTTGTGCGCAGGGAGGAGGCGTGTGCCCGGCCTGGCGAGTTTCATTGAGCGGAATTAGCCCGGATGACATCAGCTTCCCAGCCCCCCGGCGGGCCCAGCTCATTGGCGAGGCAGCCCCTCCAGGACACGCACATTGTTCCCCGCCCCCGCCCCCGCCACCGCTGCCGCCGTCGCCGCTGCCACCGGGCTATAAAAACCGGCCGAGCCCCTAAAGGTGCGGATGCTTATTATAGATCGACGCGACACCAGCGCCCGGTGCCAGGTTCTCCCCTGAGGCTTTTCGGAGCGAGCTCCTCAAATCGCATCCAGAGTAAGTGTCCCCGCCCCACAGCAGCCGCAGCCTAGATCCCAGGGACAGACTCTCCTCAACTCGGCTGTGACCCAGAATGCTCCGATACAGGGGGTCTGGATCCCTACTCTGCGGGCCATTTCTCCAGAGCGACTTTGCTCTTCTGTCCTCCCCACACTCACCGCTGCATCTCCCTCACCAAAAGCGAGAAGTCGGAGCGACAACAGCTCTTTCTGCCCAAGCCCCAGTCAGCTGGTGAGCTCCCCGTGGTCTCCAGATGCAGCACATGGACTCTGGGCCCCGCGCCGGCTCTGGGTGCATGTGCGTGTGCGTGTGTTTGCTGCGTGGTGTCGATGGAGATAAGGTGGATCCGTTTGAGGAACCAAATCATTAGTTCTCTATCTAGATCTCCATTCTCCCCAAAGAAAGGCCCTCACTTCCCACTCGTTTATTCCAGCCCGGGGGCTCAGTTTTCCCACACCTAACTGAAAGCCCGAAGCCTCTAGAATGCCACCCGCACCCCGAGGGTCACCAACGCTCCCTGAAATAACCTGTTGCATGAGAGCAGAGGGGAGATAGAGAGAGCTTAATTATAGGTACCCGCGTGCAGCTAAAAGGAGGGCCAGAGATAGTAGCGAGGGGGACGAGGAGCCACGGGCCACCTGTGCCGGGACCCCGCGCTGTGGTACTGCGGTGCAGGCGGGAGCAGCTTTTCTGTCTCTCACTGACTCACTCTCTCTCTCTCTCCCTCTCTCTCTCTCTCATTCTCTCTCTTTTCTCCTCCTCTCCTGGAAGTTTTCGGGTCCGAGGGAAGGAGGACCCTGCGAAAGCTGCGACGACTATCTTCCCCTGGGGCCATGGACTCGGACGCCAGCCTGGTGTCCAGCCGCCCGTCGTCGCCAGAGCCCGATGACCTTTTTCTGCCGGCCCGGAGTAAGGGCAGCAGCGGCAGCGCCTTCACTGGGGGCACCGTGTCCTCGTCCACCCCGAGTGACTGCCCGCCGGAGCTGAGCGCCGAGCTGCGCGGCGCTATGGGCTCTGCGGGCGCGCATCCTGGGGACAAGCTAGGAGGCAGTGGCTTCAAGTCATCCTCGTCCAGCACCTCGTCGTCTACGTCGTCGGCGGCTGCGTCGTCCACCAAGAAGGACAAGAAGCAAATGACAGAGCCGGAGCTGCAGCAGCTGCGTCTCAAGATCAACAGCCGCGAGCGCAAGCGCATGCACGACCTCAACATCGCCATGGATGGCCTCCGCGAGGTCATGCCGTACGCACACGGCCCTTCGGTGCGCAAGCTTTCCAAGATCGCCACGCTGCTGCTGGCGCGCAACTACATCCTCATGCTCACCAACTCGCTGGAGGAGATGAAGCGACTGGTGAGCGAGATCTACGGGGGCCACCACGCTGGCTTCCACCCGTCGGCCTGCGGCGGCCTGGCGCACTCCGCGCCCCTGCCCGCCGCCACCGCGCACCCGGCAGCAGCAGCGCACGCCGCACATCACCCCGCGGTGCACCACCCCATCCTGCCGCCCGCCGCCGCAGCGGCTGCTGCCGCCGCTGCAGCCGCGGCTGTGTCCAGCGCCTCTCTGCCCGGATCCGGGCTGCCGTCGGTCGGCTCCATCCGTCCACCGCACGGCCTACTCAAGTCTCCGTCTGCTGCCGCGGCCGCCCCGCTGGGGGGCGGGGGCGGCGGCAGTGGGGCGAGCGGGGGCTTCCAGCACTGGGGCGGCATGCCCTGCCCCTGCAGCATGTGCCAGGTGCCGCCGCCGCACCACCACGTGTCGGCTATGGGCGCCGGCAGCCTGCCGCGCCTCACCTCCGACGCCAAGTGAGCCGACTGGCGCCGGCGCGTTCTGGCGACAGGGGAGCCAGGGGCCGCGGGGAAGCGAGGACTGGCCTGCGCTGGGCTCGGGAGCTCTGTCGCGAGGAGGGGCGCAGGACCATGGACTGGGGGTGGGGCATGGTGGGGATTCCAGCATCTGCGAACCCAAGCAATGGGGGCGCCCACAGAGCAGTGGGGAGTGAGGGGATGTTCTCTCCGGGACCTGATCGAGCGCTGTCTGGCTTTAACCTGAGCTGGTCCAGTAGACATCGTTTTATGAAAAGGTACCGCTGTGTGCATTCCTCACTAGAACTCATCCGACCCCCGACCCCCACCTCCGGGAAAAGATTCTAAAAACTTCTTTCCCTGAGAGCGTGGCCTGACTTGCAGACTCGGCTTGGGCAGCACTTCGGGGGGGGAGGGGGTGTTATGGGAGGGGGACACATTGGGGCCTTGCTCCTCTTCCTCCTTTCTTGGCGGGTGGGAGACTCCGGGTAGCCGCACTGCAGAAGCAACAGCCCGACCGCGCCCTCCAGGGTCGTCCCTGGCCCAAGGCCAGGGGCCACAAGTTAGTTGGAAGCCGGCGTTCGGTATCAGAAGCGCTGATGGTCATATCCAATCTCAATATCTGGGTCAATCCACACCCTCTTAGAACTGTGGCCGTTCCTCCCTGTCTCTCGTTGATTTGGGAGAATATGGTTTTCTAATAAATCTGTGGATGTTCCTTCTTCAACAGTATGAGCAAGTTTATAGACATTCAGAGTAGAACCACTTGTGGATTGGAATAACCCAAAACTGCCGATTTCAGGGGCGGGTGCATTGTAGTTATTATTTTAAAATAGAAACTACCCCACCGACTCATCTTTCCTTCTCTAAGCACAAAGTGATTTGGTTATTTTGGTACCTGAGAACGTAACAGAATTAAAAGGCAGTTGCTGTGGAAACAGTTTGGGTTATTTGGGGGTTCTGTTGGCTTTTTAAAATTTTCTTTTTTGGATGTGTAAATTTATCAATGATGAGGTAAGTGCGCAATGCTAAGCTGTTTGCTCACGTGACTGCCAGCCCCATCGGAGTCTAAGCCGGCTTTCCTCTATTTTGGTTTATTTTTGCCACGTTTAACACAAATGGTAAACTCCTCCACGTGCTTCCTGCGTTCCGTGCAAGCCGCCTCGGCGCTGCCTGCGTTGCAAACTGGGCTTTGTAGCGTCTGCCGTGTAACACCCTTCCTCTGATCGCACCGCCCCTCGCAGAGAGTGTATCATCTGTTTTATTTTTGTAAAAACAAAGTGCTAAATAATATTTATTACTTGTTTGGTTGCAAAAACGGAATAAATGACTGAGTGTTGAGATTTTAAATAAAATTTAAAGTAAAGTCGGGGGATTTCCATCCGTGTGCCACCCCGAAAAGGGGTTCAGGACGCGATACCTTGGGACCGGATTTGGGGATCGTTCCCCCAGTTTGGCACTAGAGACACACATGCATTATCTTTCAAACATGTTCCGGGCAAATCCTCCGGGTCTTTTTCACAACTTGCTTGTCCTTATTTTTATTTTCTGACGCCTAACCCGGAACTGCCTTTCTCTTCAGTTGAGTATTGAGCTCCTTTATAAGCAGACATTTCCTTCCCGGAGCATCGGACTTTGGGACTTGCAGGGTGAGGGCTGCGCCTTTGGCTGGGGGTCTGGGCTCTCAGGAGTCCTCTACTGCTCGATTTTTAGATTTTTATTTCCTTTCTGCTCAGAGGCGGTCTCCCGTCACCACCTTCCCCCTGCGGGTTTCCTTGGCTTCAGCTGCGGACCTGGATTCTGCGGAGCCGTAGCGTTCCCAGCAAAGCGCTTGGGGAGTGCTTGGTGCAGAATCTACTAACCCTTCCATTCCTTTTCAGCCATCTCCACTACCCTCCCCCAGCGGCCACCCCCGCCTTGAGCTGCAAAGGATCAGGTGCTCCGCACCTCTGGAGGAGCACTGGCAGCGCTTTGGCCTCTGTGCTCTTTCCTGGGGTCACCTCTGTCTCCTCTTGGCCATTGGGTTCTCACAATCCAAACCCGCGATGCAAATTTAGGATGTGGCTGTGAAGAGAGATTCTGGGTGGAAATAAAAATACTTTGGCCTTCCTGGTCAAGGACCAGGGCAGATCCTGTTGTAGTCTCCGTGCCCCAGGGCTGGCCTGAGAATGAGCCCCTGAAAAGACAGCGGGTACGGGCACCGTAAGAACATCCCCTGGTCCAGGGTCCTCTCTCTGACAATATTTTTGGTGGCCACTGGCCACCCTGGAACTGGGGGTGCAGAAGATTTCCCCAGTCAGAACCCCATTTCTTGAGTCGCATAGCTGAGCCTGGCTCACACAGGCAGGCACCCTTTGCTTAGACTTAAAGACTGCTCCGTCCCCTAGCAAGGGACAGGCACTTCCTGCTCCTCCAGCAGGGAATGTCGGACTGCTGGCCAGAACAGCAGTGGCCCAGGGATTGGGTGCTGGAGGCCTAGTTTTTCACCGATGGGCCTGGCTTTTTGCAAAGGCTGGGAGGGATTTGGAGAGGCTGAGCAGCTGGGGGCTGAAGACGGGTGGAAAGCCTCCTGCCCCCACCACCCCAACAGCGCCATGTGAATCCAAGAAGAAGGAAGGGCAGGGTGTAGTCGTTTTTATTCTGAAATCCCATTTGAAATGAAACTTGAAAAGAATTCAAAACTGGGTCCAGCTGCAGCCACAGACACACTCAGAGGGACTCCAGGAGGCTGGAACGTAGACCAGTGGGCGCTGAGAACCTGGCCGGTGGGGGTAGGGGTCTTGATTGCAGTTTTGGCTCTTCCACACCCACTGCCAGGCAGGTGTACTGGTGCAGGCTCTGAGTGTGCTTGGTGTCTGCATAGAAGGACGGTTGTTGAAAGGCAATAAATCAAGTCTTTCCCTCCACCCCTGCACCCAAGCTTTCAGTAGCAACCAGCCACCAGCCAGGCCAGGCAAGACCAGGGCCTCTGAAGAAGGAGGGGCTGTGTCCAGCCAGGCTTTGGGCCCTCCTCCATGCCAGCCGCCTAAACTGTGCACCCAGCTGGAGGCCTTGACCACGGTGGGTGAGACTGGAGCAGCTCTGGACGTGGAGGAGGAAGACACTGGCACACAGTGCACATCCCCTAGAACAGGTGGCTACTCGCCGAGGGTGGCCCTGGACTGGTGGGGGCCAAGGTAGAGGACTCAGCCAGTGGCTGGGCTTTGATGTAGGGCAGGAGAAGACTGTGTGCAACCACTTTGACTTTGGTGGGCTCTTCATTGGCAGTGGGCTCCTCACCAAGTAGGGAAGGGAAAGAGGTAACTGTTTCCGGGATCTGCTGCAGTCTTCCCTGCCACACTGCAGTCCCCTCTGGGGAGCATTCGTTGGGAGATTCTCAACAGGCTGGACTGCAGCTCAGCCTCCTCCCCAGCCCCACTGCGTGGCTCTGCAGCACCCCAGCTGTCAGCCTCCGAGTTTAGAAACTCACCATGCCCCAGGTCTTTGAGACTCCCCAACCCTCCTTAAGAACCTGGGAGCTGGCCGGGGCGCAGTGGCTCAAGCCTGTAATCCCAGCACTGTGGGAGGCCGAGGTGGGCAGACCACCTGAGGTTGGGAGTTAGAGACCAGCCTGATCAAAATGCAGAAACTCCGTCTCTATTAAACATACAAAATTAGCCAGATGTGGTGGCACATGCCTGTGATCCCAGCTACTTGGCAGGCTGAGGCAGGAGAAGTGCTTGTACCCAGGAGGCGGAGGTTGCAATAAGCTGAGATAGTGCCATTGTACTTTGCACTCCAGCCTGAGCAACAAGAGTGAGACTCTGACTAAAAAAAAAGAGAAAAAATAAAAAAAGAACTTGGGAGCTCAGCTGACCAGAGGTTGAGGGGCCAGTGGGCAGAACCCGAGCCTCCTCCTCTGGCCTCAGCACCCCAGGGCATTGTCCCTGGGCTCCTCACTCTCTCATATGGGCAGGAGCCACAGAGAAATGACACTCCCCTGGACTCAGTGTTGAAGGACTAACCCCTAATGCCCATGGAGTTGGAATTCTGCACCTTGGGGACAGGCAGTGAGCAGACGAGTGAAGTGAACCCACAGAGGTGTCACACTCCCAGTGAGGCCAGGAGTTTTAATGTGACCGCAGGAAGACATGGGTACTAAAGACACCCGTGGTGATTTGGGGTTCTGACAGCCATCCACCAGGGACCTGCCCTTCTCATTCCCAGACTGGGATCAGTGAGGAGCCCCTGGGCCAGGGCATTGAATTTTAAAGCCCCCTAGATGCTCTTATGGATAAAACTACCCCAGTGGTGGAAAATGTCTGTCTCCTATTGGGGCCGAATCTACCTAGCAATCTGTCTGGACTTCTATTGAGTATTCACCTTGATGCTTCCTAAAAGTTCATCAGGAGGTGGCAAAGGAGTCCCCCTTCACCTGCCATGTCATTTTAAGTCACTCTTGCATTACAGATTTTGTGCCTAGTATCCCCCTTCCCCACACAAGTGCCCCCATAGTACCAGCAGGGGTTATAGGGTCTTTGACAAGGGCCCCACACCAAGAGTGACCATTTATTTAGTCTCCGCAAAACTGTAAGGGAAGCCAGGATAAAGCCAGGTTATTCACAGCAGTGGTTGCTGTATTCAGTCCCATCCTGACTAGGGAGAGGGACGTGGGACAGCATGGGTGAGCATGGCCACTCCCTGGTTTGGAGGCAGCCAGCAGCTCATGGGCTATATCCCAGGGCTAAGCCCCAACTCCCTGTAAGTGAGGAGGCCATTCTAGGCAGGGCAGAGATGGGGATCACCCACAGCTACATCCTTACTCCGTATCTCTCCTCTAGGGCCCCAGTGATTGCTACTGGCTGTTTGTCTGTGGAAGAGGTTGGAGGTGGAGGACTGCAGCGAGGAACTGAAGAGGCAAAGCTGGGAGGAGGGAGTCAGGGCCGGGCTGAATCTCCAGGGAACTCAGGATATTAATAGGTGGAGGCTAGGAGAGGAGGCGGATAGCGTTGACTGAGGTTTAGCCGGGGTAAGGCGGGGCACAGAGAGCTTTAAGAGCCTCAGTTCATTCCATTCTCACTACAACCATTTGAGGAGGGTGCTATTATTGTCCCGTCTTACAAGTAAGGAAACTGAGTCACAGAAAGGCTAAGTGACTTGCTCAGGGGACACAGCCAGTAAATGAAGGTGGCAAGGTTGTTGTAATCCAGGGCCCACCCCAAGAGGCCACCTGGCCCGCACTCCAGCAGTCCCCAGACTCTGGCTCAGCTGCCGCCCCGGGAATCCTCTGCTGCCACCCCCTGTCCCCCACCCCGGCCCCCTTAGGTGGCGCTCCTAGTGCTTCCCCCCATGCCTGGACCCCATCTGTCCCCGACTCCCCCATCTGGGCGGCGGGCGGGGCTCACAGGCTTTAGCAATTAGCGGGCGCGGGTGGGCGCGCGGCGCGGGCGGAGGAAGGGCCGGAGCAGGTGAGCCGCGGCGGAGCCTCATTAGGGCGGCCCGCACGCCCCGCGAGGGACCGTCGTTAGTGCCAAGACAGCTGCCGCTCCTGCCGGCCTAGGGCCGCAGCCGGAATCCCGGGCCACATCCCCTGCCCCGTTGTGCCTTCCACACCTCGGGCAGTCACTAGGAAAAGGGTCGCCAACTGAAAGGCCTGCAGGAACCAGGATGATACCTGCGCCAGTCCCGCGGCTGCTGCGAGTGCGCGCTCTCCTGCCAGGGGGACCTCAGACCCTCCTTTACAGCACACCGAGGGCCCTGCAGACACGCGAGCGGGCCTTCAGTTTGCAAACCCTGAAAGCGGGCGCGGTCCACCAGGACGATCTGGCAGGGCTCTGGGTGAGGAGGCCGCGTCTTTATTTGGGGTCCTCGGGCAGCCACGTTGCAGCTCTGGGGGAAGACTGCTTAAGGAACCCGCTCTGAACTGCGCGCTGGTGTCCTCTCCGGCCCTCGCTTCCCCGACCCCGCACAGGCTAACGGGAGACGCGCAGGCCCACCCCACCGGCTGGAGACCCCGGCACGGCCCGCATCCGCCAGGATTGAAGCAGCTGGCTTGGACGCGCGCAGTTTTCCTTTGGCGACATTGCAGCGTCGGTGCGGCCACAATCCGTCCACTGGTTGTGGGAACGGTTGGAGGTCCCCCAAGAAGGAGACACGCAGAGCTCTCCAGAACCGCCTACATGCGCATGGGGCCCAAACAGCCTCCCAAGGAGCACCCAGGTCCATGCACCCGAGCCCAAAATCACAGACCCGCTACGGGCTTTTGCACATCAGCTCCAAACACCTGAGTCCACGTGCACAGGCTCTCGCACAGGGGACTCACGCACCTGAGTTCGCGCTCACAGATCCACGCACACCGGTGCTTGCACACGCAAGGGCCTAGAACTGCAAAGCAGCGGCCTCTCTGGACCGCCTCCCTCCGGCCCTCCTGAGCCCTACTGAGCCCTGCTGAGTCCTGGAGGCCCTGTGACCCGGTGTCCTTGGACCGCAAGCATCCTGGTTTACCATCCCTACCCTGGCTGACCTGAGAGCTGGGGATCTTTTAAGCTTTGTATGCCTGGCCTCACCTTTTCCTCTGCCTCCCTCCCAGACCAGCCCGGCTCTCAGACACCTCTGCTTTCTAGGCAAAAGTTCTGGAGCCCAGAGCAAGGGCCACAGGTGCAGTGCAGTCCAAACAGGACCACGAGCAATTCTCTCTCCTTCATCCTCAGATTTGGCAGTAGAAGCTTGTTTTTCAGAACAGGGCTGGAGTGGCCTCTTTGAAACTCTGAACATGTTTCAACTGTAGAATAGAGCCATAATGGGTGATCTTGGAAGCTCCGTGGGCCAATCAGGCTCTGCCCCAATACCCGAGCCCTCTGGGTGTCCTGGTCCACCTCAGAGCAGAGGTCCTGGGAGCCCCTGCTGGCAGGGAGGCTGTGATGGGTGAGAACAGCCCTCCTCCGTGTGTCCTCCGTGCACTAAGAGAATTCACTGGCCTCTGCTGAAGCGGAGTTTAGACAGTTCTAGAAAGGAGTTGTCCTTGGTTGTGGGGCTTCCCTAGGGTGGAAACTGTGGTTTGGACATCCTTGTACCTTCAGGGTACCTGCTAGATATAAGGACTCACAAAAAAATGAATGAACGAATGAACGAGTGGCACAGTGCAAGTCAGGAGGTTTGGAGAGTGTGGGGAACAAGGTGGAAGTGTAAAAGTCCTGAATCCTTCATTGATGGGGGATACTGAGGCCTAAAGGATGGTGAGCACTTTGATTCTATCCAAGGCAGCTGGATTCAGACCAAAGCCCTATACTACAGTGATCCAGGTTACGAGACCTTCCTGATCCTCTCTTCTTATGTAAATAGAGTAATTAATAGTAGCACCTGACAACTGTGCTGCTGTGAGGATTAAATGAAACATCCCAGGAGTCGCCCTCTGCATGGTGCCAGCAGTGAATGGATGCCCTGGGCCCAAGGACCTGCCCAGAGTGCAGCTGCTGCTGGGTGTGGACTCCCACAGCTGAGGCTCCCCCAACCCAAGCAGCCAGGAATCTGTAGGTCATAGTGGGGCAGTCACCATGGAGACCATGAAGAGGCAGTTGGGTGTGGGGTGGTATGCTGCCTTGGCCAAGCTCTGCCAGCTGAGTGACCTTGGACAAGAGACATGAGCTTTCTTAGCCTTGGCTTCCTTATCTGTAAAGTAGGGGTGATGCTAGTACCATCTTCACAGGCCATCTGGCCTGAGAGGGAGAACCTGGCACACCACGCATATCCAATTAAGCAGAAGAAGGTGCCTGACTGCATGAGTGTCATCCCATTGAATCTTCTGGGAGGTCCTACAAGGTATGGTCTCTGTTACTCTGGGTGACATGATCTGTCCTGCAGCATCACAAGGGGTCTGTATGCCTCGGGGCGCCAAGGAACAACTCAGCACTGTCCCTGAGCTCTGTACAGGTTCCACTTCCCAAACCCCCCCAACGCAAGGCAAGGCCTCTGTTCTCACCTTTGCATGCCCTGGGGTGCCTGGTACTGAGCATGATGCACGGTTAGTTCTCTGGGAATATCCTTTGCATTGCATTGTGGACGAGGAGGGCCCATGCTCTACATGGAAAACAGACCTGGGTCTTTTTTTTTTTTTTTTTTTTTTTTTTTTAGATGGAGTCTCACTCTGTCACCCAGGCTGGAGTGTGCAGTGGCACGATCTCAGTTCACTGCAACCCTGCCCTGGGTTCAAGCCATCTTCATGCCTCAGCTTCCCAAGTAACTGGGATTACAGGTGCACGCCACCACGCCCAGCTAATTTTTGTAGTTTTAGTAGAGACAGGGTTTCACCATGTTGGCCGGGTTGGTTTTGAACTCCTGACCTCAGGTGACCCATTCACCTTGGCCTCCCAAAGTGCTGGGATTACGGGCGTGAGGCACCGCGCCTGGCCCAGACCTGAATCCTTTTAAAGGAGGGAGCCAGGATCAGAAAGGAACTGATTGAAGGAAAAGTTGCCTGTGAAGCCCAAGCCCCAGCCTCACGGTCCCATCCCCCCATCCCCCCATTGAGGAGAGTCCCCCCTCTCAGGGCCAGGCCTGCTGTTCCCTCCATCTGTGCCCCTCAGATGCCCAGTGTAAGGGGTGAGCTGGAGAGCTAAGGATCTGCTTGTTCTGGAATTGCAGCTGGGAGCCTCGGGAAGAAGAGTGGTGGGGCCTCCTGGGAGCTGGGCATGGGGCTCCCCATCAGTTCCAGCTCTGACCTCTCTGGGCTGTTCAGGCAAAGGCAGCAGTTGCTAATGAAGACACTGGAGGACAGCGTGGCTTAGTCAGCACAGGAAGGAAATGACTTAGTGCAGCCGGGTGCTGGCAGGCGACCACAGCAGGGGCAGGCAGCCCATAAGACCAGCACAGCCAGGAGGCCACACTCCCCCGCCCCACCCTGGGCTTGCCTTCTTTGCCCCTCTCCCTTCACCACCCTCCACAGCCAATTTGCTTGTCATCACCCACCTTTTTGTGTTTAACCCGTCAGCTCTTCCTACCTCATTCACTATTTTTTTTTGTTTGTTTTAATTAAGGTCGAATGCATGTCACACAAAGTTAACCATTTTAAGGTGAACAGTTTCAGGGGCATTGACAATGTCGTGCAGCCACCACCTCTGTCTCATTCCAAAACATTTTCATCGCTGCAAAGTAAAACCTGGACCCACTGAGCAGTTCCTCCTCACTCCCCCATCCCTACCCCTACCAATCTACTTTCTGTGTCTATGGATTCACTGATTCTAGATACTTCATATAAACGGAGTCATAAAATATGTGGCCTTTTGTGACTGGCTTCTTTCACTTAGCATAATGTTTTTGAGGTTCAGCCACGTTGTTGCATGTATCCTTACTTCATTCCTTCTTCCAGTGGAATCATATTCTGTTGTGGGTGTCTGCCACATTTGGTTTATCCATTCATCTGTTGGTGATTTCGTTCACTTCTAAGTAACTCCTCAGGTCCTGGTATACAACCTGCCACAGTGAAAAGAGGCCTGTTCCAGGAGTTTAAAAATCTACGTCTCTGACCAGGTTGAGCATCCTCCAGCGAGTTGCTTGACCTTTCTGGGCCTCTATCTACTCATCTACAAAGTGAAAAGCTTGGCAAAGGACATTTCAAGTTACGATTCTCTGTGACTTTTTACAACCCTGAAGTCCACCCTGCCACTTGTAGAATGTATTTCATGTCCTCCCTGCCACAGGTGTGTGTCAAGAACCCCATAACAAATGTCCCAGAACTTGCACAGTGCCCCCAGCAGATCAGGATGCCTGAACAAATCTCTGCCTTTGGGTCTTAGGGAGCCAGAATCTCTGCGAGATGCCTGGCTGAAGTAGGTAGTGTATTGTGAGTGATTCCCTTATTCAATATCCAGCCAGACTTTCATCAGTTGTGACTTGGAAAGGAAATGACCAACTAACTTGTAACTTGTTCAGATCCTCATTATGATATAGTTAAGAGACGCATTTTAAGAAGTGGGCACTAAACTACATAGTGAAGATCCCACATAAATCTGGGGCTAGGTGTAGTGGAAAAACTGCTATCCTTACTCCTGTAGTTCATCTTCTCAGCCTTTTATCCAGTACACGTTTAATGTGCCAGGTGGATGTGGAGAACACTCAGTGACAGCAGCTGCATCAGGTACATCTGAACTTGATGGCCACCACATTACCCCATCCCCTGCTTTAGGCAGGTTAGAAACATACAGAGAAACTGCTTTAAAAACATGCTTGTCCTCAACATTTAAGAGCTTTGAAATGGACCCTGATTGGAGTGGGGTGATCAAGTTGTCTTTTCCATTTGAACTTGAACTTAAAGGGGAAAAAACTTTATGTAGGGAAGGTACCAAG
Source organism: Homo sapiens (assembly GCF_000001405.40). Classification (NCBI taxonomy): domain Eukaryota; kingdom Metazoa; phylum Chordata; class Mammalia; order Primates; family Hominidae; genus Homo; species Homo sapiens. The sequence goes on from NC_000021.9 coordinate 33,038,151, forward strand.
CTCACAATTTACCGAGCTTCCATAGTCCAAAAAGAATTTGAGGGGTTTGTCTGAACCATGTTACAGAATTGAAAAGTATTTTCATACAATTGAAAGTCAGAAAATGGGAGGCACTTGCTATATTGTTCTAACGTGTTAGCTCGTGGGCCTCACTCATATATTTAATCTTTTTTTGTTAAGAGAAAGAAGTCATACCTCATGTTTTTTTTTTTTAACTTTTATTCCAAAAAGAATTTTGGAATATGGAGGCTCTGTAAACTGAGATCATAATTTCACCTCCTTTTTTTTTTTTTTTGAGACAGTTTCGCTCTTGTCACCCAGGCTGGAGTGCAATGACACAATCTCAGCTCACTGCAACCTCTGCCTCCCAGGTTCAAGTGATTCTCCTACCTCAGCCTCCCAAGTAGCTGGGATTACAGGCGTGCACCACCACACCTGGCTAATTTTTGTATTTTTAGTAGAGATGGAGTTTCACCATGTTGGCCAGGCTGGTCTTGAACTCCTGACTTGAGGTGATCCACCCGCCTCGGCCTCCCAAAGTGCTGGGAGCCATCACGCCCAGCCCCTCCTTCCCTTTTAAGACTCCAACTTTCCTCTGGCATTTTCAATTCCCTTGCCCTGCTCAATTTCCCTTTCCCCGTATGCTATTTATTACTGATTAATTTTGTTGTTTATTGTCTGTCTTCCACACTAGAATATAAGCTCCACTGGGCAGAAATATTTGTCTATATTGATCACTGATGTACAATGGTATCCAGCCCATAATAAGTGCTCCATAAATATCTGTTAAACTAATGAAATGAATGCATGCAGGTGATTTTTGCCACTGAACTGTTTTGTAACTAGAATGCAAGTGACATAAAGCTTCATTAGGATTCTCACATGAGAAAATACAAGCAAAAATCTGATCCTGTGAAAAGTGTAGCATCAAACTTCATTTTCCTTCCAGAAAATGCTTTTTAAAAACCTGCCAAATCTTGGAGGCTGGCCTTTTATTGGTTCTGGGGTGTGGGGCAAACAAGGGATTTTCTGAAATAATTTATCAGTTACTATCAACAAATTTGCTAAAGCTTGACATATAACATTCGCCACTGTGAACAAAAGCTGCCTCCCAAAGTCCCTTGGGTAGTCTTTGCGCACACTAAAAATCCAGAGCTTGAGGCATAAGACTGACCTTAACATTAAATGAATTCATGGTTGGACACTTTGTTCTAATCCTTTGTGAAGCAAACTCCTTGGATTTTTAAAACATGCTATCGGATGAATCTTTCCAATGAGGAGCATATAAATATCTCCTTTAGTAGTTCCTACAAAGCATCCATGTCAATGTCATTAACAGAATGGGAATGATATTGGAGGGAGTGGGAGGTGGTTGCAACTTGCAATTCAGACAGCCAGTGAAAACCTTAACATTAAGTATCCTTAAAAAAAAAAAAAAAACCCTCAGTGGTTGTATTTATCCTGAATGCAAAACTGTCCCCTTTGTTGAGATTGGCTGAACTAACTCAGCCTGGAGAACAATGTTGAGGCTGCTGGCGGGCCATGTGCTAATGTGCTCATGCATTACAGGCCGCAACAGATGGCTGTGAGAACACCCGGCCTGCCCCGCCTGGGTCAGGATGCAGAGCCCAACGCCTGTTTCCAGTGCTGTCCCGCTATGAAAACACTGCTTCTCTAGGGAGAGGCGATGGCTGGCCTGGGGGAGGCCAGCCATGTCTGTTCTACCCAATTCAAGGGCAAAGGTGCAAGGGAATAATGATCAGGGGTTTATTTGAGCCATGTTACAGAATTGAAAAGTATTTTCATACAATTGAAAGTCAGAAAATGGGAGACACTTGCTATATTGTTCTATCATGTTAGCTCACAGGCCTCATTCATACATTTAATCTTTTTTTGTTAAGAGAAAGAAGCCACACCTCATGTTTTTATTTTTTTAACTTTTATTTTAGACTCGGATACAGGTGCAGGTTTGTCATATGGGTAAATTGCATGTCATGGGGGTTTGAGGTACAGATTATTTTGTCACCCTGATAATAAGCATAGTACCGGATAGGTAGTTTTTTTTATCCTCTCTTTCCTCCCACCCTCCACCCTCAAGTAGGTCCTGGTATCTGTTTTTCCCTTCTTTGTGTTCATATTTACTCAATTTTTAGCTCCCACTTATAAGTGAGAACATGTGGTATTTGGCTTTCTGTTCCTGTGTTAGTTTGCTTAGGATAATGACCTCCAGCTCCATCCATATTCCTGCAAAAGATATGATCTCATTCTTTTTTATGGCTGCATAATATTCCATCGTGAATATGTACCACATTTTCTCTATCCAGTCCATTGTTGATGGGCATTTAGGTTGATTCCATGTCTTCGCTACTGTGAATAGTGCCGCAATGAACATATGCACACATGTGTCTTTATGGTAGGGAGATTTAGTCTTCTCCTATGACCAGGATGTGGTGTTTTGAGTATAGTTCTAATTTTTCTTTCCTTCCCTCTGACAAGTTTCTCTTCAATCTTTCCCTGCATCCCAGTGAATCAGTGAGAAAGCAAAACAACCCCTCCTGTCCCCCCACACCAAAACCAAACCAAAACAAACAAAAAATCCGCCAGGCTTTCTTACAACTACAAAGTGAAGCTACAGAGAAATTCCTTTGGAAACATGTTTGCAAAGGGATGTTTGTCCCTGTATCCCTACAAATGAGAAGAAAACCAACATTAGCCATCACGTTTGCTCTTCCCATCCCACCCTGAAGCAAAGGCTCAGGCAGGTGTGGCTGGTCCAGCAGCTCAAGGCCCAATGTCCTGGGAGGGAATGTGGGGGTCACTGGCTCTCTTTAGTTGTGGACTCTACCTACAGAGCCAGGCCAACCTGTCCAAGCAGCCCTGCCTGCTTCTCCAGCTCATGACCCCAGAGCTGGGCACTGGAACTCACTCACTCGGAGCCAGGTCCCCTGAGATGAGAGTGGCACCTCAGAGACATCACCCCAGAGTCACCCCAGATACATGCAGAGACAGAGAAGCACCCAGGCACACAGAGCAGTATGGACTATCAACCCCTATGCTCAACTCTCTGAAACAGATAAGCAGATGTATGGCTGGCTTGTGGTCTTCAAAGTTGGTCTAAGTTTCCTGGTGTTCATATAGGAGCACTGGGAAGCTGGCATGTGGATTACTGATGTAGAATGGTGTCCAGTCTATAGTAAGCTGGAAGCTCCCCACCTGCCTGTCTGTCACACTCAGCATGCCTTCTGTTGATGCCACTGTGTGGATAAGCATAGTGTCTCCAGGGAGCCCTGTCAAAACGCCCATTGCCTGGGAAGGAATACACAGCAAGTCACTGGCACTGGTTAGTCTATAAACGCCCATTGCCTGGGAAGGAATACACAGCAAGTCACTGGCACTGGTTAGTCTGTAAAGTACTAGTGATAACATGAAGTAGGGCACTGACAGCGTGGAAAGGTAAATTTTACCTGTAAGGGAAGGAGGGAAGGCAGGAAAGAGGGAGAACTTGAGATCAACAGGGCTGGTGCCATGAGGATCGCAAGTAGGCTATGGGGAAGGACATTTCAAAGCCGTAGTGGTGAGGATGCAGGTTAGGTACCATAACAAAGAAAGTTCCAAGACAGCAGCTTAGATAAAGTTACAGTCCAGGGAGGTGGCCCAGGGTTGGTTTGAAAGCTTCATGGTATGAACAACCCAATTCCCTCCCTCTTATTTTTCTGCTATCCTCAACACAGTCTCCATCTTGCTACTCCAAGCCTGCCATCATGCCCATATTCTGGGAAGGAGTATGGAGCAGGGAGAGTTCTCCTTCCTTTTAAGGTACAAACCAAGAATGGCATACGTCACTTCTGCTTGTATTCCCTGGGACAGAACCTAGCTACAGGGTCACATCAAACTGCAACACAGGTCAGAAAATGTGGGCTTCATCTGGGTGGCCACATGCTAGCTAAAACCTTTACTAAAAAGGGAGGGCAGACACTGGGGACAAGAAGTAGTCTGTGTCACACCAGGCTGAGGAAGGGAGGTCCCCCTCAAAGAGCTCTGCATCCACAGCTTCTGACTCACAGTCCACCCACAACACAAACCCAGACTGAAACCTGCATTCTCAGGGAGAGGGAATGAATTTCTATAGGAGCTGTGGGGAAACGGGAAATTTTAAATAAGAATAGTCCATTTTTCTAGCACTTGCTAGTCTGTAGGGCCTTTTACATTTTACATGTGTTACCTCCTTTAAAATGAGAAGCAGGTGCAATGTGCGCAACTTCCCTTTCACAGGTGAGGAGGTGGCGGCGGGGGCTTGCCCAGGCTCCCACAGTGGAAACGAGCAGAGCCTAGGGGTCTCTGAATGACTCCCAGCCCACTGGGCAGCCCAGACAAGCTCTCAGTCCCACTGACGCAGGCATCCGTAGGCTAACATGGAATAAGACCATCATAACACGACGTGATGCCCTTGTTCATGCCCAGCCTTTGGGGGCTGCCCTCCTAACCTCTGTGCCTTCCCTGAAGGGGGTACAGGCAGTCATATTTTGTGTAGCTTCATGACACAGAATCAGCTGCTCATTACGGGATGCATCTTTTTCATTCCACCTCCCCCCATGGCCTATCACTGAAGTGAGCCTTATTTTGCAAGGCACATCTTCATTCTTGGTGTGTTAGGAAGGAAAAGGAAAAAACGCCTATAATCCAATAAGGCACACAGAATCAAGTGGAATCCAATTCCTCCAAGTTCAAGATGAAGGAAGCTAGATGCAGAGGCTGAATTATGACGACAGACATGTCAGTTCATCCCCGGAGTCTAAGATCTAAGACCATGGCCAGGATCAAGCTGCGTTTGAAGGGGCTCTTACCAATCACTATGAAATTCCAGTGTGCCTGAATCACTATGACTTGGAACCTTTGGATTTCTGCCAAATCACAATTTGGACTCTATCCACAAAGCCAGGCTGTGGCTCTTTCCTTCTTTCCTGATTCATGCTCTGCCTTCACCCCTTTCATTGCTTTTTAAAGGTTTATTTTGAAAAGTCTTGTTCAGCCTGAGAACTATCTTTCCCATCAGCCATTTTCCTCTGCTTCTTAAACTTCCAGGTCAGGGATTCTCTGGAGTATTAAAGGGGGCTCAGCTGATGGTCCTCAGCTCCATTGTGCCCTGTTAGGCAAGTACCTGTCCTGGTGCAGTGACCCAGACATGCAAGAGAAAGGCTGTGGACTTGGGCAGCACTGTCTGGTAGAACATTCCATGATGATGGAAATGGTCTGTATCTACGCTGGCTAATATGGTGGCCACATATGGCCATCAAGCACTCAAAATGTGGCCAGTATGACTGTGGAACTGAACTTTCAGTTTTATTTAATTTTAATTAACTTTAACTTCAATAGCCACAGGTGGCTGTTGTTCACTATATTGGACAGTGCAGCTCTACAAGCAGAGGCCACAGGATCTCTGGACCTCACCGGGTGCATCATCAATCTTGGATTTCCCCTGCTAAAACCCATACAATCTGGCCAGGCTCAAAATGCAGAGGGTTTTCTCAAAGTGAGAAGTATGGCTTTTACCACAAAACATTATTTGTATTGATTCCATTTGCAAGAAAAACCATCATTCTGGACCAGCTGAGATCATCCGATTTCTGAAGAATCACAGAGTTAGAACTGTTGGCCGATTGCTTGTAGACATCTGTGACGATAAGCTTACGTCACTACCCTTGCCCCTCTCTAACCCACTCCCAACACCCACAACTCTTATTTCTATCCTTCTTCTTCATAAAACTCATTTTCCATTTTTCCCTCTAGCCTAAATCATGAGCACTAGCACCTTATCAGCAGCCAAGAAAAGCACATCATGTTTCCTTTACTGACTTTCTCATTAAGTTGCCCCCATTTCTCCCCCTACTGAAATAGTTGAAGATAGGAGTTTCAAAGGTTTTGTTTTAAAAGGTATGCCTACTGTCCAGAAAAACTTTCCCCAGGTCTTTGATGACCCTCTGGAAAGTTATTTAATTTTCCCAAGATCTGTTGTAGATAAAGAAATTCTTTGGGTAGGGAGGATAGACTTGGCACAAGCTCAACTGCAAAAGTATTATTGGGTTAATACGGTAGTTGTTGACTCTTCTTCAGGGATTCTCAATAATGGTCCTGTTACATTTGGGGCCAGATACTTCTCTGTGGTGGGGGCTGTCCTGCGCAGTGTAGGATGTTCAGCAGTATCCCTGGCCTCTACTTGCCAGTTGCCAGTGATACCCTGTCCCCAGTTGGGAAAACTGAAAATGTCACCAGACATTGCCAAGCATCCCCTGGGGGACAAAATCTCCCCCAGTTGAAAATCCCTGCTCTACTTCCATTTAACATCCACACTGAGCTGAGACAAGAGAGCAGAAGAGGAAAAAGCCACACAAAGCCATCCATTTCTATTTGAATCCTTAACTGTCATGATCCTCTTTCTTGTTTAGAATTCTTATTAGTAATGGACTTTTGCCCTAAACTTTGAGAAGTGAGAGGAGAGGAGGACATGGTGATTTTGCCTACATACCTCTGGAACATATTTTGGAACCAAGAAAGGTAGATCTGAAAATGCCAGGAGCTTGATTCATTTGGTTTCCTACATGGGAACTGTTTAAAATTAAGAGACAATGCACTCTGATATGACTCGCCAATTGTACACTGAATTCAATAAAATGTTAATAAGAAAAGTTCACATGGATTGCACTCTTACCATATGCTAAGCATTGTTGCAGGTGTACTGATTCAATGACTATTTTTATTCCTACTTTACCCATGAGGAATCGGAAGCACAGACATCATGCAGTTAGTGAGTTGCAGAGATGGGATTCAACATCCCAGGCATATAAGGATTGCGCTGTATGGGCAGACCAAAAAAGTATACATGGCCCCTCTAAATTTTCTTTTTAAAAACATTGATTTTTAAATTAACTTTTCACTGTGGAATAATTCTAGATTCACAGAAAAGTTGCAATGATAGTACAGAAATTTCCTGTATATACCTCACCCAGCTTTCTCTAACGTTCACGTCTTTCATAACCTTGGTACATTTGTCACAACTAAGAAATTAAAATGGATGGCTAGGTGCGGTACCTCAAGCTTGCAATCACAGCACTTTGGGAGGCCAAGGGGGTGAATTTCTTGAGTCTAGGACTTTAAGACCAGCCTGGCAATATGGCAAAACCCCATCTATTAGCCAGGTGTGGTGGTGCACACCTGTCATCCTAGCTGTTCGGGAGGCTGAGGTGGGGAGGATCAGTTGAACCCAGGAGGCTGAGCCTGCAGTGAGCTGTGATCACGCCACTGCACACCAGCCTGGGCAACAGAATAAGACCCTGTAAAAAGAAAAAGAAAGAAAGAGAGAGAGAGAAAGGAAGGACGGAAGGAAGGAAGAAAGAAAGAAAGAAAGAAAGAAAGAAAGAAAGAAAGAAAGAAAGAAATTAACATGGTTACAATGACATTAACTAAACCACAGATTTGGTTCAGAGTTCACCAGTTTTTCCATGAGTGTCCTTTGTTCCGCAGAAGAATACAGGGTATCCAATACAGGACAGCACATTGCATTTAGTTGGGGTTTATTTTTAATAGTGTTGACTAGACTTGTTCCTCACAACCCCTTCTAGATCAAAGCAATTACAGATGCTGCTCCTATGGAAGATGTTATACAAAAATTCCACTGTTGTGCAAAATGGACACAGAGAAAGCTAATCACCACTGTATTAAGGTTTGGTAGAAGGAGATTTATGGGATTAAGGGGGAAATCAGGTGAGCATGGCACACTGGGAGGAAGTATTAAAATTGCTGAGAGTGGAACAGGGCTGGAACCCCCTAAGGGATGTACAATTAAAACACAACAGATAACGATTCCCCTGAAAAGGGATGGAACGAGAAAGACAAGTGTCACAGAGAACTGCTTAGGGAAGCAAAGGGTCCATTTTACAAAGTGGCAAGAGAAAAGAGAATCTGCCTAGTAAGTCCTCTTAGTAGGAGACTAACTGCAGGTATGACTTAGGCTGCTGAGTGGTTAAGACTTTACAAGGGAAAAATGAGAGAGAGAGAAGAGACAGGAGTGTATGCCAGACACGTATGTGCATATAGAAGAGACATGTCTGTTTCAGACCTGCCCACAACCTGAACAAGCCTCATTTCTGTAATTACAAAGAGCTCACTTGATTCTAAATCTGCAGTGTAAGCATTCAGAATCCACCTCATCAGTGTCAACAGGCAAGAAACCTGTACTTAAAGGCACTGCCAATGTGCCTTGGGGAATCGCTTAGAAATCCAGTGCCATTGTTAGAAAACAAGGGTTAGGCCCCAGATTGGGACACATGTAAGATAACATACAACACAGTTCTCTCTCCAAAACTTCTCATGCATTCTCCTGCCCACACCATGTCCAAGAGGTAACTGGGATTTGCTACGATTTTTTTTTTACAAGGACTATAAAACAATGCCAGAGAAGAGGGGCAGGATCAGGAGACTGGAAAACAAGGAAAGGTGATATGGTAGGAAGCAGGCTCTCTCCATCTGGCATGTGACATCATCCCCCTACCCCTCGCCTCCTTCCCTGCCCCCCAACTCTATCTCCACCGTTCTCCATATGCACGTTCCTCTTTTAAAGTGTTAATTTTGGCCGGGTGTGGTGGCTCAAGCCTGTAATCTCTGCACTTTGGGAGGCTGAGGCGGGCGGATCACGAGGTCAGGAGATCAAGACCATCCTGGCTAACACGGTGAAACCCCGTCTCTACTAAAAATACAAAAAAATTAGCCGGGCGTGGTGGCGGGCACCTGTAGTTCCAGCTACTCAAGAGGCTGAGGCAGGAGAATGGCGTGAACCCGGGAGGCGGAGCTTGCAGTGAGCCGAGATCGCGCCACTGCACTCCAGCCTGGGGGACAGAGCAAGACTCCGTCTCAAAATAAATAAATAAATAAATAAAGTGTTAATTTCTTCTTTTATTTTTGTGACAAGAGAGTATAATATAAACAGCAGGTAAGAAAAGCATGACTCTTACCAGGAGAGTGGATGGCATCCAATCTTCTTCAAATCGAGGCACGAAGTTTTTAGAAGTACATAGAATTTGAGCAATCTAACATGTCATGGAACAAACCCAAACCATAACCTTCATGCTAATGAAATCACAAGAAATAAATGCATGGGAGATTTGCATGAAGGTGACTGAAATTAATAAACTATATCGTGCTCCATTGGAAAGGATCGAAGAGCAGATGCTAACTTAGCTGACCTGACAATAAGTGGAGTAGTGATTAGCCATGCTGCAGTGACTCACTGACCTGGCAAGCACCATCTGAGAGCAGTCCAATTTAAGTCAGTCACCATAGCGTCAGGGCGGGAGGGAGACAGGGATCTCCCAATGAGGTTCGTGCCCTTCTCTCTGGAAAGACCAGCTAAAGAGTCAACAGGGTAGCTGATAACACCAAATAATGTTGTTCTACACATAGGAGACAACAGATGTGTCCTGGATGATTTAGAAGAGGGGAAGAGAAAGAACACACGAGGGGCCCAGAAGCCAGGGAAGGCTTCAGGAAGGAGGGAGATTTCAACTGGTCCTGATAGATGAATCAGATTGAAGCAGGGAATTGAGGGATGCTAACAGTTAGACCACCCTTGGGTTGATTCTGCTCAGAGAGTTCTAGAATCCTGATGATGGAAAGAGCAAAGTCAACTCATGGTATGGGGTGAGACCTGTGCTCCATCGTCATAGCCCACAAACCCTGGCACATCCATGGCAGGGCCTGACCCCAAACCTAGAGTCAGCATCTTCAAGGGTTAGTGCCACGAATTTGTATGTTCGTAATTACCAGGTGATTCTGATCTAATGACCCCTATCTCAAAGATGAAGAAATCGAGGTCCAGGGAAAGGATGTGATTGGCTCATGGGGCATATATTGTGAATTCATTTAGGATGTGACTTTCCAACCATTTCTCCAATACTTCTCCATGAAGGGTGTGCTCTGAAACCCCACCTGCAGAGGCAAGCAGGGTCACCCTACACCTCTCTTTGGCTGGACTCTGTCTCCTCGACTGGGTTCGGAAGGTTGTAATGGTGCATGGCAGCTTCTCTGCTCCATTGTTAATAATCCACTCATCTGGAAGAAAAAGCAGCAGCTTCTTCCACCACCCCGGAATTGCAACATTTGTCCTTAGTGAAGCAGGGGATGGAAAAAAAAAGAAAACTCTGCTGATACAGTTTTGCCTTTTCCTGCAGGTCCTTTGGACTCAGCCTGAGAACCTGCCCCAGCTGCAGAAGCGCTGTCTCTAAAGGGCTGCCGTCTTAACCCCTTAACCCAAATTTCATTCCCTCAAGGCTTGCCAGGGGCCGGTCTGTCGTCACAGGCATTCCTTGCAGACGCATCAAGGTTATTTTCCCATTTTTGAAAGGATGTGTGGGAACATGGAAATTCTGCTCTGTTTCAGCCAAAACAGAAAAACAGGATTGTGTTCCTAAATCCTTGAATTCCTCTCCCTGCTCCTCTCATCATTTCCTGAAATCCCACTTGTATGTCCTCCTGCAAGACTTTGCAGTGCCTCTGTTATCTGACTGCACCCAAGCAGGCATCATTAAGACCAACTCCCAGTTGCTTTTTAACAAGCTGCCCCACCCACCATCTCGGTCCCCCCCAGAGCATCCCCATCTTTTCTGTTTCCAAAGATATTTTTATACCTTTTGTTTCAAAGATGATTCCTCCCAGGACAGGGCTCTCTGACCACCTGGTCCTGTGCACACCCTCTGTCCCCTGCACTGATGCCCTTTGCCCTGACATCCCTTCAGCTTTGCTAGGACAAGGGTCTCTGGCAAGGGGCTGAGGCCACTGGCTTAAGTGGGGTTTAGAGATCACACATTTATTTCATGTATCCTTGCTTCCCTCTAACACTGAAAACCTGTCAGTTACTCATTCATTCATCAAATATGAAGCACCTATTGGATACCAAGCACTGTATGAAGCCCTGAGATGGCTGGGAGGTTGCTATGGCTCCTTATGTATTCAGATCCAACACGACAGACTGAGGAAACGATTTAGGAATCAAAATCAGAGCTGCCTCAAGAAGTGGATCGAAGAATCCAAGTGACTGCAAAGTCTTTTTCTTCCTTTTGTAAATAAACAGTTATGAAGAGACAAGAAAAAACATCTCACAACTCTGTCTGGTTCCAGGGAATTGGGCTGGTCATATGTGAGGCTTTAGGCACAGAGCTTCATTTCATTCTATTCACGTAATGCACAAGTATTAAGTGCCTCCCATGTTGAAGGGTCCTTCCTTTCCATAGGATATCTGCAATCCAAGGCCTATGGGGTCATGGTGATGGGTCTGAAAAACCCAACAGGTATGAAAATGTTCTAGAGACATGCTGTACAATGACATGAATATAGTTGACACTCCTGAACAGTCGCTGTAATTAAAAATGGTTGTGATCAGCCAGGCGCGGTGGCTCACGCCTGTAATCCCAGCACTTTGGGAGGCCGAGGCAGGCAGATCACAAGGTCAGGAGCTCGAGACCATCCTGACTAACACGGTGAAACTCTGTCTGTACTAAAAGTACAAAAAATTAGCTGGGTGTGGTGGCGGGCGCCTGTAATCCCAGCTACTTGGGAGGCTGAGGCAGGAGAATTGCTTGAACCCAAGAGGCGGAGGTTGCAGTGAGCAGAGATTGCACCACTGCACTCCAGCCTGGGCGACAGAGTGAGACTCCGCCTCAAAAAAAAAAAAAAAAAAAAAAGGTTATGATCATAGATTTCAGGTATTTGTGTTTTACCACAATTTTTCAAAAACCTGACAAGTCTTTCCAACAGCCCTCCCCTAAAGAAAACAAGCTCATTTTCTCATGCACACTGGCTTATGGGCAGTGCCAGGAAAGACCCATTTCCCAGTAGCAGGCCCAGCACGAAAGAGCCGACGGGGTGAGGGGTGGGCCAGGGGTCCCACGCAGAGGGGCCAGGACATTTGAGGCTGCCTCATCTGTGCATACGTCCTAGGGATGGAGCCAATAAGAGACAGATGTGCCCTAGACCCTACCTGCTCCGTAGGCAAAAGCCAATCACAGCCAGGGATCCCAACATTTGCGTGAATGCTAATTGAGGCTTTTTATTTCTTAACTTGTGAAGATGGCAGAAGTTTTATTTTCTTCTCAGAATTCCGCCTGGCCTACCAGATGCCTAGCTCTTAAAAGGACCTCGTTCTCTGCACTGATGGACTCTGGCAGAGTTTGGGATGGGAGGTGGTGGTGAAGAGGAGGCAGTCCTACACTTTAAGTGAGAAAAGTACAAAAAAAAACGGTCTCTAAAACACAGCTGCCAATGTCAGTGGGGTTCCTTCATTCTTGAAATTCACCTGATGACGATGAACAGGTTCAATATGAAGTTCATTTTTCAATTCATTCTATCTCATCTGAGTACCTACTCTGGGACCATGGACTGTATAGAAATTAGGACTTGAAATTGTCCTTTGCCACCTCCTTCCTTCTCCTTATGGAGTACAGAACAATGGCTCTGGGCAGGGCCAGCTTCAGGTGTGCATGACCCATTGGGACAGTGGCGTAGAACCCCGTGCTTGGAAGAGCCTTGAACGTGGTCAATGCTCTGCTGTCAGCCCTTCCTGACTTTTAAATAAGGGGGCCCCATATTTACATTTCATACTAAGGCTCAAAAATCATGTAGCTGGTTTTGCTCTTGGTAATGAAAGACTCCTTGAGGTGGTTCCCACAGTTTTCCATATCCCAGCCAGGGCTCTCTTCACACTGTCCCCACTTCCATGGCTGGAGCCGTAGTTTTTTCCTGGTCATAACTGTGGAAGGCAGAAAAAACTCACTTCTTAAGTCCTAACCCAAGATCATATTTTTTCCTGTTAAAAATTGCTGTTCATCTTAAAGTAGCAACATGAGTCTTAAACGGGATTCAGTACTTCAGTCCAATGTGCTAAAATGATTCAGTTTTAAAGAAAACTATTTTTGTTGGTGCAAAAGTAATTGTGGTTTTTGCCATTAAACCACAATTACTTTTGTTTTGTTTTGTTGTGTTTTGTTTTGTTTTGTTTTGAGACAGAGTCTCACTCTGTCGCCTGGGCTGGAGTGCAGTGGCGCGATCTTGGCTCACTGCAACCTCTGCCTCCCGGGCTCAAATGATTCTCCTGCCTCAGCCTCCCAAGTAGCTGGGATTACAGGTGCCCATCACCACGCTTGGCTAGTTTTTGTACTTTTAGTAGAGACGGGGTTTCACCATGTTGGCCAGGCTGGTCTCAAACTCCTGACCTCAAGTGATCCGCCCGCCTCAGCCTCCCAAAGTGCTGGGATTACAGGCATGAGCCACCATGCCCAGCCTAAACCGCAATTACTTTTGCACCAACCTAAATAAATTTCCCTATGAGTCCTACCTAGGCCTAAGGAAGGAAAGGGAAGTCCAACACAAGAAAAACATCTTCACTCCTTAAAACTCTTAAACATGTAGGCTCCCCACGTCGTATACATTAACATCTCTGCTAATGTATGAAATAAATTTCTGGCACAAAAATCCTAACTCATTCATTAAGAACAACAGGAAAGCAAGTTCTACCAAACACCATAATCAACCCACTGATATTTACCGATAGCCTTCCCTCACCCCCACCCCCAACCCCACTCCCACTGTGGGACTTAAAAGGACAAAATATTTTTGTGAAAACAGCATTTGTGTGCTTTTTTTTTTAAGGGCTAAGAATGTGAGATCTAAATCAATTCTAATATATTTCAAATATATTCATTATCATGCACTAAAAGAGAATTCCCATTTTGTGGTTCTCCAAGGAGAGTGACAGAGCCTTGTTTGTAACAGCCCCGGGCATAAGCAATCATTGTGTAGCTTAATTAGATATTCCCCGTGCTAGTGTGAGGGACATATGTCCATTCACTCTGACAAACACTGACAGCGGCCGGCGCTTTCATGATCCTGCTCTATGCAGATAAAGGCAACGCAAGTGCGAGCTCTCCCAAGGACCTGTGGCCCCAGCCGGCCCCGGCACAATCAGCCCGCATTCACCGATTGGTTCCAGTTTATTAATAGCCTATGAACTTCTCATCTGCTCCCGGACTGGTTAGGACTGTCACCTGCAACTGCCAGGCCAGAAAAGGCTTTTCCACTCCTCGGGATCCGAGCGGATCTGGGTCTGCTGGGCCAGGCGCACTTTGTATTTTCCAACACAAAGAACAATGGATTTGAGGAGTTGTAAATTGCAAGAGTGGAAAAGCAGATCACGTTTTAGGTGGGTCCAGAAGGGAAGGCCACCCCACAGTCAAAGGGAAGGCAACTAGAAGCTAAAATAGGCTTGGCTAATTTTAAAAGCTACTTAAATTCTTATAGTTCCAATTTTTAAATATACCTTCAAATGAATAGGAGTGGAGGGGAGCGTCCAAATGGGGAAAAGTCTTGGCCCATGTCCTCACCTTCTCTTTGGAAAAGGCAAACTATGAAAACAGGGGATGAATACCAGAATGTCCCTGGGTCCCCAATATTCTCTTGCACACCCCACCTTAGAAGTCTGTCTCCACCCTCTTCTCAGAACCGAGTCCAACTTTTTTCGGCTGAAAACCCGTTTTGATCAGGAATTCTCCCTGACTTTTTTCTCCTCTGGGGAAATGTGTATTCGTTAGCTCATGCTGCCATAACAAAGTATAGCAAACTGGGTCGTTTAAGCAACAGCCATTTATTGGCTCACAGTTCTGGAAGCCAGAAGTATAAAATCCAGCTGTCAATTGTGTTGGTTCCTTCCGTGAGGGAAGGATCTGTTCCAGGCCCCTCTCCTTGGCTTCTAGAGGGCTGTCTTCTCCATGGGTCTTCATGTTATCTCCCTTCCATACGTATCTGTCTCTGTGTCCAAATTTCCCCTTTGCCGAAAGACATGAGTCACAATGGATTAGGGCCCACACTAAAGAAATCATTTTAACTTGATTACCTCTTTAATTGATTACCTCTACTTCCAAATACAGTCACTTTCTGAGGTACTGGGTGGTAGAATTCCAACATATCTTATTCCCAAGGTATGTTGGGAAAGGAATCTTTCTTCCATTTCTTAAGGGACCTAATACAAAAGCACCACTTGCTCTAACTCCCCACCCAGACTGGAGATATATTAGGTCCCCTGGCCAAATATCAACCCCATCCTCTAAGATCATTGCAAAATAAACCACTTTCAAATACAGAGAGGCCCTCTCTGTCTTTGTCTTCTACTGTTACATAGGGGCTACTCTGGTGGAATTTGAGTCTTTAAAAATGGTCCAATTCTATTTCAAAGAAAGCCAGAACTTGAAAAGACCTAAGAGAAGAGTTGAACCCCTCTGTGCAATGGGCCCAAAGGGGAAATGGCCTGAGGTCACCACGCTAGTTGGTGATAGAACGGGGTCTAGAATCCAGGCAGCATTCAGCTCCTCTGATGGGTCCACAGAGCAGTAGGAAGTCTTGATGCCAGCTAGTGAGGGAACCCCTCAGTTTAACTCCTCTGAGACTGGAGAGCTCCCAGGCACCCTTGACTGGCTTTTCTCTCCTCTTTATAGGGAATCCAAGAATCCCCCATCTGGACCACTATAGAAAGGCACACTGTCAACCTGCATCAGCGCAATGCTTCCACTAACTGGACAGATCTAGAATTAAGGCACCAAAGAAAGAGGTCCACCTGGTCAGTTGATAATTGATACTCTTTATAATTGCAAGTTAATGGGCTCTTGAAGTCTGGCAGATCTGGGTTTGAACACCAGCACCACCATCTACCAGCAGTGTGACTGGCATCCACCATTTAACCTCAGCTTTTTTGTAAAATTCCTACCTCTCCCAGTTGTCATGAGAATGGACATCAATAATGCATATACATTTCTTGATAGCAATAACATAACTGACCTTAAAATAGGTCATTTTTATTAGTTATCCTCCTTAGGCAGAAATGCATTGGTCACATGGTGGACCCAGAAATGGGAAGTTGTTTTACACAAATTAAAACAAAGCAAAGCTTTATTTTCCTCTTATCCAAAGCTATTTCAGAGAATAAATAATCAGGAAGCAGCTGTCAAGTGAGGTAGATGAATGGTTAGTTTTCCCAGATATCACTTCATTCCACTCCTACAGACCATAAGCTGGCAGAACTGATCAACAGGAACAATTTAAGAATGCTGCCTAGGGGCACTCCAATGAGCTTTTTATCCCCATCAGTTGTGGATAGCCACTGTGGTAGGACAGAGGAAAATAGATGGAATGTCAATATAAGTATCAACTGGAAAGGTTCTCCCAAATTAAATAATTAGCCTGGAAGACAAACCCCAATGTCTGATGAGGACTCAGTGGTCCATTTGTGAGGTGAACATGAATCCCTTCTAAGGAGGCAGCTCCCTTTGAATGCTTCTACCAAAGTTTTCCATAATCTTTGGTGTCTATGAGGTCAGCAGGTCAGGTTATTATCACTCTAATATTGTTCCATGGGTCATGTGGTCAAGAGATTCCCAGAGTCACATGGCAGAGCCAAGACCAGGATCAGGGCTTCTGCCACTGGACTAGGCTCATCCCTTTCACTGTTCCAGACTGTTCTAGATTATTCCAGACTGTTCCACACTGTTCCACATTCTCATGTGTGCCTTGGGGCCCAAAATAGGGATGCTTGAAAAACTGCCACATATTGTTTTCAGGCATATTCCAAATGTCTAAGAGATTTATAGAGCCATTTTGTCTTTACTATTAATGAAGGTGACAACTGGCCACCATCAATCTCACTAATGTGAATGCAAAATAACTCTACAAATCTCTTAGACACAAGAATGGAAGCTGGGCATGCCCCCGCGTGAGGTTATTTCAGAGTCACCTGAAGGTCTTCCATCTCCCACCTCCCCAGTTACAATGTTTTGAACTTTTTATTTCCTTGGATGTCTCAAATATCCATAGAGCTTAAATGCAAATGTCTGTAAAAAATAAAAAAATACAAGGGGCTTCCTCAGCAGTTTACCTCCATGTGATATGCCTATGTCCAATACAGAAACACCTAGTCAGACGCACTTCCCATGCCCAAAGGGGCAGACAGCTCTTCTTGTTGTATGTGGTTGGCAGGGGGAGTCAGACCCATGGAAACATTTTTACAGTTAGGAAATGCAGGCAAGAGTTATGCACACACAAGGGCTGGGGGCTGTTTCAATTCTATATTGTAGCAGAGCAAACTATCTCCAAACTTAGTGACTTACAACCACCAGTTCATGATTTCTCAAGACCCTGAGGGTGGGAAGTCTGGAGAGGGTATCATGGGGATGGCTCCCCTCTGCTCCATGAGCGGGGCTGGGATGTCCATGACGGCTTCTTCCCTCCCGTGTCTGGTGCCTCAGCTAGGATCAGTC
The DNA here is from genome assembly GCF_000001405.40 of Homo sapiens. Lineage (NCBI taxonomy): Eukaryota > Metazoa > Chordata > Mammalia > Primates > Hominidae > Homo > Homo sapiens. The sequence goes on from NC_000021.9 coordinate 33,055,496, forward strand.
AGGGTCACCACTAAATAATTGGCACGGATGGCTTAAATGGAGGGGGTTGGCTGGATCTGCTCGGTGGGGGGCTCACAAGGCCTTGGGTTAAGGTCTGAGGTCTTGGGTCCCTTTCCTCTCTTTCCATGTAGACTCAGGACATCTCTCCCTCTCTCCATGTGGCCCCTCTGGCTGAGCTTCTAAAATGGCAGCTGGCTTCCAAAAACACAAAAGTGAAGGCTGCCAGACTTCCTTAAGGTTTAGGCCCAGAACAGGTATAACTTCACTTCTATTGCATCCTGTTGACTAAAGTGTGTCACGCGGCCAGCCCAGATTTAATTTGGAAGGGAATTACACATAGACTTGGGTACTGGAGGTGTGTTGCAGTGGGGGCTATCTTTGGAAGCCAGCTACCTTAGGAGCTCACCCTTTCCACCTTCTGCCCCTGCAAGGGCTGAACAGATCAGTCTCCATCTTTGAGTGGTGCTCCCCTCAGGACAGCACAGGAGAGGCTGGGTCTGCCATTCCCCCCGGGGACTTAATTCTCAGCCACATGAGAGTACTGGCAATGGATGAACATGGATGGCACCATCTAGCCAAGGATGGAAAATTCTCCCTGCGCAAATGTGAACAAAAGCAGTTTGCAGTATGTAAGCAATTGCTCAAGGCTGATAACAGCCTCAGGGGGAAGTCCAACATGAGAAAGCAGAGGGTGCCTGGTCTCCACGGACTCTTAGTGGGCATTTGTGCACATCTAGCAGAGGAGAACGGAGGATCTGACAGCCTTTGTGCAGCAGGCTGGAGTTGAGCTCCCTCGGGATTTGCATCTGGTGATAAATGGAGGCTGGCTGCACATGAACACTGTCTGTCTGAGGCTGTGCAGTAACCCCAAAAGGACAGTGGTGGACAGGATTCCCCTCAAATGGGAAAAGATAAACAGGAAGTGTGGGGTGGGGTATTGGAGTCTGTTATGTCCGCTGTGGACGTTTTGTTTCCCCAAGGTCAAGATGCCTCTATAAAAGATGTGTGGTTGGCCAAGCATGGAGGCTCATGCCTATAATCCTAGCACTTTGGGAGGCCGAGGCCGGGGCCGGAGGATTGCTTGAGGCCAGGAGTTTGAGACTAGCCTGGGCAACATAGTGAGACCCTCATCTCTATGGAAAATAAAAAATAAAGATGTGTGGCAGAGATTTTCTCTTTATGCAGCCAAACAAAATCCATGGCTGGATTTTCATTCATTCAACAAGTACTTATCCTGGACTTTATATGTCCCAGGCAGAGTCCTAGGCCCTGGGGACAAAAATATTTACAATATAATTTTAGGCTGGAAAAAAAGCAAAGCTTATAGGGAAAAGGATGGTTACTACATGGATATTGGGGCAGGGAAGGCAGCTCAGATAAGATGACTTTGGAGGAGAAACCTGGAGAAGTGTGTATACCCTGAGGCTCCACAGGACAGGTGCTCCAAGGACAGAAAACTGCAAGAGCAATGGTACAGAGGCAGGAACGAGGCTGGGGTATTGCAGAAAGGTCCATGGGGCCTGTGCAGTTGGAGCAAGGTAACTGCAGGGCTGGGGCTGGGAGCGGGGATGGAGAAGGGGCAGGACAGGGAGTCTGAGAGGCAGACAGACCCTCCCCCCACTCCACCCCTGTGCAGTCTCAGGGCCTCTCTCTCTCTCTCTCTCTCAGTGTAGCCCCAAGCAAGACCGTCCAACTTCTAATATGGCCACTGCTTCCAAAAACCCAAAAGCTCAGGGGTCAGGTTGGGTAGAATCTTTTGGGCCCTTGGATTTAATCCTCAGTATGTTAGAAAGCTACAAAGGCTTTCAAGAGAGAACAGACAACCTGCCTGGTTTACATTTTGTTTGGAGTTGAAGCCAGGGTGGTCTCCTCCTATGCATATTAGCGGAAGCTTGGACACTGGTCATTTATCCAGAAGAAAGTAAAAACTGAAGGGTCAAATGAGGCTACTCCGAATATTGTGAGACCTAGGAGAAAGAAGAGAAATAAGGCCCCATGGCCTGTATCCCGTCCCTCTCCTCTCCGCATCCCCAGCTCCGTCTTGTGCTGCGGGCCTCGTGCACGTGCACAGGATGGGGGCAAGCTCTGGGTGGACTGGTCCCCATGGCCCTGAGTACTCCTCACCCATGGAAAGGGGCACAGCCAGTCGGGGCCCGAGTGGAGCCTCTGCAGTCCAGGCCCAGGGCAGGTGGCTGAGTCGGAGCATCCAGGGGCAGCTCTAATTCCAACCATGACCACAGAGAACAGGAGGCACCAGGCATCCACTGTCAGTCTGTAATCAGGATGATCAGTGCATTCCCCACTCAGCACACAGTCTCCCACAGACATGCAGCCACGGTGTGGCCTCAGCATCAGGGATATTTGCAACATCCATATGGCTTCCAGAACAAGAGAGCAGGGAGGGTAAGAACAGGGAGCAGTGTGGGAAATGGGTGGGCTCAGAGGCCTGCCCAGGAGTTCTTGGCCAGGGTGGAGAACCCATCTGCAGTACAGTGCTGGGGGAGGCCAGGGAAGGAGGCTGGGTGTGAACATCCAAAGAGCCTGCAGAGTGGGCACAATATGGGCTGTCGCCAGCTCACGATGCCTCCCTTTCTCTGGGCTGCAGTCGGCATCTACGATTAATAAGACATAGAGAAGTCATTCACCAGAAGTCCTCTTAGAAAAAGCAGTGCTTTTGACTGGAAAAGAATGATGAGTTGCAAAAGTATGGTAAGTTAAAAATGCATCTTCGGAAGAGGGTGAGTTCTGTTAGCGGGTGGGCAGGGGGATGGAGCTGGGGGCTGGGGCCAGGATTGTGCTGAATTAATATGTGTAATAATGCAGGGAGGAGCCAGAGAGATTGGAAAGGTAAAAGGGTGGAAAGAGAGCAAAACTTAACATGGGTAGTGGATGCTGGAGAAAGACGTGAATGGGGAGTTGGAGTTGTCTGTTGAGTGTATTGTTTACAGTGCAAACCTCCAGAGGCCCATGAAGGGATCCTGAACCTACACTACTGCAGATGGGCTGAGAGGCGGCATAAAGGCGGGGCTGGGGAGTGACAGAAAAAAGTTGTATCCCGAGAGCATCCCAGCGAGCCTCTCCAGCAGCAGCAATCCCCCTGTGCCCCATTGGGTTCCACCAGCTCAGAGCAGGCAGGGCCTGAAACAGATGAAACCAAGAAGCAGCCAGTGATGGGTGACCCAGCCAGCTGGAACCCAGCCCAGGGCAGGAGGCACCAGGAATCTCCTGTCCTTGGCAGAGACGCGGTTTTGATCCAGGCTAATACTGACTTCTGATACTCTCAGCAGCGCAGAATTTTAGACCTGAAGAGTGACAGCCACCTCAGTTCTTCCCTTTGATAAAGGGCACATGAATTCTGCTCTGTTGGCAAGAGTCCAACAATGCAGGCGAGTCCCTGATCTGGTAAAGCAAAGAAAACTTGCCCTAAACACTCTACAGAACTTAAAAGCATCCACCACTCAAATTGGGAAGAATCACAGGAGTTAATAATGGTGTTATTGCTCTTCTTAAATGTTATTAATAGTGATATAATACTTCCTGTCTCCTCATTTGGAGACAAGCAGCTGCCATGCGCCAGGATAATGAAGGTCATAATAGGGGAGGAAGGAGCATGAAATTGACTCTGACCTTAGTCTCCATGCAATGTGGGAAGCAGTGCCAGTTGCCACAGCTGCACCGCTTTCCCTCCCATCAGCGGGGAGTTGACGGAAGGCCAAGCCCACCCTGGGGAGATTCTAGAATATTCTAGCACCATGAGGCTGGACCGCATCCCAACCTGGCAAGAAAATTCTGGTGATCAAGAGATCATCATTCTGCAAACTTCCTGGGAAGGCTTTTCTGATCAAAGAACTGCGGGTGTCCAATCCTGCACACATGTTAACATGTACGAGCACTGAGGCAAGAGGCACAGTATGAGAGACTCAGAGAACAATTCTTTCCTGTCTGTTTAGCCAGGGCTCTGCATCAAGTGTTACTGGGCTGGCCTCAGCTTCCTCATCTGCAAAACGAACAGTTGTCTGCCCAGCCCCATAGGAGTTCTGTAAGGCTAAAATGAGATAACAGATGTGAAGGTGGTTTACAAAAAATAAGTGTGGGGCTATTCCTCTGCAGGGAACATCTCTATCACAGCTGGTTAGAGGTGACCACAGACCTCTGCTGCAGAGCATGCACCCACAAACCTGGACTTCAAAGCAGCCTCTTTTGCTGAGCTAGCTCTGCCCCTGCCCAACTCCTGTTGGGCAATCTCAGGTTGCAACATTTCTGAAAACACATTCTGACTGATTGACAGACCAGAGGAAGGCAATGCACCAGTGTCTCAATCCTTCTAGAAACTGCTATTAAAAACAGAAGACTGCAGGGAGGGTGCAGATCACAGTGGCTGTGGCTGGGGAATTTTCCCTATTTTACCCCTTCCTTTCCCCCATCCTCCTCACTTGTCCTTCCATCCTGTTCCCGTTCTCTATTCCATACATAATGGTCTCATTACTCCGCCTCTCTGCCTGTCCCTTTCTTGACCCCCCAACCCACCCATTCCTTGTGCTTATCAAACCCCCTCTAAGACACTTCAGCTGCCAGCAAACTCTCCGTCACCCAACCCTCAAAAGTAAAGCCTTGCTGTCCTCCAAACTGTGGTCCTCAGACCAAAGCATCAGTACCACCTGGGCACCTTATCAAAATGAAGAACCTTGGGCTCCACCCCGACCCACTGAACCAGACTCCAGACTTTGCATTTTAATAAGATCTACTAGTGCATATGTGTGCTCAGGTCTACAGCAGCTCCGATGACCTCCCCTAGCTCTAACACACAGGCTTCACCCCTCGTCCATACCACTGTTGGCCTTTCTTGGTAACCTGATATTGCTAGGCAGACGTTCACGTAGGCATCCTTCATATCCCCAAACAGATTACAAATGATTAGAAGGCAGGGAATCCACACTTTCTCCAAGGGCCTAGAACAGGGCTCTGCACCATAGTAGATGACTGACCAAAGACCCCTGAATGGGTCAGAGGACTTTGATCAGTCAGTCTAGATTCATCCTCTTCACTCATTCATCCAAGTCTTTATTAAGCAGCTACTCAGGGACCAGCCCTGTCCAAGCACTGGGGATCCAGCTGAGAGCAGGGCTTTCATGGAAGCCTCTAGAGCAGGAGGAACAGTCACATACAAACAAGTAGGCAAGTAGGTGCCGAGGTGGCTTTAGCTGCTGCTGAGTGCCAAGAGGAAAATCAAGCAGGGAGGAGTGGCCACAGAGTAACTGACTGGAGGGTGGCCATTGGGTTGGGTGGTCTGAGAAGGTCTCTGGGGGCTCACATTTTCACTAAGACCTCAACATTGAGAAGACCTGGATGGAGGCTTCAGGCAGAAGGAACAGTTGGAGCCAAGGTCAGACAGAAGAATGGGCTTGGCCTATGTTCCAGGCACATGGCTTCTTCACCCTGCCCCATTCCAGGTAATCACGCACCCACCATGTGTCATCCATCCACCCCCTCTCCCAGGGGCAGGACCAATCCGAGGTCTCAGGCTTCTCCGAATCTGTCCCTGTCGCCAATGAGCAGCCCTCCCGAGAGGTAGGATGTCTGCCCGTGGTTGTTTCCTCATTGTTTTCTCCAAAGCCGACTTTGCTTTTTCTTTAAGCATGGTTGGGCACTCCATCAAATATTCATGTGCCTAAGTGACATGGATATGGAAGGAAGGTTTCTTGTAAAATTCAAATTCAGTCTCATGATCCCTGACGGAACCTGCCGAGGTCGTCTTGACCCTCGCTACTCACTACTTAAAGTGTGGTCCTCTGACCGGCATCAGCTTCATCTGGGAGCTTATTGAAAATACCCCAGGTGTCCTGTTGTGCACCTATGGTCCCAGCTATTCAGGAGGCTGAGGCAGGAGGATCACCTGGGCCTAGGAGTTTGAGGCTGCAGTGAGCTATGAACACATCTATGAATAGTCACAGCACTCCCACCTGGGCAACACAGCAAGACCCCATCTCTAACAGAGAAAAAAGAAAAACAGAATCTCAGCCCCCACTCAAACCCACTGAATGAGAATCTGCACTTGAACAAGACCCCCAGGTAATCTGACCTAGAACAGAGTTCTGCCTTCAGACTCAAGGTCCCCAGAAATCACCAAAACAAGCTACACAGAACAGTGAACATGATGGTTAGCCAGATATGCATCGGATCCTTGCTTTAAAAATCTCTTGTGAGTTGGGTGTCATTATGAGCTTCGTTTACAGGTGAATTAACTCAGGCACACGGAGGTTGAGTCACTCGCCTGAGTTGATAAACTTGGAAGTGGCAGGGCTAAGTTTGAGCCCTGGAGGGCTCACCGCAGACCTGTGCTCTAACACATAGGAGGAGTGAGGCTCAGAGGCTGTATCTATTTGCCAGGGCTGACATCAACAAAGTACCACAGACTGGGTGGCTTAAACAACAGAGATGTCCTGTCTCCCACTTCTGGAGGCCAGGAGTCCAAGATCAAGGCGTCGGCAGGGCGGGTTCCTCGGAGGCTGTGAGGGACGATCTGCTCCAGGCCCTCCTCAGCGTCTGGGGGTTGCTGGCAATCTTTGAGCTTCCTTGTCTTGCAGGGTCACCCTGATCTCAGTGTCACCTCAATCTCTGCCTTCATCTTCACATGGACTTCTCCCTGTGTGAGTGTCTGTGTTCAAATTCTCCCTTTTATAAGCACACCAGTCATGTTGCATTAGAAACATGGATGAAGCTGGAAACCATCATTCTCAGGAAACTATCGCAAGGACAAAAAACCAAACACCACATGTTCTCACTCATAGGTGGGAATTGAACAATGAGAACACTTGGACAGAGGAGAGGGAACATCACACACCGGGGCCTGTTGTGGGGTGGGGGGAGGGGGGAGGGATAGCATTAGGAGAAATACCTAATGTAAATGACGAGTTAATGGGTGCAGCACACCAACATGGCACATGTATACATATGTAACAAACCTGCACGTTGTGCACACGTACCCTAGAACTTAAAGTATAATAATAATTTAAAAAAAAATTATATATATATATAAAAGAAACCTACCCTAGTGAGCTCATCTTAACTAATCACCTCCGCAATGACCCTATCTCCAAGTAAGGTCACAGTCTGAGGGACTGGGGGTTAAGACTTCAACATGAATTTTGGGGACACAATCAACTCATAACAAGGCTTGGTAAAATGATAATGACAGCTAACGCTGTTCTCACTTTGTTCTCAGTGCTTTACAGATATCACCTCACTCAATCACCACCCTCCTAGGAGATTAATTCGATTTTTATTCTTGTTTTGCAGATAGAGGAAACTGAGGTACTGACAGGTAAGCATCTTTCCCAAGTCACATGGTTAATAAATGAGGCAGCCAGGATTCCAACCCGCGTAGCCCAACATCAAAGCTGGCATGACAGCTTTCTCTCTCCAAGGGTGTCTAGCATCACACTGAGCTCCCATCTCTGCAACTTTTCTTTTCTTTTCTTTCCTTCCTTCCTTCCTTCCTTCCTTTCTTTCTCTCTCTTTCTTACTTTTTTTTTTTTTGAAGGAGTTTCACTCTTGTTGCCCAAGCTGGAGTGCAATGGTGTGATCTCGGCTCACTGCAACCTCCACCTCCCAGGTTCAAGCGATTCTCTTGCCTCAGCCTCCTGAGTAGCTAGGATTACAGGCACCCGCCACCACGCCCAGCTAATTTTGTATTTTTAGTAGAGACAGGGTTTCACCATGTTGGCCAGGCTGGTCTTGAACTCCTGACCTCAGGTGATCCGCCTGCCTTGGCCTCCCAAAGTGCTGGGATTACAGGCGTGAGCCACTGCGCCCAGCTACAATTTCTTTAGCAAGTTGTTGCTGGATTTTGGCTTAGTGTGTCCAGGACAGCATCCCTGAAACAGGGTCATATGAGTGGAACATCCTGGGTATTCAGCGAGCCCAGGGACAGAAGGGGCTGGAAACCGCATATGCTGGATGCAGAGAAGGCACACACTTACACAAATAGAGCTGGGACACTGTGTTAGTCTGAATGGAAACCATAAATGAAGTAAGTGACAGGGCTCAGTTGGAGCCCCAAGGGTCTAACCACAGACTCTGCACTCTAATATGTGGGAGGAGTCAGGCTCAGAGGTTGTATTAGCTGTAGTGCCTGGCATATTGCAAGCACTCGATAAACATTAGCTACTGTTAATCATTTTACTGAGATACTGCTATGTGCCAGGCTCTGGGTGGGACATCTCACTTACATTTCTTTCTTTTCCTTTCTCTCTCTCTCTTTTTCAGACAGGGTCTTGCTCTCTTGCCCAGGCTGGAGTGTAATGGTGTGATCATGACTCACTGCATCCTCCGCTTCCCGGGCTCCAGCAATCCTCCCACCCCAGCCTCCCAAGCAGTTGCACACCACCACACCTGGCTGATTTTTGTATTTTTCCTAGAGATGGGTTTTCGCCATTTGCCCAGGCTGATCTCGAACCCCTGACCTCAAGCAATCCACCCACCTTGGCCTCCCAAAGTGCTAGGATTACAGGGGTGAGCCACTGCTCCTGGCCCTCTCTTACATTTCCTTCTCAACTGTACAACAACCCTAGGAGATAAATACTATTACTCCCATTTTAGAGATGAGGAAACTGAGGCTCAGATGAGTATAGCTGCTGTTATCCCCAATCTGGGGATCAGGACTCTTCTTTGTAAGACATAAACAGTCCATGTCTTTGAGCAGAAAAGCCTTAGAATATTGCAGGGAAGAAGATTTGCATGTTCAACTCGGATAGTCCTCACCACTGAGTTAATATTTCCAGGTCAGAGCGCCTCCGAGAGAAAAAGGCGGTGGCCTTGGAGCTCTGGTCTCCTTAACTGCACCCTGGGAAGTCTTCACACGGCCTTTCTTCCCCTGGTGGTCTAATCTGGAGTCAGATCCAGCCGTCAGCTCTTACAGACGGGGAAGGACCGGGAGCCAACGGGAAAACAACAGGTGAGCTTGTGAACAAGTCCCCTTCTGTGTCTCGGGCAGGGTGTCTGCCCGGGCAACTGTGGGGCTGCACTGACTTCCAGAACCTTCTGCCTCTGCAGGTGTTTTAGGAACTTGGCCTCAGCGCTTCAGTGACCCATATTTTATTACCTTTCAGGTTTCTATAATTCATCATTCACTCCTTTCTGAAAACCTAGAATGAAAAAGTTTAGCAGCTCAGCGCCGCGGCCTCTCTCCATTCTCTCCCCAAACACATCGGCCTGTTTGTTCTCTTTCATCCCCGCTCTTCCTGTTGCATTCTGCCGGTTCAATGGGGAAGGAGTGAAACCGGATGGCTGGACCCAGTGCGGGGAAATGACTTCAGAGCCACCTTTGTTTCCCTCATTCCTTTGAGCGCACTTGGCCCTGCGTCTCTATGAAAGGGCTTGTTTGAACCATTCGGAACATCCAGCAAGCCAGAGATGCTGCGGCCAGAACCGCTCGCATCTTTTCAGGCTGCCTGAGACTCTGGGTTAAACTGCCAAATTTTTGCAACAAAACTAACCATGACATTGGACATTGTGTTATAAATTAGCCACAGCCTTCCAAGCAAATTGTCTCTTTTTATTGTATCAGTGTAAGCCTCGGAAACATTTGGCTTCAGCTACTACCTTCAGGGAGGCTCAGAGGATATTTTTGTTCTGCCCCAAACCAACTCTTCAGACACCGAGTTGCATGTGCTAATACCCATATCTTCATTCACAGTTATTCTTATCACACTCCCTCTGAGAACCTCTGTCAGTTATGTTCTATTTCTCTGCCTCCCATCCACCAACCTGCTTTCAAGTTTTGATGTGGCAGAAACTCTCTGAACATCTATAAAACAAACGATGCATTTCTCTTTTAGAATGCATTTCACAATGATTACGTGAAACTTCTTGTAAAGAATAGTTCTTTTCACATATACAGTCAGAGATATTAAAATGCATGTTTATTAGCAATGTGTAGAATTTTATTGTTTGGTGCTCACAGAAGCAATGTAAATTTCCACATCTGTTAGGTCACTCTGAGAGTGTATGTGTTGTGTGGGGAGAGAGGGCATGCCCATCTGTTTGAGCTATGTCACCAAAATCTATATCAAGATTTTTAATTAGGCTGAGAGTGGTGGTTCACGCCTGTAATCGCAGCACTTTGGAGGCCAAGGTGGGCAGATCACTTCAGGTCAGGAGTTCGAGACCAGCCTGGCCAACATGGTGAAACCCTGTCTCTACTAAAAATACAAAAAATTAGCTGGGTGTGGTGGCACATACCTGTAATCCCAGCTACTCGGAAGGCTGAGGCACAAGAATCATTTGAACCTGGGGGGCGGAGGTTGCAGTGAGTGAGATCACACCACTGCACTCCAGCCTGGGTTTCAGAGTGAGATTCTGTTTCAGGAAAAAAAAAAAAGAGAAAAAAACACTTTTAATTAAAAGGAAACCCCCAAAATACACAGTTGATAATTTATTTTCCTATTTTTTTCTTCACACACACACACACACACACACACACACACACGCATCACAAGACAAATTTAGGCTCAGAAATAACCTTAAGTAATAAGCTGTATTAAGCCACAATGCCATTTATTAAAAATAAAATAAACCTTCTTATAATATTTGCAAAACACAACCCATGACATTCGATAATCTTGAGTGTTGTCATCAGAACCAAGAACACTGTATAACTGCCTATGTCCTTCCACATTGGAAATAAAGACAACTATGACAACTATATTGCATTGTACACAACAACTACACAACATTGTAAGCAACAATAAACATTGTGTCAGTTTACAACAACTTGTTTAACTTGTATTCTCTGTCAAAGTGAACAAAACTCATTTTCTTTCACATTTTCCCAGCAGGAATCTTTATTTAACCTGAACTGCTTCTAAGTGTGACTGAGACTCTGGTGAGCTGGTCCCAGATGAGATGGGATCAAGCATCCCCAAGGAGTCCTCCCTGTCCAAGAACAACTACCGAAGGGTAATCCATTTACTCTTCCCCAATTTTCTCTCTCTACTACTACTCTCCTCTACCCAGAAAGGAGAAATGTAGAACAAAGCTAAGGGCTACTCGCTTTGCAGCTCCTTCCCTGACCTTTGTGTTCCAGGAAGAGTTATATTTGGATGGGATGGGGGCACCTGATATAGGGCAAACAACGGACAAGGCTTCCGCTTCTCCTAGAGACAGTGTAAATATCAACACCTACTGGGTAATTTAAACTTTCCAAAGAATATTGACCTTCTTAGAAGTAAGTAGCACTTTAAAAAGTGAACTTCATTATTCCATTAGAGGTCTAAGCTCTAGCCAGTTAAGCAGCACATTTTAGCAGCTGTTTACACTCTGCTGGCCTTCTGCAAGAGGACGGTTTCATGCAGGACAACAGGGGGCTTCACAGCAGTACACCCCATCTTTGTTCTTACAGAGGAGAAGGATGGTGCTACATCTGAAACACACTCACACATCACTGAGGCTTTGAGTCCCCAGTGTCTGCCATTTCCAAGGTCCAAGCTTCTTGACCCAAAGCAAGAGTAGATGGCAGGGACAGGGGAATGCGCAGGAGACACTAGGTTTCTACACAAGGAAAAGGAAATCTGAGGCACACACCTCTGCAGAGTGAAAGGAATCACCAACACACACACACAAGCCCCTTTAGGCAAAGAAAAGAGCGGTTGTTATGGTGGACACAAGTTGCTCCCCAAGCATGTCCTCAATGTGGGAGGCCGCAGCAGCTGCCTCCCCTTGAGACAGACCCCGGGGCCCGTGCCAGCGGCCACAGTAACTGGCTGGCCCTTGCCAGCTGTCACACTTTGCATGCCGCTGCTTCAGCCCAGCACAAGGGACCATCCAAGTCACCAGCTCCAACCAGTCCCAAATCCCGTGCCCAGGCTGGAGCTGGATGGCCACCCAGAACCCTCTTCTGAGGCCCTCTACCAAGGCACTGAAATATGCAGCATATCCAGTTGACAGTATCCTTGGCTGGGGGAGAGATAAGTCTTACAAGGAGGAGATAAGGTGAGACTTAGGTCTAAAGAAAACCCTCAGGGACACCCACAGGAAAGAGGGGTGCTTCTAGAGGGGAAAGGCAGCATGTGTGTGTTTCCATCTGTTTGACTCCTGGGTGCCCCTTCCTGTGGGTGGGAAATGGGGAGCGTACAAGTTAGGCAACAGGCCAAGGCTTTAGATTTTATCTTCCCCATTCACTTCCTCTTTCTGCTGGCAGGGTAAGACCCTACGGGCCCCACCTAGGCTGTGTGCAGGGGAGGAAGCCGGAGGGGGATGTCACCAGGGCCTGCCCCAATCTGGCACCTCAGCTACAGGACAGAGGGTCCTGACAGTGAGGGTGGGCATTGCCGAAGAGGCTGGAGCAGGGTTTATGGTGGCAGGATTCTGGGGACACTCTCTTGGGGAACATGGCTGGAACCCACCAACTCATCAATATTGGCACAGTCTAGGCTGGCCCCTCCATCCTTACACCCAATCCCCAACCCGCCCCATCATGGCCCCCTCCTGGGCTTCCTGGAAGCCTGGTTCTGCTGGAGGGAATTCAGGAAGCCAGTCCTTGGTGGGGCCGCTCTGCCTGTCCTGTCTGAAGGCACAGAGCAATCTACTGCCTTCTGGGAGCCTCAGTTATATCATGGACATCAAGGGATCAAAAATGCCCAGCTCACAGGGGCCCCATGAGAACCAAACGTGAAAGTGTCTGTAAAAATGACTTGAAAGCAAGCTGCTTCAACAGAAGGCGAAATGATTAGTGAGGTGTTAAACTTAATTGCTTGAAACATTCAAGACCCTTCCCTTGGTCTCTCTCTCTCCTTCCTGCTTAGTATGGTTCTGCTTAAGCACTCAGCTCCTTCCTACCAAGGCTTCCCTCTCTCTCCCAAAGTGGGGCCCCCAGCACCACGTCCATGTCAGGCCAGGCCCCTCTGAGAGGCAGGAGATCTTACCAGGTTCCTTCCCTCTCTATAAAACCTTTAGGAAAATGCTTGGGTTAGAGCATTGCCAGGAGTTTGTGCATTTAAGGGATGAGCCTCTGAGCTAAGGGAGATTTCAGACCATCTTTAGAGACCTCCAGGACACACAGTAAGTGCCAAGCACTGTGCTAGGCTTCAGGAAGATGGAGAAATGAGCAGGTGGTCCCTACCGTAAAACAATCATAGCCAAATGCAGAGATGGTATCTACATAACACAATAGGCTATGAAGAAATCCTATCAATGGTTTGCCAAGAGTCATGAAAGGAGGAAGAGGAGAAATCACCAAGGCTTCCAGAAGAAAGCAAGGTTGGAGCTGAACCTGAGGCATAGGCAGGATGCTACAGGCAGAGCTGGGGGTCAGAAGCAAAGATCAGAGTGAACCCATGTGGCAAATATTGGTGGAAGAAAACCAGAACAAAGCAGCCCTGAAACCAGCAAGCACAGCCACCAAGATGCCCTCTTCCCCAGGACATTGACAAGTTATAGTAGCATGCACTGGTGCTGGGGGCAGAAAATGTCCATAGACACCAAGTAATGCTATTCTATTTGGCAAATAAAATGATTCATTCCCACCCTCAACCGATAGGACTATGTGGGTGTTTTGTTTTGTTTCTAATAAGAGGCCAATTTCTGAGTGACTTTTGCTTAAGCAAATGTCAAGTTGCTGATAGACCATCCCTTTCGGGGAGGATAGAAACCCGACCCAAAGGCTCCTTTGTCCCTAAAGACCTTTCAATCAGAGGGATGGGGAAGGAGGTTGGGAGCAGCAGGGAGGAAATATCCTAATGCTACTTGTCATTTAGTCCAGAAATTTAGCGACCTGAACCTGGCAGGAAATTATGTATTTTAAGAAAAAAAAAACATGATACACTCATGTTCATAGCAGCATAATTCGCAACAACCAAAAGCACCCCAAATGTCCATCAACGAATGAATGGATAAACCAAATGTGGTATATCCATATACTGGAATATTATTCAGCCTTGAAAAGGAAGAAACTTTGATACATGCTACAACATGGATAAACCTTGACGACAATATGCTAAGTGAAAGAAGCCAGTCACTAAAAGACAAGTGCTGTATGATTCTACTTATATGAGGGACCTAGAGTAGAACAAATTCATAGAGACAGAACAGAAGAGTGAATTCCAGGAACTTGGGTCGGGGGGAGTGGGGAGTTGTTTAATGGGTGGAGCTTCAGGGTTGCAAGTTGAAAAGAGTTCTGGAGATGGGTTGCACAACAATGTGAATTTAATTTAAATCAATTTAATGTGCACACTAATGCATATAACATTACTGAACAGTACTCTAAACATAAGACGGTAAATTTTATGTTATGAATATGTGATCACAGTTAAAAAAAAATATGAGGGAGGTTGTTTTTGAGTAGACAGTTGCTGGAGGAAGGCACGTGAGTTGCAGCCTGACCAGTGCGACCAGTCCTCCTTCAACAGCCCCGCTTGCCTTGAAAAGGCGCCCTTACTCCGCTCAGGGGGCCTGTCCCGCGCGGCTGGCACAGGCGCTCACAATAACCTCCTAAAGCGGTGCCAGCCGCACCTCCGCGCGGCCCCGGCACAAGCAGCCAATGAACACGCGGCTGCGCCCGGCCTCGCGCCTCCATTGGCTGCGCCCCGCCACCCGCTGCCCCGCAGGTTCCCAAGCCGGGTTTAAAGGGGTAGGGCGCGGGCCAGGGCCCCACCATCGTTTCCCCGCGCGCAGGTCCGCGGGGAGGGGCGGCCTGCCGACCGGCCCACCCCAGGGCGTTCCTGAAGGGCGTCCTCGGCCGCCCCCACCGCCTCCCAGATGTACTATGCGGTTTCCCAGGCGCGCGTGAACGCGGTCCCCGGGACCATGCTGCGGCCACAGCGGCCCGGAGACTTGCAGCTCGGGGCCTCCCTCTACGAGCTGGTGGGCTACAGGCAGCCGCCCTCCTCCTCCTCCTCCTCCACCTCCTCCACCTCCTCCACTTCCTCCTCCTCCACGACGGCCCCCCTCCTCCCCAAGGCTGCGCGCGAGAAGCCGGAGGCGCCGGCCGAGCCTCCAGGCCCCGGGCCCGGGTCAGGCGCGCACCCGGGCGGCAGCGCCCGGCCGGACGCCAAGGAGGAGCAGCAGCAGCAGCTGCGGCGCAAGATCAACAGCCGCGAGCGGAAGCGCATGCAGGACCTGAACCTGGCCATGGACGCCCTGCGCGAGGTCATCCTGCCCTACTCAGCGGCGCACTGCCAGGGCGCGCCCGGCCGCAAGCTCTCCAAGATAGCCACGCTGCTGCTCGCCCGCAACTACATCCTACTGCTGGGCAGCTCGCTGCAGGAGCTGCGCCGCGCGCTGGGCGAGGGCGCCGGGCCCGCCGCGCCGCGCCTGCTGCTGGCCGGGCTGCCCCTGCTCGCCGCCGCGCCCGGCTCCGTGCTGCTGGCGCCCGGCGCCGTAGGACCCCCCGACGCGCTGCGCCCCGCCAAGTACCTGTCGCTGGCGCTGGACGAGCCGCCGTGCGGCCAGTTCGCTCTCCCCGGCGGCGGCGCAGGCGGCCCCGGCCTCTGCACCTGCGCCGTGTGCAAGTTCCCGCACCTGGTCCCGGCCAGCCTGGGCCTGGCCGCCGTGCAGGCGCAATTCTCCAAGTGAGGGCGGGCCTGGGCCTGGGGCGCGACCTCGGCCCGGCCTCCCTTCGCTCAGCTTCTCCGCGCCCCTGCTCCCTGCGTCTGGGAGAGCGAGGCCGAGCAAGGAAAGCATTTCGAACCTTCCAGTCCAGAGGAAGGGACTGTCGGGCACCCCCTTCCCCGCCCCCACCCCTGGGACGTTAAAGTGACCAGAGCGGATGTTCGATGGCGCCTCGGGGCAGTTTGGGGTTCTGGGTCGGTTCCAGCGGCTTTAGGCAGAAAGTGCTCGCTCTCACCCAGCACATCTCTCTCCTTGTCCCTGGAGTTGCGCGCTTCGCGGGGCCGATGTAGAACTTAGGGCGCCTTGCCGTGGTTGGCGCGCCCCGGGTGCAGCGAGAGGCCATCCCCGAGCGCTACCTCCCCGGAGCGGAGCACGCCGGCTCCCAGTACTAGGGGCTGCGCTCGAGCAGTGGCGGGGGCGGAGGGGTGGTTCTTTTCCTTCTCCTCCGCCAGAGGCCACGGGCGCCCTTGTTCCCGCCGGCCAGGTCCTATCAAAGGAGGCTGCCGGAACTCAAGAGGCAGAAAAAGACCAGTTAGGCGGTGCAGACGGTCTGGGACGTGGCAGACGGACGGACCCTCGGCGGACAGGTGGTCGGCGTCGGGGTGCGGTGGGTAGGGGCGAGGACAACGCAGGGTGCGCTGGGTTGGGACGTGGGTCCACTTTTGTAGACCAGCTGTTTGGAGAGCTGTATTTAAGACTCGCGTATCCAGTGTTTTGTCGCAGAGAGTTTTCGCTCTTAAATCCTGGGGGTTTCTTAGAAAGCAACTTAGAACTCGAGATTCACCTTTCGTTTCCCTTTCCCCAAAAGTAGCGTAACCAACATTTAAGCTTGCTTAAAAACGAAAACCAACCGCCTTGCATCCAGTGTTCCCGATTTACTAAAATAGGTAACCAGGCGTCTCACAGTCGCCGTCCTGTCAAGAGCGCTAATGAACGTTCTCATTAACACGCAGGAGTACCGGGAGCCCTGAACCGCCCGCTGCTCGGCGGATCCCAGCTGCGGTGGCGACGGCGGGAAGGCGCTTTCCGCTGTTCCTCAGCGGGCCGGGCCCTTGACCAGCGCGGCCCGCAGGTCTTCCTTCTCGCCGTCTTGCAGTTGAAGAGCTACATACGTAGTCAGTTTCGATTTGTTACAGACGTTAACAAATTCCTTTACCCAAGGTTATGCTATGACCTTTCCGCAGTTTACTTTGATTTTCTATGTTTAAGGTTTTGGTTGTTGGTAGTAGCCGAATTTAACTGGCACTTTATTTTACTTCTAACCTTGTTTCCTGACGGTGTACAGAATCAACAAAATAAAACATTTAAAGTCTGATTTTTTACATTTTTTGTCTGATTTGTTTGGTAATAAAAAAGTCCTTGTATCCTAGTGGATTTAGAACCTTGGGGTGAAGGTAGGTAAATGACCGGGGTCCCAGGTTTTAAAATGTGACTTCCTGATTTGTAAAATAATCCAATGAACAGGCAACTGTAGTTCAAGTTCAGGCATTCGTGGGAAATATGAGGATTATAGGTAAGTGGGTGGGTGGGATAGAGAATGGGATAGAGAAGGGAGAGAGGCAATTCCAGGAATTCATTCTTTGCCAAGCTTCAGGCATAGGTCTTTTTTAACTACAACTTCATCCCCTGGAAAATGGGTTAAGCAATACCTTTATCATAAAATTGTAGCTCAACATCCTTCCAGGATATCCACCTTTTCTATATCCTTGGACAGAAGCTTAATACCACACAAGCATGAGCTTCCCGCTGCTGCACCCACCTACCCCTTATCATTTAAATCAGGTTGGAATTGTCTTCACCTAAGAGGTGAAGAAAGCTCTTCTGTCTGTTTGGTGCTCTTAAAAAGAATTTGGAAGGCTGACCTGCTCACATTGCAATAATGAAACACTGCATAATTATTAATGAAACCCAACCACTGTTTAATGTAGGGGAGTAGTAGAGAAGTAGTGTCCCCTTTAACCTGAGGAAAATTAAAGAAAACCCAGAGATGACTTACTCAATTTTATCCATGTTGGTTTATCTGAGGCATATACACATTTAGAGAAAATGAGCACCACTTTGGAGGTGGGGGAAGGAGGTGGGAGGTGGCTGGAGAGATGGCATTGCCCGGCTACCATGCTGTGTCTATTTCCTTAAGGAGAAGTCAGGACAGGGCATGGGAGAAGGTGCTCTGTGCACCAACTCATTCCAAAAGAGGATTTCTCATGCTTCCTAGACTCTGCCACCAGCAAAGTCACCACTTTTATAAAAAGTAGATTTGAACTCTGGCCTTCTGTTTATTCAATGCCTTTCCTTGCTTACCTTATATCTTGGCAAGGGGTAGGGGAAAAAAGTGAAAATCAATGAAATCAAAAGCAAATTAGGTTCTCCTTGAAACAAAAATACTTCTAAGGGATTAGAAACAAACAATTTCTCCCACTGTCCAACACCAGCACCTAGATGCCACTGTCATTCCAGACATCATCTCTAAAAGGAGCCCAAAGCTACAGGGCAGAAAATGGGTCTGCCCTTCTCTACCTGTAAATGGGAACAAGCCGCCCATGCCTTATAGGAAAAGTAACACTATATGTGTATGATTTTTTTTTTATTTAACTAAGAAAATCACAGCCTATCATGCTTTTCAGAAGGGCCAAAGGCTATAAATAAATTTAACAAGGACACACGGGGCTGTTTTGGGTGCCATCAAAATACTTATCTGCCTGCACGTAGCGTGCTTTTGGCCGTTGTGCCAAGCAAGATTAGCAGACTTGCTCTATAGAAGGAGTTTACATCCTAAAAAATAGTACCAGCAAGCATTGAAGAGTCCTGTAGGATGAAACAGATAAAAGGTAATTATATACAGTGTCCACAATGCAAAGTCAGACTGCTCAACATCTGTCTATGGCAGGGCAGTGTATTCTGCATGCAGAGTTTAAGCTTAGACATGTGTGTTCTAGAGCATGGAGCTGCTTTTAGAAATGTTCAGTGCTATGTCACGCCAGCAAAGGAGCTAGCTGAATTGTCCACCATACTTGATTTTAGCTGGAGTGGGCTTTGTTCAGAAGGAACAAGTGTAAGCTAGCCTTTGAAGGGTTTGGGACAGCTGGGAGGGTCTTAGTAAGGTTCCTCAAGAAAGGCACTCTAAGAGCTCAGAAGCAAGATGAGAAGGAACCCACGGCTCACTGCCAAAAAAGTTCCCTGCATCCAGCCAACCACCAAAGTGAGGTCCTGGCAATTAGAGTAAACTGAACCTAATGGGAAAATACACAAGGCCCTGAGAAATTATATTGTTATATATATTGGAGTCCAGGTGAGCAATCAGTAGACAGAGGGCAGAATCAATACACGATGGGATTTGCCTAGCCCGCAGTGATGGTCTACTTACAGATGTTCTCCTCTAAGGGAAACTGATGACACTAGACATAAAAATTTAACTTTGTGAAATATACAGCTTAGAGGGTAAGTGGCTGCTTCGAGGAAGAGGCTCCTCTCCAATCATGGAAAATGTTTCCACTTACTGAAGTTTAGAAGATGAACGACAATGCTTCCATCTTGCACTCCACTTTAAGGTGTTTGGTCTTTCCTGAATGCTTAGGTACGCAGGTGAGGCTGGGTACAAGAGAGCCTCAGCCTGCTAACTAGACCCCCTGGAGCCTCCTGTTGTGTTTAGGAAGCCAGCCAGGAAAAAAAGGGGCTTTTCTTTTCTGCCATAGAAGGATACCTGATGAACTTGCCAAGAGCAAGGTGATGGTTGGGAAGAGTCATTCAATTGACACTTTTGCTCCCTGGGTATGCAGTGCATTGACTAGGAAAGTATATTTCCCTCAGAAGGTATTTTCCTGCTTCTTCACTGCCTCTTTTCTCTTCTGCACACACAATAAATATTCAATAAGAAGATTACCACATTCACTGAAGTAGGCTCACAAAGCAATGGGGTGAAAAATGCCATGTTTTTCAAAAACATGAATTCACTTTTCTCCAGCAGATTTTTAGGTGTGGGGAAAGACGTTAGAAATACTGTTTCCAAGTAAGATCCAGTTAACGTGCAAAACTGGAGTAGCAAGATATTCCTCAAAACCTGCACACAAACTAGTCTCGTTATTTATGGAGACATCGGAAAATCATTCTTAAGGCAGTTCCCATTCTGTCATTTTTAACTAAGCCCAGCGTAAAAGCTGACATGCCTGAAAAGAAACCAAACCACATTCTTTCTGCTCACACGGGATTAGGAGCTCTCCGCAAACTCTCCCCCTTCCCTCCTGCTGCTGTTGACAGGCCAGGCTCTGAGCTCAGGACAAGGAGCTGAATATTCCAAGTCCTTAAACACTACAGGCTGCATGACGCTTTTGTGTGTGTGGGGGGGTGGGGGTGGGGGGGGAATGCCTTGATTGAAAGCAAAAAGAATGCATTCTACGTCCATGCTAAGCCTTCTGCGGTGACCACCGAGGACAGAGCACGCAAGTAGGCCACTACCTGGGACAAAGGCCGCAGGTACCAAATCATATCTGAGTCTCATGAATGCTGGCAGGCAAAGGCAGTTGCAAATCATCCATTCTCTCTTCTCCCTACTGAATAAGGCAACCGAGGCCCAGGATGGTCGGGAACCACAGTCAAAGCCACACAGGTGGTCAGAGGCAGTAATGCCAGGGACTAGCGCCTGCTTTGGGGAAGCACGGGCTGCTTCCTTGGTCTGTCCTGGTGAGACAAGGAATGGGAATCCCAACAGGAGGTCCCCACCCAGAGCTGAGCATGTTCTTCTGCCCTCCCCTGGAAAATCTCGGTCCTCTGGTCTCTTCCAGCCTCTCTGCTCAGCCTGTAGGCTGGCCCTGCTGGTGGCATCCAGGAGAGATAGGCTCAGGACAAATCCCTTGCTGGCTGACCTGACTGCAGTTGAGTCACCTGAACTTTCTCGGCAGCCTCGCCCCCTAGCCCCAAGAGAGGCCCAGACTGGTGACAGGGAGTGGCAGAGGCAAGGCCACCTCTGTGAGAGATCCTCTGACGGTTGCAGGTTTGTCATTCGAGTTTCTGAAAGTGAGCAAGCAGACGGCTGACAGACAAGGGCAGCAGGGTGCAAGGAGAAAACGGCTTCTGAAGGCACAGCTTCAGAGACTTTCTCCTCCTGGCTGCCTCACAGTGTTTTCATGTGGAAACTAGACATTCTGACCCTGCTGGAACCTGTGTCAACGTCGTCGGCATCTTTTTGTTGAGTGTTTTTCATGGACACGAGTGATTCCCCAACAGGCCCCTCTGCAGTGGTGGCCTGAAATAGAGGACAGACGCCCCTGACAGGCCCTGTACCTGGAGCACCAGTCCAAGGCAAGCCATGGGGCCCAGGAAACAGGCTCCCAGCACTGGGATTCAATAAGGGCTGTTGTGTCCCAGAAGCTTCTAAGTGATGTGGGTAGCTCCTTAGAGAATGCCAAAGTCATAGGACCTGGAGACTTCAAAATCACAAGAGCAGATGAGAAGACTTGTCTGTGAGGTTAAAAAGAAAGAAAAAAGAAAAGCCAACTCACCTGGGGGCAGGCAGGTGGGAAGGAGAAGCTACTCTGCAGAAATGGCAGAGCATTACTACCAGAAATAAAAATAACAATGGTGCTGATAAGAGCTCATTGTGTTATCGGGCACCAAGCAGGGTTGTAAGCATTTTACATGCATGCTTTCATTTTGTAGGCACCAGCGTTATCCCCATTTTACAGATGAGAAAACAGAAACATGAAGATACAGAGACAGAAGAAGCTGAAGCCAGTTCAGGGAAGTTGTAGCAGCCAGACACAGAAAGAAATGAGGCTCTGTCTAGAAGAAAGAGAGCCCCCAAGGGTTGTCCTCTCTGTCATTGCTGTAATGTGGAGAGGGGTCATTTTCCTTCCTCCCCTTAGCTCTTGGGGCAAGGCTGGGAAACCCCACCTGTACCCCAGTGCCCGCCCCATGCCTGGCTGTGGCTGCTTCTATTAATTGCATGTCTAACCAATGCATGATCCAGGCGTCAACGTCTCGCCACTCCCTGTCTCCTCTTTCTTGAGCCTGAGACCATGGGGTCATTCTTTTAGGTCATTTCACTTTTAGCTTTCTTTTTTTTTCAGTTTCACTTTTTCATTTTTATCTGATTTTTATTTCCAAAATGTTCAGACCTGGCGGAGACTGATCTAAGAATGTGAGTAGTGAGATGTCAGGGATTGCGGATGGGGCAGAAGGGAGGCTTCACGCAGCCCGCACCCTTCAACACATACATGCTCCTCGTCCTGGTCACCACTGAGTGTTACAGGCAAGAAAATAAAAACCCTAAACTCCTCAGACAGTGATCATTAGGTGTCATTCTGTTCAAATCTTAAAAAATAGTTTGAGCAGATGAAGAATCAGTAAAGAAAGCTTGGAGGTGATTTGATAACATTTTATCTACCCAGAGGACCAATCAAAGAGAGTATTTGTATTGTGGTGATGGTGGTGATGGTGGTGGTGGTGGTGGTGGTGGTCGTGGTGCTGGTTTTGTTCCATTTGCTTGCTTCCGGTGGCTTCACTCACATGCTTCCTCTGCAGTCCTGGTTCCCCACAGCCATGGGCAGAAGGTACAGCCTATATATGAGTCTCTATCAGTGCACAGGTGTCCAGTGTAGGAAAAAATAAAATGGAACATTACAGCACCCCGTTTAATAGACAACTTTTGAATTCACTTATGACCATGGTCTCCATGGTTCTAGGGGCTGTGAGGGCATCAGAGATGCCTTTTGTATTTTATATTCACACAGACTCACAGTAACTCAGATGGAGGGCTGTAGGCTTTGAACCATGAACTGCCCCAGCGAGGCTGTTGGGGAAGGCGTGCAGGGCTGGCTGCTGTAACAGACCTGGCCACAGGAGATGGGAGAGATGGATGCTCAACCTTCCCCCTCCCATCCTCCGCTCATAAGAACCCTACTGTGTCCAAACACAATCAGGCACCAATCTCCTCTCCCATCCTCCTGTCTTCCCTCCTCCTGGTCATCTCTTCCCTTTAAGATCCTGGCTGTGTGTTGCCCGATTTGGTCGTGCCTCCAGTTGGTCACTCCACTCCATGGCTCATGTAGGCTCATGTGTGACCTCAGTAGGCTACTTGAGCTCTGGTGCCTCAGTCTCCTCCTCTGTAAGGTCAGGGTAATAACAGGACCCACCTCCTTGGGGGTTAAATGAGGCAGTGGGATAAACCGTTAAGCATAGTGCCTATTGTACCTGCCAATGCTTTTCTTGTTGCCACTGATAGAATTTTTTCCATTGTCTGGAAATTATTTCCATGGTGATGTGTACTGTGACAGCTGCTTTCAAAGGCACTAGTGTGAGGCCAGGCGCGGTGGCTCATGCCTGTAATCCCAGCACTTTGGGAGTCTGAGATGGGAGGATGGCTTCAGCCCAGGAGTTCAAGACCAGCTTGGGCAACATGGCAAAACCCCGTTTCTACAAAAAATACAAAAACTTAGTGGCATGGTGTGTTGTGGTGTGCTTGTAGTTCCAGCCACTGGGGAGGCTGAGTTGGGAGAATCACCTGAGTCCAGGAAGCTGAGGCTGCAGTGAACTGTGATCACACCACTGTACTCTGGCCTGGGCAACAGAGTAAGACTCTGTCTCAAAAGAAAAAAAAAAAAGCACCAGTGTATGCTCCGTCATTCCCATCTTCTCTTGCAATCTATTAAGAGGGTCCATGACAGCATCAGATGGTACCAAGTAAGAATGCATTTGGAATGAGCAAAGCTGCCTTCTAAACTCCTCAGCTCCTTCCAGCTCTATCTGGACCCCCACAGTATTTTTTGAGGGGCTTCTATGAGGGATCCCCATGCCAGGGTCCATTCTTCCACGCTTGGGGTCAGAGCCCTGCTAGGGCCCCCTGCTGTGGTCTGTCCCGCACCCACATGGAAGCCAAAATGCCTCTCAGAGGGAGCTGGGGGGCAGCACCAGAACCTTCCTTGTCCTCACGCTTGACTAGCAGACAATGGGTTCTTCAGAAGCCACAGCATTTCAGCTGTTTTGGCCCCAGAGGCCACAAGCTGACTGCATGTCATTCTCCACCAGCAGAGCGTCACCTCGGGGTAGCTCCAAACAGTATCAACCGGTTTGTGGTGAGTGGATAAACACCAGGCTGGGTGAATGAAGTCACAGGCTGAGTCATCCTCTGCACATGGGGGCTGAATGGGGCTCAGTCAGGCCCAGAGGAGCCTCCCCGGCAAGGTGCTGGGGGCCAGGCTCTCCCTGCCAGTGAGGCTGGGGTCCGTCCCCAATAGTCATTCCTTTGGCCAACAAACACTTATTGAGCGCCCACCTACTAGGTGTTGGCACGAGTGAGTGGTTAATAAGTGAGCGATTATTTCTCAAAATAGATTTTGTGGTCATCTAAATTCAGAGCATGTTACCCAAAGCAGGTTTCAGCCTGTGTTTCCTACACAGAAACACTTGTTAAAATAAAAAAGGAAAGAAAAGAAAAGGGAAGGGAAGGGAAGGGAAAGGAAGGGAAGGGAAGGGAGAACCAAGATTTTATTAATGTTAAGGTTTTAAATAGTAACTATATTTTGGTTCAGACTCATTAATTAATTTGCCATTTCAAACTGGTTGACAGGACAGAGTCAGAAAAATATTCTGATTAAGTTAATTAAGTTTGTCTCCCAAAGTAAAATACAATAGTTAGATTAGAACTGCTTTTTGCTACCTGGGTCTTAAGGAGAAAGTGGGCCTTGAGAAGCAAATAGGGCCAGGATGAGGTAAGTGAGGCACTTCCTTTGGGCACAAAATTGAAGGGGGCACCAAAAAACTCAGCTATCATGATAAAGAGTATTTTAATACAATTTTTTTGTAAAGGCTGAGCACAGTGGCTCACGCCTGTAATCCCAGCATTTTGGGAGGCCAAGGCGGGTGGATCACCTGAGGTCAGGAGTTCAAGACCAGCCTGGCCAACATGGTGAAATCCCATCTCTATTAAAAATACAAAAATTAGCCGGGCATGGTGGCAGGCACCTGTAGTCCCAGATACTCAGGAGGCTGAGGCACGAGAATCTCTTGAACCTGGGAGGCGGAGGTATGCAGTGAGCTGAGATGGTGCCACTGCACTCCAGTCTGGAGTGAGACTCAGTCTCAATTTAAAATATATATATTTTTTATTAAAATATATATATATTTTAATAAAATATATATATATTTTAATAAAAAATATATATATACATACACACATAAACATATATACACACACGTATATACACACGCATATGTGTGTATATATATAAAATCAAAATTGATGCAGAAATTCATGATGAACAAAATATAAAATGTTTAAATACAGACAGGAGCAGTGCTACCAATTTTTCTCAGATTCCAACAGCAAACGCCCTGCTCTCCTCCCCCTAGTTTCCCACAGCTGCCCCACTGTCCCTGCACACCCTTGGCCAGATGGGGGAAAAGCTGATATTAGCTCACAGAAATGACAGCCAGGCACTGGGCGAATTCAAATCTCCACAGACATTGCCTCTGCTGGCTGATTCCAGGACAGTGTGACAGGGTGTCACAGGGGTGGCGCTGTGTCCTGGTGGAGAGCCCTGGCATCAGGAGGTCTCTGCCTTCAAATCCCTGTCCCACCCTTCCTAGCTTCCTTACCTTGTGCTTTAGCTCTTTAAGCCTTGACATCTTCATCTGTAAAATGGGGGTGATAATGTGTTGATCTCATGGGATTCAATGAGGCACACAAGGGCTCAGCAGAGCTCCTGGAACCATTATCATTGTAGACATGTCCACGGGCAAATCTCATCCCCTCCACTCTGGGTGGGAGCTGCATTTCCTCTGTTGAGGGAATGACTCCTATTCCATTCAGCTGTTACTGGGGAGACCTGTGGGGCAGCTCCTCGTGAGGAATGCAGGATTTGTGATACCACATATGTGAGTTTGTTTTGTTTTGCTTTAAGCAAACCTCTAGAAATAGTCCTAGTAGTAGCAGTAGCAATAATAGCGCTTAGCACTTTTGCTGAGCATTTTCTCAGGATGCTAGTTAGTGCCAGGCCTGTGCTAAGGCCTGTGTTGAGCCCAACAAGAGAGACAGCAGGTGGTGAGGCTGGAGTGAGCTGTTGTCCTGGGGCCCATCCCATCCAGCAAACTTCTGGCCTCAATGTCTGAAGCCTGGGGTGTGAGCTAACATCAGCTTTTCCCCCATCTGGGCGAGGGTGGGCAGGTGTGTGTGGGGTGGGGGCAAGCACCCCCCTCGACCAGGCCTAGGTCTTCAGCCCTGGCTCTGTGCTTCCCAACCCCCCCATTCCCCCCTCACCAGGTGGCAGCATATCACCCCGGGCTGGGAAGCCTGTTGACTCCTGGGGCCACTGAATCACAGCACCCTTGAAAATCAAACATAGTGAGCCATGGAACATGGCCCCATGTCACCTGAATTGGAAAAATAAAGGGGTTTTGTTTTCCAAGCAATGGCTGATGCTCACAACAAACTGCTGCCCCTCACACCAAAATCTTAAATCTTGTCTTGGGAGATGGTTCACCAAGACAAGGAACAGACAGCTTATCTTTAATGCTGCTGTTGTCTGAAAGACTCCGGAGTGTGTTCAGTGTTACACTCAGATTTTAAAATCAATCCATTCATTTGAAAAATGCTTGCCATGGGCCTTGTAAAAAGGCACAATGGGCATGAGTGAACGCGGGGACCCTTGATAACCCTAAACAGCCTCTTCAGCTGGAATAACTCCATCCCCTTCCCCGAAAAACTTGGATTTTGTTTGCTTTTAAAATTAGGCCAGGCACAGTGGCTCATGCCTGTAATCCCAGCACTTTGGGAGGCCAAGGCGGGTGAATCACTTGAGGTCAGGAGTTCAAGAACAGCCTGACCAACATGGTGAAACCTTGTCTCTACTAAAAATACAAAAATTAGCCGGGTGTGGTGGTGTGCACCTGTGATCCCAGCTACTTGGGAGGCTGAGGCAGGAGAATCGCTTGAACCCAGGAGGCGGAGGTTGCAGTGAGCGGAGATTGCACCGTTGTACTCCAGCCTGGGTGACAGAGCCAAACTCTGCCTGAAAAAAAAAATTTTTTTTTGAATTAAATTAAACACATACACACCACACAGAATTTTAAAAAGAGCCCCCATGTGAGAATTTGTTAATCATGCTTGGCTATTGTAGATCAAATGACATTCCATGATTCACAACTGAAACAGTGTTAAAGCCTTTAAAACAAGATTCACAGACACTGGGTCACAGTCCACACATTACACATGGCATTCATAGTCAGCGATACCAGGATGACGGTTTTACCATTTCTACCTTGAAACCGTTGTGGAGAGAAAGAAAGGGAGAGTTTGCAGCTACTCTCAATAGCAATTTTTGAAATAGAGATCTTCCTTATTATTATTATTATTATTATTATTATTATTATTATTATTATTTTGAGACGGAGTCTTGCTCTGTCGCCAGGCTGGAGTGCAGTGTTGCGATCTCAGCTCACTGCAACCTCCATCTTATGGGTTCAAACGATTCCCCTGCCTCTGCCTTCCAAGTAGCTGGGACTACAGATGAGCACCACCATGCCCAGCTATTTTAGTAGAGCCAGAGTTTCACCATGTTGGCCAGGATGGTCTCCATCTCCTAACCTCATGATCTGCCCATCTTGGCCTCCCAAAGTGCTGGGATTACAGGCGTGAGCCACGGCGCCTGGCCCCATTATTTTTTTGAATAGTAAAGGGATTACATGTACTCATTGTAAATGAGTTAGACCATTTTAAAAACAATGCAGAAGACAAAAATTTTCTATAATCTCACTACTCTGAGAAAGCCACTGCTCATGATACCCTGATATAGGTAGTTACAGGTTTTCTTATTTGCATATGCACACATATAATCAAATATATGATACAGATTGGAATTAAACTACACAGGCAGGCTTATAGTCGGCTTTATTCATTTAGTAATATATTGTGATACCTTTCAGTGCCAATAAATGTACCCTTATATAACCCTTTCAACTGAGGATCTCAATGTATGCTATCCTGTGATTTTATTTATTTATGAGAAGTTTTTACTCTGTCACCCAGGCTGGAGTGCAGTGGCACAATCATAGTTCATTGCAGCCTCGACCACCTGGGTTCAAGCGATCCTCCCACTTCAGCCTCCTGAGTAGCTGGGACTACAGGCCTGAGCCACCACACCTGGCCTACCCTGTGACTTATTGAAATATCTCCCTATAAATGAACATTTCATCCCCCCTCAACATTTTTATATAAATCAGACAGTAATGAACATCCTTCCACATACATAGATATGTTCTAAATCAGTTTCTCCTTGGATTAACTTCTAGGGTAGAATCAGCAAATGTATGTCGTCAAGTAGGTCCCTCCAGCAAGGCAGAATCAATCTACACTCCCACCTGGAGAACCCGAGAACGTGTGACCCAGTGGCCTTGGCAGCACTGGGTGTTTTTCTTTTTTTTTTTTTTTGGTGGAGTCTTGCTCTGTTGCCCAGGCTGGAGTGCAATGGCACGATCTCGGCTCACTGTAACTCTCCACTTCCTCGGTTCAAGTGATTCTCCTGTCTCAGCCTCCCAAGTAGCTGGGATTACAGGCACCTGCCATCATGCCCAGCTAATTTTTGTATTTTTCGTAGTGATGGGGTTTCGCAATGTTAGCAAGGCTGGTCTTGAACTCCTGACCTCAGGTGACCTGCCTGCCTCAGCCTCCCAAAGTTTTGGGATTACAGGCATGAGCCACTGTGCCCAGCGGGTGTTTTTCTTTTAAATTATGTTTTTGTGTTTATTTATTATTTTATATCTTTCTATGATTATAGCACCTATGCAAGATCATTGTAGAATTTCAAACATTATCAATGTATATAAAGTAAAATTCCCTCCCTGAGTTCTCCTATCCTAGTTCCACACCTGCATATAACCTGATTGTATTTCTTCCAAATTTTCCTTTCAATGCCCACACTAAAAAGAATTTCGTTTTGCCACAAAAATAGTATATTATTAAGATTGGCAACTTGCCTTTTTCTTTGTGTACTTCCACATAGGCTGTGGTTTTCTTTCCACATCATTTATACATAGGCCCCATTTTGTAGCGGCTGCTACATGTTCCACAGAATGGACATAACCTGTCCCTCGTGGAGGGCCATTTTCATTATTTTCAGTATTTGCAATAATATACTTGCTCACATAGTTTGGCATGTGCATGGGACTTCCTATCTATGATCATTCCTAGAAAAACACTAGTGCTGAAGAGTTTGCGTGTTTGAAATGCCCATAGCTGTTGTCAAATTGCCCTCCAAAATGAACATTCCTGCCAACAATAATGAAAGCACCTGTTTCCATCAGGGTCTTTAAACAGGGATTAGCTGTTCACTTAGCAGGCATATGTGGTAGACATGTTTTCTGTTGATGTTTACCAGTTTATGATAAAGGATATTGCAAAGGATCCAGGTGAAGGAGGACAGTGGCATGGCATGAAGGAGGGCCCCAGAGCTCCTACGTTGTCTCCAGGTGCCCCTTCCTCTGGCACCTTCATGTGTTCACCCTGTAGATATATTTTCTGGAAAGTGGGGAGAACCAACCTAGTAGTTCTGCGAGGATCCCTTAGACATCTTCACTCACCTGAGGTTACGGTGCCCTGTCCTCTCTCCGTCTTCCACCTCATCTCACACACATATACATTTGCAAGGTTATGCTTGACACCATCAGCAATATTTATGATTTGTTCATAAGATAGGATCAGCATTAAATGACCCACCCTCTACCCAGATCAACCAATTGCAGACAGGCAGATGCATAACTCACTTTCATACAATTTGAGAATTTCTAATTTTCCACTTCTGTAAGAGAGGAACACAGTTGGTCCTTCATAACCCACCACTGGGAGATGGTTTAAAGACCATCATACAGCATTATTGAAATACATCAGGCCTACATTGTCCAATATGGCAGCTCCTAGGAACATGGAACTCCTGAGCACTGGAAATGTGTCCATCCAAATTGGGATGTGCCACAGGTGTGAAATACATACTAGAAATACATACTTTTTCATAGGAAGAAAAAAAAGTAAACTATCTCAATAATTTTTGTATTGATTACAAGCTGAAATGGTAACCTCTTAGAAATACTGGTTAAATGAAACACACTATTAAAATTAATTTTATGTTTCTTTTCATTGTTTAACATAGCTACTGGAACATTTAAAATTACATATGTGGCTTGTATTCTATTTCTACTGGGTGGCATTGCTCTAAGTTGTTTGTACAGCTGCAGATATACATCGAGGCTTTGTGTGTGTGTGCTTATTTCTGCTCTCTCTCTCTCTCTCTCTCTCTGTCTCTCTTTCTCTCTTCATTCCTTCAACTCAGTTCAACAATCTAATTTGCAGAGATGACTATTTCAAAGATGACACCTGTCACTTTGGCTGTCTGGTATATGAACCAACGGTGTGCTGGCAAAATGGCTCTCTGAAGGAACAGCAAAGCCCCAGTTTGTCATTTTTGCCCATTTCTGTGGTGTAAATACTCCCATCACTGCCAAATCCAGGCTGCCAATATGATGTCCCTGAACCTGGAACTGGGAAGAGACAAGCGTTCTGGTGAGTGGGTCCTGCCAGCTCCAGCACACCATGGGTTATGAGTCCTCTTCTTATGAATTCCCAGCCACACAAAAGGCAGGGCTCCCATGGCCCCTCTGGAAGCCAAAGGTGGCATCTGTTTCCTCCCCCCAACCCTGGACACCTATAGCTTGGGCCCATGGGCTATGGGAGGCCAATCAAATGCTCCTACCCAGGATGTTGGATCTCAAGGGGTTGATGGACAGGCAGGGGGCTTATTTGAGAACATCTGTGGTGGCTGCAGCAGACTCAAGCTTTCAGAGGAATGGAGATGAGCACCTGTGGGGGGTAGTGGAGACCACCGGGGCTAGAGTCCAGTGGTGGAATCCAGCTGTGATAGCAGCTACTGTCTCGTGGCAATGGGGACAGTGGTGGCATCCAAGGTAGACTACTCCTGCAGCAGGATCTCACTTGTCCTTGTTACCCCTGAAGCAGGTTCCTCAGCCTCCACCTTGAGTTGATGAGCTGGCCACTCTCCCTCCATTGATTCCTTTTCTGCTAGGTCACCTAGAGTCAGAAACTTGCACTAGGCATTTACCTGTAACAGTCAGGTGATGTAACAGGCGATGTGGCTGAAATGCAGTGCAGAGAAGGGACCGGCTACCGCCAGGTGAGAGACGTTCTGAAAGCAGAGGGCTCATTAGAATCATCACCTTTAAAAACAGGCATGTCCAGAATTGAAAACAGGGACTCAGATATTTCTACATCCAAGTTCACGGCAGCATTATTCACAATAGCCAAAAGGCAGAAGCAACCCAAGTGTCCACTGACATATACATGGATGCACAAAATGTGGTGTATCTATACAATTGAATATTATTCAGCCTTAAAAAGGAAGGAAGGGCTGGGTGAGGGGGCTCACACCTGTAATCCCAGCACTTTGGGAGGCAGAGGCTGGTGGATCACGAGGTCAGAAGATCAAGACCAGCCTGGCTAACACAGTGAAACCCCATCTCTACTAAAAATACAAAAATTAGTCGGGTGTGGTGGCGTGCACCTGTAGTCCCAGCTACTCAGGAGGCTGAGGCAGGAGAACCACTTGAACCCGGGAGGCGGAGTTTGCAGTGAGCTGAGATTGTGCCACTGCACTCCAGCCTGGGCGACAGAGAGAGACTCCATCTCAAAAAAAAAAAAAAAAAAAAAAAAAAGAAAGGAAATCCTGACACATGCTACAACATAGATAAATCTTGAGGACATTATGCTAAGTGACATAAGCCAGTCACAGAAAGACAGATACTGCATGATTCTGCTTACATGATGTTCCTAGAGTAGAACAAATTCATAGACAGGGAACATAGAGTGGTGGTTTCCAGGAGCTGGGGGGAATGAGAAGCTGTTTAATGGGGACAGAGTTCCAGTTTTGCAAGATGAGAGGAGCTCTGCAGATGGATGGTGATGATGGCTGCATAGCAATGTGTATCTTCTTAACGTCATTGAATTGCACGCTTAAACAATGGTTAAGACAGTAAGCTTTACTTATGAATATTTTACCGCAGCAAAATATAATTTCAGCCTGGGCACAGTAGCTCGCACCTGTAATGCCAGCACTTTGGGAGGCCCAGGAGGATCACTAGAGCCCAGAAGTTCAAGACCAACCTGGGCAATACAGCAATACCTAATTTCTACTAAAAAAAAAAAAAAATTAGCTGGGCATGGTGGCACACACATGTAGCCCCAGCTAATGGGGAGGATCCCTTGAGCCCAGGAGTTTGAGGCTGCAGTGAGCTTTGATCACACCACTGCACTCCAGCCTGGGTGAGAGAGCAAAATGCTGCCTCAAAATCATAAGAATAATAATTTTATAAAAACAGGCACACATCTAGTTTCCACTCCTGAAGAACTTTGAGCTGGGATTGACGCTGGGTGGGTATGCAGTTTCTAAAACTCCACGGGCGAGAACAGCCAATTGTGCATGGCTGCCCAGGGATGGAACGACTTGACTCGAGAGGGTCCAGTGTCAATGGCTGTGCTGCCTGAGAGTCTCCAGTTTCTAGACTAGTTTCTAAACCAAAGGCAGCCTCAAGTGCCTGTGGGTTAAAGCAGCTGCAGGTGTATGTTGAACTAATTCAACTAAGTTGAACTCTATCAACTAAATGAATTAGTCATCAACATTTGCAAATTGGAAGATTTTACATGACAAATGCAGATTTTGAATTTCTCTAGAAAAATTAGAAGACATGGCCGCACCGGCCCAGCTTCCACATGGCCCAGTAAGTTAGAGCTGAGGGAGGATAACCGCCTCGGGCCTCAGTCTCCTCTATTCCCTTCTGCACTACCCCAGCCCACCTCAGCTGCTCTCCGACATTCTAGGTTTGTGATTCACACTTGAAATAAGCAAGCTGACCTGTGCCAAGAGCTCCAGTCCCTTTAAACTCTGCTTCTGTCTTCAAGTAGCTTACAAAATCGTGCCCAGATTAATGGATAAATAAATAGTATGAGTTACAAATGCCAAAATAATACAGACAGATACCAAAAGCCCAATCCTCGCTTTAATTTTGTCACTGATTTCTGAAGCAACGCTGTTTTGCTAAACTGTAAACATGGGCTGTCACTCTAACATTTAAATTCTTCTTTATTTTTTATTCTTTGTTGATTTAACAGGCGTCAGCATTGAAACAAATTCATAAAGTCAGTCTTGGATCTTATTTACTGAGGTTTCCATTTCAAAGAAACCTGGAATACTCAGATTTATCTTGGCTGGCAGAAGGTGATGGAGGCTTGCGGGGGTTGTTGGGAGAGTGGATATAAAAATCATGAGTCCTTTTTTTTTGAAAAGCAAAATATGGGGCTCCCTCAAGCCACTGCACAATGATCTCAACCCCATCAATAAGGGTGATCATCGAAGCTCCTTCCTGATTTGGGAGCCTGTATTCAGGGAATTACCCTGGGAATATTCACAACGGGCTCAGCCAGGAATAGCTGGAATACTTCCCAGGGGGCGGGAGAGCCATGATGCCAAGTCTCAGACTCTCTTTGACGATGCTATTTTTTCCTCTCAAATTACATCATTTCTAATCATTTCCCATAGGCTTTCTAGATTTAAAAAGAAGGAGAAAAAGGAGGGAATTTGGAGGCCGTGAGGACATTAGTATCCATTTTCTAATTTTTATTTTTCAACTATCACCCTTTTAACATGAGATCCCAATGCTGCCTTCCCGTCTGACCTGGAGACATACAGGGACCACAGACACAAGGCCTGAAAAATCAGTCGCTTCAGTTTGGAGGGGCAGCTCCGGTAGAAAAGATACCTCCGCTTCAAAACCCAATGGGCCTCAAACTTCTTAGCTCGCTTCCTAAAGTCAGCACAGTGCTCACAGTTGGCCTGTGGGCCTGCACAGTAATCCCATAAACACACGCATGTTTGTCCTAAAGACTGATCATCTCCTCAGGCCACCTGTGGCGGGAGCTTCCATAGCGGCTCTCTGCAGGTCCATAGCAGGGCCATAGTGAGAAGCGGCCTGCCAGGAGACTTTCTGATTCCATCTTGAGCTGTCACATGGGGTTCCAGCCGCACAACCCCTATAAGAGCATGCCAGGCTCCCTGTGGGCCCAGGGACAGTTTCCTTTAGGGAAGCAGGTATTATTTATATCATCAAAGCAGACTAGATTATGCAATGTCATTTCAAATTGGCATAAACAGATTCATGATAGCACAAGGTTATCTGTTGAAAATAATCTTCGAGTTTGGTAGAAGTGAAGGGTTTCAACCGTGTGTTTCAACCGTTGTTAGACTGTTTGGCTGAATGAAATATGTGACTAATGCCTATACCTAGCTGGCTTCTCCATCTTCCAGCGGGAGCTGGGGAACCTCTCAAAAAAGTAGACATATGACCTGTATTAGTCACGGTTCTCTAGAGGGACAGGACGAATAGGATAGATGTATATATGAAGGGGAGTTTATTAAAGGGAATTGACTCATGAGATCACAAGGTGAAGTCCCACAACAGGCCATCTGCAAGCTGGGGAACAAGGAAGCCAGTCCAAGTCCCAAAACCTCAAAAATAGGGAAGCTGACAGTGCAGGCTTCAGTCTGTGGCTGAAAGCCCAAGAGCCCCTGGCAAACCACTGGTGTAAGCCCAAGAGCCCAAAAGCTGAAGGACTTGGAGTCCAGTGTTTGAGGGCAGGAAGCATCCAGCATGGGAGAAAGATGAAGGCCGGAAGACTCAGCCACTCTAGTCCTTCTAACTTCTCCTGCCTGCTTTATGCTAGCCTCCCTGGCAGCTGATTAGATAGATGGTGCCCACCCAGATTAAGGGTGGGTCTGCCTCTCCCAGTCCATGGACTCAAATGATAATCTCCTTTGGCAACAGCCTCACAGACACACCCAGAACAATACTTTGCATCCTTCAATCCAGTCAAGTTGACATTCAGTATTAACCATCACACTACCCAATACATGTGTTGCATTCTGCTGAGTGCTTTTTTTTTTTTTTTTTTTTTAAAGACAGGGTCTCCATCTATTGCCCCAGTCTGGAGTGCAGTGATGTGATCTTGGCTTGGCTCACTGCAACCTCTGCCTCCCGGGTTCAAGTGATTCTCCTGCCTCAGCCTCCTGAGTAGCTGAGATTACAGGGGTGAGCCACCACACCTGGCTAATTTTTGTATTTTTAGTAGAGATGGGGTTTCACCATATTGGCCAGTCTGGTCTCGAACTCCTGATCTCAAGTGATCCGCCCACCTTAGCCTCCCAAAGTACTGGGATTACAGGCGTGAGCCACTGCACCCAGCCTGCTGAGTGCTTTTGATTAACATTTATCAGTCTGGTGAGCAAAATCCCTGTAGGATAGGATATCAAAAACACAGAAATTCCCATTCCCAACCGGTGGCTAGTCACCCAAGACCAACCCCCTCAACTTGCCCCCAAGCTTGCTCTATTTCCCCCTTCTTCCCTCAGGCACTGCATTTGCCAACACCGCACTTGCCACTCTCCTGCCTTCACAGCTGCTCACACTGCCACTCTTTCCGCCATCCAGTCAGCCTCCCTGTGCCCCCTTTGTCCCTCCAAAAGAGTCCTACAAACTCTTCAGACTTGGCTCCAATGCCGGCCCCATGCCTCTCTGACCACTTAGGCAGAGGCAACCTCCCTCTCCCTTGCATGTCCTCCAGGGCAGGGGTGAGATCTCACTTCACCTTGCACCCTCCAGGGACCCTGAAAATAGGGCAGACCCTGGATAAACATGGGGAGGAGAGAGGGAGATAGCAGGGGAAGGAAGATAAGGCAGGACAGAGGATGCAGTGAGAAAGACAGAGAGGAAGGCAGGTTATTAGAGTCAGGTAGCAGAATGCGATCTTAATCTAACTGCTTCAATTGTGTATTCAAATAGAAAACAAGACCATTCCAAAAAGTAAACTCCTTCCCAGATCTCTGAAGAATTTATATAATGGAATTGAAACTTTGAGAACACAATGCCAATAGCTCCTCTGGCTACCAATCTTATGCTGTGAAATAAATAAATGATGTGAGGGCTTTGCTTAGGGATACCCAGGGCTACAAAATGCAAAAGAAATGTGCATTTCAAACACAGGAAAGGCCAGTTCCACAGGCCACATGGGTGCCCGAGGAAGCTCTAGTCTTCTTATTTTATGAACATATAATTCATCTTTCTATTTCCTGGCATCTGCTCTTATTTCATTAAGATATTCACTCTTTGGCTTCTCTCTCCCAGGAATTAGGGGTGAAGGATAGGCCATGCCTGAACTAAAACAAACACTTTGTGGAGCTTGCCCCACTCAATCCATTTAAAATCAACTCCTACTATAGATGGTGTTTGCTGAGGATTGTGACTTTGTTTGTTTGTTTGTTTGTTTGTTTGAGATGGAGACTTGCTCTTGTCGCCCAGGCTGGAGTGCAGTGGCGCGATCTCAGCTCACTGCAACCTCCGCCTCTCAGGTTCAAGCGATTCTCCTGCTGCAGCCTCCCAAGTAGCTGGAATTACAGGCACCCACCACCATGCCTGGCTAATTTTTGTATTTTTAGTAGAGACGGGGTTTCGCCATATTAGCCAGGCTGGTCTCGAACTCCTGACCTCAGGTGATCCGCCTATCTCAGCCTCCCAAAGTACTGGGATTACAGGTGTGAGCCACCACGCCCAGCCAGAGGATTGTGACTTTTATAGAACTGGTGACTTACTTTTAATTAACACAGTGTTACAAGAAATGTATCTGAGGCTGAGATAGTTTTAGCATTTTTCTTCTATTTTTCAGCACAACTTTAAAACATTCCTCTTTTATACTTGGCAAAATGCTTTAGAAACCTTTTCTTAAAAATTATATGTCTGAGTGGCTGAGGTGGGCAGGATCAGGAGTTCAAGATGTGCCTGAACAACATGGTGAAACCCCATCTCTACAAAAAACACAAAAACTAACCAGGCATAGTGGCGTGTGCCTGTAGTCCCAGCTACTCGGGAGGGTGAGGTGGGAGGATCGCTTGAGCCATGGAGCTCAAGGTTGCAGTGAGCTGAGACTGTGCCACTACACTCCAGCCTGGATGATAGAGTGAGTCTCTGTCTCAAAAAAAAAAAAAAAAAAAAAAAAA
Source organism: Homo sapiens (assembly GCF_000001405.40). Classification (NCBI taxonomy): domain Eukaryota; kingdom Metazoa; phylum Chordata; class Mammalia; order Primates; family Hominidae; genus Homo; species Homo sapiens. The sequence goes on from NC_000021.9 coordinate 33,092,194, forward strand.
AGAATTATACGTTTAATCCCATATTTAACTTCGCATAAACTAAAACTAAAATCAGCAATTCCCATTCAATAAGGTAGCAGAACCATCATCATGTATAGATAATTCAGATACATTCAATTGTAATAAATTCACACAGGCTTCAAGCTCGAAAGTATCCTGGAATTGAGAGCCCAGCAACACAGCAGTAATATGGGCAGTAACAAGTCCCAGCTCTGCATGAAGAAGTGAAGAGCCTGATGTAACTTACACAAGCTTTGATCTTGTGTGTGTATCTTGAACATGTGATAATTCACAGCAGTAATGTGATTTTGAGCCACTAAATGACAATGTGTGATTGCTTCTTTTTTTTCCTCCTATTGATTTATTTTGAGATGGAGTCTCGCTCTGTCACCCAGGCTGGAGTGCAGTGGCATGATCTCCACTCACTGCAACCTCCGCTTCCCAGGTTCAAGTGATCCTCCTGCCTCAGCCTCCGAAGTAGGTAGGATTACAGGCACGTGCCACCGTGCCTAATTTTTGTATTTTTAGTAGAGATGGGGTTTCACCATGTTGGCCAAGCTGGTCTCGAACTCTGTCCTCAAGTGATCCACCCACCTCAACCTTCCAAAGTGCTGGGATTATAGGCATGAGCCACCACGTCCAGCCCTTATTTTTTATTTTGATCGTCTTTCTGCCAGGTCCTGGGAGGCTTTTTGGGGTGCTGGTGTCTGTGTTGATTCCCCCACTCCTGTACACACCCGTCTGCTTGCGTGGGATCCACTGGGTAGCGTCACAGTTGACCAGACAGAACTTTCTAATCAGTTTTCCAAAGCCGTGATGAGGGTTTGGTGTTTTCTTCTGAGAATCTCACTTTCACAGTGTTTCCCCCACCAAATGCAGTGAAATTCAGCGTCTTTTTTTGGTTTTGTTTTTGTTTTTTTCTGAAGCTCTTAGAAAACAGCACTCAGGAAACGCACCAACTGGGCAACCTCTATCTTACCCACTAATCCTACCTTTGAGGATCTTTCCTGAGGAAATAATAAGGCATGTTACCTAGTTACACCCTTTATAATAGGAAAATATATATAAAATGAAAAAATATACAAAGGAAAAAATAATATAATGAGAAAAAATCACAGTACCTTTTATAATAGGAAATAGCTGGAAACAACCTAAATATCCAAAAATGTAAGATAGTATCAAATAATTAAGATAAAGTCATAGGATAAAATTCTATGCCACCCCCTGGGGTGAAATTTTATAAGAATATTAAATGTTAGAGGAAAATGATTCTAATATCAGTGAAAAAGTAAATTATAAAGCAGTGTGATTCCAAATACCTAACTACTTGTTGACAGTGGTTATCTCTGAGTGGTTGTGTAAGAATGCTTTATGTTTGCTTCTTTTGTTCTATATACATTTTCTAAAATTTCTTTAATGAAAACATTCTATCTTCAATGTAATGTTTAAAAAGAGAAGCTGGAAATGATAATGCCTGGACTCCCTTTGCTCACATTCAGAATCTCCTTTGCAAAGGCCAGACCCAGGCTCACGGCTGATGCCGCCAAAGGTGTTCAGTAGACCCTGGCATGGATACCGGGGCAGGTTCCTGGCTGGCGACGGGGTGCCCCTGGGTAAAGCTCCCCTCCAGAGGGTGCCCCCATGACCAGGGCTTTGCTGGAAGCAGCCTTCTGATGAGACGCTACCAGATTAGACAGACACTTCCTGATTAGACACTGTATTTTACCTGGAACCTAACTGATTGGACGGTCATACTTATTATCTTAGTTTCTTCTTTTAAAAAATGATAATAAGAATATTTAGTGACATAGAAAAATGTTTATTTACATGGTGAAGGAAGCAGATTAAGAAAATGTACACTCCTAATTATATATAATATATATAATGATAAATTAATGTGTTTCTTAGTTCTGACAAATGTATTGTAGTTAGGTAAGCTGTTAACAATAGGGAAAACTGGGTGAGGAGTATAGGGGAGCTCTCTGAACTATTTTTGCAACATTTCTGTAAACTTAAAATTATTCCAAAATAAAAGGTTTATTTTAAAATAAGGGAACTTATTCACTGTAGGGCACACATTTCTCAGGGCCTCAATTATTTAACATTTAATTTAATAAAACACTTTGGAAATCCAAAAAAATTACGTATGTATTTTTATCTGTATTACAAGTCTATTCACATGTAAGTTATAGAAGAAAGCTATTCTAGAAAATACACCAAAACAGGCCGGGCACGGTGGCTCACACTAGTAATCCCAGCACTTTGGGAAGCCGAGGCAGGCGGATCACCTGAGGTTGGGAGTTTGAGACCAGCCTGACCAATATGGAGAAACCCTGTCTCTACTAAAAATACAAAACTAGCCGGGCGTGGTGGCGCATTGCCTAATCCCAGCTACTTGGGAGGCTGAGGCAGGAGAATTGCTTGAACCAGGGAGGCGGAGGTTGCAGTGAGCCGAGATCGCACCATTGCACTCCAGCCTGGGCAACAAGAGCGAAACTCCGTCTAAAAAAAAAGAAAAGAAAAGAAAATACACCAAAATAATAACAACAGCTATATCTGTGGGATTTAGAATGATTTTTATTTTTTCTTTAGTTTTTCCAAACTTTTAAGATTTTCCTATAAGAAAACTCTTCTATAATTATTACCTATATAATTCTGTAGTATATACATTATATTATATAATATATAAAAATAAAATTACTTTTATGAGATTGCTTTTAAAATCAGAAAAAATTTAAAATAGCCACGTGGATTTTCCAAGAGTCCCACCAGCAGCTGTGAGGCTGAGAGTGTGTAAAGCCGGGCAAAGCTATTGGCAGGAGGAGGCAGCTATGCACGGGCTCTGGGTATCGTTCACACTGGAGGTACTATATGTGCTTAATATGGACTAGGCATGAGCAGCTAATAGTGCTTTTAGAACCACAAAGTCAAATTGATAATGATAGCATTCCTAATTTAGCACAATGAAAAGCCTGGTAACTATTGCCCGAGCTAATGAATGGGTAAGAGAAAGAAAAGCTTCTTTTCTTTTGTAAAGCTTAACATTAAAATTAGCTGCATCTGTTACCTTTGGTGCAAAAAGCAAAGACGGAAGAAACCCTGTTCCAGTTGGTATTTTGCCTCTGAGATCTTTATGCCTGAGCTCTTCAAGTCGCAGATAACAGTGAAGGCCCTAAGACTCACCATCCAAAACAGTTTTGGAAAAAAACCAAAGAAGAGAAAATAATTTCAAACCTTAAAGCAATGCATGGTGATTCTCTGGGGGGTCTAAGAATTTCTCCCAGAGAAATGATAAGGCAGACAAATGGAAGATCAATGAAGCAACATCGTGGCAATAATGCAATTGGTCCTGCCGTAGTCATGAACATGTAAATAACAAGACAGCAATAAGAAGACCCCAGACTCTGCCTAGAAACAAAATATTCAGCCTGTTGTTGTTGTTTCTTATTGCAGGATTTTGAGTGGAAAAGTAGTTCCACTTGTCAATCAGCTACGTTGCAGGGGCTAATAGATTCTGGTGTTTAGGGAGGTCAACACGGAATTTAATTTAACATCTCACAATACACCCACATGCCCAGAAAATGTGGACAGCTTGATAGGGTTCACTGAGCCAAAGAAGCAAGACCCAAACAGTGCATTAATGTATAGGGGAAGAATAGTTGCAATCAGCCCCTTGTGAATTGGACAGAGGGCTTGGAGATGAAGCAATTATCAGCCATCGGGGATTAATAGTAAAGTGTGAATACCAAGCTGTATATGTTAGGGGCAGAATATGTTGCCTATAGAAAACAACAAAGGACGTTTCTTACTATTAAGTGAGATTAAACGTAATGGCCTGATTTAATCACAAAGGCAGAATTAAATTCAGATGGCAACTTCAAAGTGGACACAGGAACACAGGCCACTGCTTACATTTACATATAGCTGGCATAGCTTGGCCTGCAACACAATAGGATAAAGTTTCTTTGGCCACTTAAACAATTTTCTATTCTTCACCTTTTTCTTTTTTTCTTTTTTTTTCTTTTGTGGGTGTGTGTGTGTGTGTGTGTGTGAACACTCACTGTATTTATTCCCCAATTGCATTTAGTTAGTAAGAAGGAGCTAAGTGTTATATTTATTCATGGAGGCTATAACTGTTAATTCTTCCAAATTGTGAAAAAAAAGCCTCATAGGGTCAATAAGAACAGAGTAGTTATAATCAGATTGTCACCAAAAAAGAAAAAGAAGAAAAGCAATTAAACAAAACAAACAAACAAAACTTTCTAGAGTGAACAGTGTCTTCTAACTTTCTCTCCCTTCAACTTAAGAATTCAGCTCTTGAGGTCTAAACTTCGCTCCCGGGAAAGGCAGCTTTCCCCCTCCTCGGGTGGAGATTTATGCCACCATCATGGAGCCCAGCCGAGCTGTTTTTCAATACAAGCCAGTTCCTCTTTCCTTCTTTGTTAATGAAGGCTTGTTTCCTTCTTTGCTCCCCACCGAAAAGGCAGTTCTCCTAAGAGGTTTGGGGGATAGAAGCCTGTTGCAGGGTTTAGAGGGGTTGAGGCACTTACTGAGAGTGGGTCCCCAGGGAATTTCCAGTACCCACAGGTTGAATGTAAAAATTAAGTATAGTAACTAAAAGACATGCTGGCCTCTGTCCAATGCCCAAGGACTGAATACATCTAAACTTTTCGGGTCCATAAAAGTCCCTTGCAAATTTTATGTATTTCTAGTTTATAATAGATAATGTATTATATATTATATACATTATATATTATATAAATGATTAATGAGCCCAGCCTTTGAACCTACAATCTTTCTTCAAATAATTTATTCTTCGTAGGCATAGCAAAAGAGCTTAAAGATCTTTGTATCAGGACATTCATCACAAAGTTTCTCCTTTTTTCCCCAAGACAGTCTCACTCTGCGGCCCAGCTGAAGTGCAAGGGCACAATCATAGCTCACTGCAGCCTGGAGCTCCTGGGATCAAGCGATCCTCCTGCCTAAGCCTCCTGAGCAACTGGGACTACAGATGCGCCCCACCACACCCAGATAATTCTTTTTTTTTTTTTTTTTTTTTTGAGATGGAGTCTTGCTCTGTCACCCAGGCTAGAGTGCAGTGGCTGCAGTCTCGGCTCACTGCAAGCTCCACCTCCTGGGTTCACGCCATTCTCCTGCCTCAGCCTCCCGAGTAGCTGGGACTACAGGCACCCACCACCATGCCCAGCTGATTTTTGTATTTTTAGTTGAGACAGGGTTTCACCGTGTTAGCCAGGATGGTCTCGATCTCCTGACCTCATGATCCGCTCGCCTCGGCCTCCCAAAGTGCTGGGATTACAGGCATGAGCCACCGCACCCAGCCACACCCAGATAATTCTTAAAAATTTTTGTAGAGACAATGTCTAGCTTTGTTTCCCAGGCTGGTCTCAAACTCTTGGGCTCAAGCAATCCTCCTGCCTTGGCCTCCCAAAGTGCTAGGATTACAGGCTTCAGCCACTGTACCTGGCCAGTTTCTTTTAATGTTAAAACCAAATAGGAATTAGCTAAAATGACTATCCTTATGGGATAAGCTTAACAAACTTTGCTATGAACTTATAATGAAATACTATGCAATCATTATAATGATCTGAATTTGAAATAATCTGAAATGATTTGAAATAATGATCTGGAGCTTTAGTTGATTAGAGAGACAGATACAGAAAGAAGCCTATAGCAATTTGTAGAATTCAATGTGTAAAAAGAGAAATGTTTGAGAAAATGTCAGCCAAATGTTAACAGTATTTTTCTCCAAATGGTGGGACTTGGTTGATTTTTATTTTTTCCTTGGTACTAACTGACTTTTTTTTTTTTTTTTTTTTTACAATTAACACAAATTGCTTTTACAATAAAATCTCTATTTTATTTTTTTAAAAAAATTTTTTGAGAGGCTTTGGTGAGCATTTGGGAAATGACTTTAAAGGGAGAAGAGGGGATTTTTCTGAGGCCAAAATGAAGGAAAAGGTATCATAAATCTTTGGTGTTTGGGCCTCTGCAAGACAGGCATCTCACCCCGTCCTGATGAGCCTGGGTCCCGGGACCACTTGCTTCTGCAACTTGCCTTTTCTCAAAGTCCTACTTTTGGGTTTAAAGCATTTCTCTTCCTTTTTTGTCATTGCCTTCTTGCGTTGACAGAGATTTTCTGAGTTTGATTTGCCCCTTGAAAAGAATAGATTGATCATCTGTAAAGACGTTGCAATCAGATGTCAAACCAATCCAATCGAGGAAAAAGGCTGGGAGAGGTGAGTTTGTGAGGGAGAGGTAGAGCATGGATCAACTCCTCTGTCACCAGACAAAGCTAATGTGCAATGGCCTGTGGCTTTCTTTTGAGCGATTCACTAATCAATGTAAATGCAGGCTCTAAGGTCGGACAAGCTGAAGTGTCTGGGGGCCTTGGTAACTTGCCCAACATCCAGTGTGACCAAGAAAAATACTCCCCAACGATAGCCTTCTAGGTTTGCACCGTATCATTATGACACTTAAAACGAGACTTTTTGATTTCAGTTGATTGCAAATTGCCCGTCTACGTTCTTAGAAGACTGAGGAGGATGTATGAGACGAAGATTTAAAAAACGCAGCTGGGTGCGATGGCTCACTCCTGTAATCCTAGCGGTTTGGGAGGCCGAGGCGTGTGGATTGCCTGACCTCAGGAATTCGAGACCAGCCTGGACAACATGGTGAAACCCCATCTCTACTAAAATGCAAAAAATTCTGGCCGGGCACAGTGGCTCACGCCTGTAATCCTAGCACTTTGGGAGGCCGAGGCAGGCGGATCACCTGAGATCAGGCGTTCGAGACCAGCATGTCCAACATGGTGAAAACCCGTCTCTACTAAAAACACAAAAATTAGCCAGGCATGGTGGCATGTGCCTGTAATCCCAACTACTTGGGAGGCTGAGACACAAGAATCGCTTGAACCCAGGAGGTGGAGATTGCAATGAGCTGAGATCGTGCCACTGTACCCCAGCCGGGGGACAGGGTGACACTCTGTCTCAAAAAAAAAAGGAAAAAATGCCCGTGAGTTCACTAAGGGTTGCCTGAAACAGCAGAAGGGCCCAGGTTTCTTATTTACCAGAAATGGAAGTGATGCTAACCAGAGTTCCACACGTGCCTTCAGTATGTGCTTCTTGGGGCACCCTTGGGCAGAGGGGTCCTCCTGGTGATGATGCAATGAGACCACACTCTCGGGGCACGAATGGCAACTGCACAAAGTTGAGGCATCTGCACTCACACGGGGACTTATTCTGCCCATTCCCTTAGCACCAAATTAGAAAGAAAAAGATTGCCCCCTGCAAAACAACTTGCTAGATTATTCCAAGGCAGGATAAGGCACAGAAAATATGCCATGTCTGCCTTTCATCACCTTAGGTAGGAGGAGAGCAAACTCCAGTTCCTTTCTTGGCCCTTTTTTTAGACGGAGTCTCGCTCTGTTGCCCACACTGATCACCGATCACTGCAACCTCCGCCTCCTAGGTTCAAGTGATTTTTCCCCTCTCAGCCTCCCTGAGTAGCTGGGATTACAGGTGCTCGCCACCACGCCCAGCTAATTTTTCTATTTTTAGTAGAGACGGGGTTTCACCATGTTGGCCAGGCTGGTCGAACTCCTGACCTCAGGTGATCCACCCGCCTCGGCCTCTGAACGTGCTGGGATTACAGGCGTGAGCCACCGCACCAGCCTCTTAGCCCTTTTTGAAGTTATTTCTTGAAGGTGGATGTGTACGTCAGGTCAGACTTCCTCTCTTAAACAACCTACCCTCGGCTTCTAGGAAGGCAGCAATTGCTTCATTTTCAAGCAAACAGAAGAGAAATACAGAACATTCCTAGGGTCTTTTACAATCACACAAAATATAAATGAGCATTTTAAAAACTTTTATTTCTAATTTTTGTGGGTACATAATAGGTGTATATATGGATTACATAAGATATTTTGATACAGGCCTGCAATGCATAATAATTACATCAGGGTAAATAGGGTATCCATTTATCCTTTGTGTTATAAACAATCCAATTATACTCTTTTATTTAAAAACATACAATTAAATTATTCTTTACTGTAGCCATCCTGATGTGATAGCAAATACTAGGTCTTATTTATTCTAATATTTGTACCCATTAACTATTCCCCCTTCCCTACTCTCCCAAATGAGCATATTTTTAAAACATTTACTGTTTCTTTCTGATTATAAAAGACATGCAGGTTCATATCAAATTCAAATACATACTGAAATAGAAAAAGAAACTCTATGTCATGTATAACCCACCTCCCAGGGATAATGACTGTGAACAGTGAGTAGTGCTTCCTTCCCGTTGTTTATTCTACACATATATAATCGAACACACAACTCGATTTTTCACGTAGCTGGAATTATATGGGCTGTATTATTCCATTTCCTTTCCCTTAGTTTTAATATTCCATCAGAGCATCAGGAAATGCAAGGCTCTGAGGAATTCTGAGAATAGTAATAATCATAGTAGGAGTAATGCAGTCAGTAGTAGCACTCTAGTTTGTATTTATTGTAGTCTGGATTCCACATAGGGCTTTTCTCCAGGGAGCTGAAGGTATTTTATATTTCCTTCCTAATAGACCTGGAACAAGGAAAACTATGCGACTAACTGTCAAAAGAGATGAGATGGGCCTGACACAGTGGCTGACGCCTATAATCCCAGCACTCTAGGAGGCTAAGGAGGGAGGATTGCTTGAGCCTAGGAGTTTGAGACCAGCCTGGGCAACATGGTGAAACCCTGTCTCTATAACAACAACAACAAAAATTAGCCTGGCATAGTGGCACACACCAGTAATCCCAGCTACTTGGGAGGCTGAGGTGGGAGGATCGCTTGAGCCCAAGAGGTTGAGGCTGCAGTGGCCCTGATCGCAGCCACTGCACTCCAGTCTGGGCAAAAGAGCAAGACACTGTCTCAAAAATATATATAGAGAGAAAAATAAATACATAAAGAGATGAGATGACTTCCTTGTGGAGTCGCACACCTAAGTCATAACCAGGAGCAGCCCCGAGTCTGTGTCCACAGAGGTGGGCAGGAGTCACCTTGGGACATGTGGCCTTCCTCTGCAACAGGCAGGTGGCACTGAATATGCACAGCTCCTCCTTGGAGGTGGGGGTGCTGCTCTCCAGAGCCTCCATGCACACGCTCCCCTGAGGCCTGAGTCACCCCGAGCTGGGCGTGAGGGGGCCAACCATGGTCCCAGCTTCCTCTATCCGCCCCTGCTGCGGCTGTGACTGCCGCCGCGTGGACCCGGGCTGCCCTGCCGGCCCATGGCTCCCGCTGCGCCCCGGCGGGCTGACAGTTGTAATGCTGTCATCCGTGTCCGCTCACAGAAAGAGCAGGAAGCCCAATTGCCCCACACAAAGGCCTGAAGTGCTCGTGTGAAAGGTCACTAAGTGCTGTCATCTGGGCCAGGGAGGGGGCCGAGAAGGCGGCGCCCACTGAGAACAACAGAACCAGGGGCAGGATCTTCACCTCGGCCTGTGGCCTGGGGTGTCCAGAGAGAGAGACAAAGACTCAAGTGGGAGCTGAAGGGACTTGGGAGCGAGGACGCCGGAGGGATGAGAGGCGCCTGGGCCGGTTCCTTAGGCAACCAGTGGCCCGTGGGCCTCCATAACTCTGCCCAGAGGCTGACAGCTCCCATTCATCCCCCAGGCCGGGCAGGTGGCAGGGCGGCCTGAAAGGAGCGGGGAAGCAGGAGGACAGGTCCCAGAAGAAGCCCCTGGGACGCTCCAGGCTCTGCGGGGAGGCCCCATCCTCCAGCCTCCTGCTAGGGGGATGGGAGGTCAGCAGGCTGTTTGTGGAACCCCAAGAAACACAGTTTAATGATAGCAAAAACTACTAAGCATACTATTTAGTGTCAAATTAGATGCCGTTTAATGTCACATTTGAGTTTATAAATGTGGCCACGACTACAAAGATTTAAGAAAACAGAGCTTGGAAGTAAAACTGAGCAAGAAAAAAGCCAGGGGGGTGGGGGCTGTTTCCTTGCCCTCAACAGTCTCAGTGAGCTGGGGGCAAAGACCACAGCCATCCATTTTTCATTAGGACACTTGAGTGTGGCCCAAAGGACGCCAGGGCTCTGGCAGGACATAATTTAGGAACTGCGGAAGACAGAGCCCCAGCGCAGTTCTCTGCTATCTTGAGGCATGCTGTGCAGTTTCAAATATGGGTCTGAAAATCAAATAGCGATCTTGAGGTCTTGGGCAATTTATTTAAACTCTCAGTGCCTTGGTTTCCCACCAGTAAAAAAAGGGTTCTTGGCTGGGCATGGTAGCTCAAGCCTGTAATCCCAGCACTTTGGGAGGCCGAGGCGGGCAGATCACGAGGTCAGGAGATCAAGACCATCCTGGCTAACACGGTGAAGTCCCGTCTCTACTAAAAATATGAAAAATTAGCTGGGTGTGGTGACATGCACCTGTAGTCCCAGCTACTCAGGAGGCTGAGGCAGGAGAATGCTGGAACCCGGGAGGCGGAGGTTGCAGTGAGCCGAGATCATGCCACTGCACTCTAGCCTGGGCGACAGAGTGAGACTCCACCTCAAAAAAAAAAAAAAGAAAAGAAAAGAAAAGAAAAAAGAAAAAAAAAAGCAGGGGGTTCTTTTGAAGATTAAGTGTTTTACTACCCATAAAAACTTAGAACAGCACCACATAAAACAGTCAATAAGTGCTAATTATCATCATTTTCATCATCTTCATCCTCATTATCATCACCCTGGCTGGTGAAATTATTGGTGAATTTAATTTAGTTCTTTACATTTTTTATTGCCTAAAGCATCTACAATGATCATGTATTATTATTACAATGAGAAAAGATGGAACTTTTTTAGAGAAAGAAAACAGCCCTGATGCTGCCTTCCACAACCCCGGGGGGAAGAGAGAGCAGAGAGATGAAGTCACAAAAGGGAAGGGCCACTCTCCAACCGAAATTCGCCTTCTTTGTAACTAGAAAAAGGTGGAGGTGAAGGTTGGGGTTTTTTCTCCCCCCATCTTAGCACACAGAGAAACATGACTTTTGCAGAGCATACAGACCTGGCTTCAGGCTGAGGACGGGGTGACTGACTGTCCCAGTTGGCTTGGATGTGGGACTTTGAGTGCAAGTCGATCACTGGAGTTGAGGGAGCAGGTTTTCAGGCACACCTGTGACCCCTCCGGGACACACCAGCTGGAGCTCTAAAATTTTTGCTTTTCGGCCCAAGATTTAAACCATACCCACAAAGCTAGGCAGGAAGCACTCTCAGTGCTCTAGGGACGAGTTTTAAGAGGACTGGAGTTGGAGGCCAGCCTGGTGGCTCACACCTATAATACCAACACTTTGGAAGGCTGAGGCAGGAGGATCACTTGAGGTCAGGAGTTTGAGACCAGCCTGGACAAGATGATGAGACCTTCTCTATACAAAAAAAAACATCAAAATTAGGAGGGCATGATGGTGTGCACCTCTAGTCCCAGGTACTTGGGAGGCTGAGGTGGGAAGATCTCTTGAGCCCAGGAGGTTGAGGCTGCAGTGAGCTGTGATTGTGCCACTGCACACCAGTTTGGGAGACAGAGCAAGATCCCCTTCTCAAAAAAAAAAAAAAAAGAGAGAGAGAGAGAGAGAACTGGAGTTGGAAAGAAAAAGGAAATGAAGTCAAGTCTATTCCTGGTCCTTTCTATAGAAGATCAACCTTGCTCTTAAGACAAAGCAACATCCTTGGAAACCCTGGCAATGTACTATTCTCTGTGTTGTGGTTTCTAAAAGGACGCTGTCACCAAAGGCACACATAATGGAGTCCCCGGGAAGCTGCACTGAGCACCCAGAGCCGGGTGGTCCAAAGAAATGCCTTTTCAGCACCTCTGAAATGAATGACGCCCCATGAAGGAGAATGGCAATGAAGAGGTAGGAGCAGCTTGGGAATTTAGAGCAGAAATCGCAAACAAATTTTACAGAGAAGCAATGTGGGAGCAGTTTTGACTGATCCCTCCAGGAAATCTCCAGGAGCGGGCAGTAGCTATTTTGTTCCAGTTGCAACTGAATTTGCCCAAGGTCACATAGCTAGGAAACCGGGAGCCAGGAGACAGCAGGGACTTCAGGCCACAGGCCACAGCCTCTCTCAAAGGAAGCATGGCTTAGGGTTGAAGAACCACCCCAAAAGCAGGGAAGTGGGGAGCAGGAAGGGTGCTGCCCCACAAGCTATAGGAGAGGGTGCCATGGAAAGGGCTGTGTATCCGTTTCCTTTGACTGCCATAACAAAGTACCATAAATTTGGTAGCTTACACAACACAAATGTATTCTCTCACAGTTCTAGAAGCGCAAATTGCAGAAGGCAGGGCCTCTTTCCCTCCGAAGGCTCTAGGGGAGGATGCTTCCTTTTCTCTTCCAGCTTCTGGAAGTGGATCCTGGCATTCCTTGGCTTGTGGCCACATCACTCCAATCTCTGCCTCCACCTTCACAGGGCTTTCTTCTCTTCTCCCTGTGTCTCTCTTCTGTGTATATCTTATGAAGACAATTATCACTGGACTTAGAGCCCAACTGGATGATCCGGGAGGATCTCATCTTGAGATGTTTAACTTGCTTATCTCTGCATTATTTTTTCCAAATGAGGGCGCATTCACAGGTTCCAGAGGTTGAGACAGGGACATGTCTTTCTGGAAGCCACCATTTCACCCATTATAGCCTGGGGACAAGGAGTGTTCGAAAACCAGGCACCAAGTTGTCTGGGTTTATTCCCAAGAAGGTACACTCTGCTGAGCATGAATCTGATCGGGATTCTGATTTACAATTATCTGCCCACCCCTCAACTCTGCCAGCAACCCTAAAATGGTTCACTGCTTAGCGAGCACTCTCACTCTGTGCGGTACCTTTCATGACCTTCTCTGCTCTCTGTAAACCACTGCCCCTTACCTCCCTGTCACTCTCAGCAAATGACCTTTCTGCTGCTTAGTAGAGAAAATAGAAGGCTTCAGAGAAAAACAGCCTCAACGGCCTCATTTTCCCATCCCCAGCCCCCAGTACTTTCCTGCCTCTGCCCTAGCCTCTCCTGGGTCCCTCCATTTCCATAAGAATGGAATTTTCTCCTCCAGCCCAGGTCAAATGATGCCACCTGGTTGAGTCCTCAGCCCTCCCATTTCCTGAGTCACCTGCAAATCATCCTAGCTGTCTTCTCTGGCTTCAACATCTCCTGCTTTTGTGGAACCCTCCCCCATCATTGAAACACAGGCATTTTCTTCCACCTTAAAATCGGAAAAAAAAATAAAAAAATAAAAAAGCAAATGCTCTCCCTTCACCTCACTTCCACTTCCAGCAAGCAGCTTCCATCCTTCCCAGGCGAGCTTCTCCTTGTATTATCTGCACTTCCTGCCTCCATTTCCTCCCTGTCCACACAGTCCCCTCCACCTAAGTGGCCCACGTGCTTCCAAGCCGCAAAATCCAAGGGTCTTTCCAGCCTTCATCTTCCCCAGCAGAACTGGCCATTAATAACCCGCCCTGCCTAACTGTAATATTGTATGGTCTTGAATTCTGTGACTCCACGTTCTCCTGGTTTTCTTCCTACTTCTTTGGCTACATCTTCTCAGGCTTTTGTTCATAAGTTGATTCTCCACAGGGCATGTAAATATTAGAGCTCAGGATCCCTCCTTTTTCACTCTAGTTCTTTCTGGGCAGTCTCCCTGCTGGGGCTCAAACTGCAGTGTATGTGACCACCACTTGCAAATGCTAATCTCCACCTTCAGAGATCAGGTATTCAACAACCTAGCCCACACCTGCTGGATGTTTTAAAGGCAGCTTATACTCAAAATATCCAAAACAAAGTTCAAGATCATTTATCCCACAAACCTGGGCCCTTTCCATCTTCCCCTGTTTCTGTGGACCAAACTACCACCCATCTAGCCAGCCAGGAAAGTCATCGCCACAATCTCCCTCTCACTCCCATTGGATCAGATTCAAAATGATGTTGCCATTGCAGGAAAGCCTCATTCTGTTTTTCTTTGTTTTGAAGAGTAGAAATGATGCTATGGGTATCTTGAGGCTTAAGAAATCCAGTAGAGAATGGAGTCTGAATTTTTAATAAAATGTTTCCCATTTCTGTGATTAGGATTCTTTTAGGGCCATTATCCAACGATCTATCTTGATTTACCTGGTGGCTGGAAACTCCAGGATTTATGATATTTCTTGGATCTTGATTTCACAAGAAAAGATAATTCATGGAAAACCCTTAAATCACTGTCAGACTCAGAATGCCTGCCATCCTTTCACGGTATAACCAACTGACTTACAACCGCTGTAAATAAAACCACATAATGGTTACAAAATTTTAAAAAGGAGTTTTGGGGGGTGAGAAAATGACAAAGAGATACATGAAATTGAATTCCTAAGGAAGAATACAATTTCAAAATTGTGATTTAAATAGATCTGAAAATGTTGGCGTTATTGTCATAGGTTTTTAAAAAAATCTATCTGAAAAGGTGTCACCAGAGAGAAGAGCAAGAAAAAGATATGATCAGGCCTGATTATAGATAGATACAGAATAATGTATATGTTGGCTTAATTCTAAATGGGATAATAAAATAAAATTTACACTTCTAATTTTGTGTCTCATGCATTACACATAGTAAAGAAATATTGGTCTACTTTTTCCAAATAATGGTAATAGTCCAATTCTGTGCTAGGTTGTTCTTTATTGGGTCTATTGATCTCAAGTGGCTCTGGCCTAAAGACTGTGATCACTCTCTGTTCTATCTGGATGCAAGTGCTGAGTTCCTTAGTCTGTTGATCAAAGAATTTCAAGGAGGCCGGGCGTGGTGGCTCAGGCCTGTAATCCCAGCACTTTGGGAGGCCGAGGCGGGCGGATCACGAGGTCAGGAGATCGAGACCATCCTGGCTAACACGGTAAAACCTCGTCTGTACTAAAAATACAAAAAATTAGCCGGGCGTGGTGGCAGGCGCCTATAGTCCCAGCTACTGGAGAGGCTGAGGCAGGAGAATGGCTTGAACCCGGGAGGCGGAGGTTGCAGTGAGCTGAGATCGCGCCACTGCACTCCAGCCTGGGCGACAGAGCGAGACTCCGTCTCAAAAAAAAAAAAAAAAAAAAGAATTTCAAAGAAAATAAGATTTGGGTGTTATGCCAAGGTTTTGTGTTTTGTTTTGTTTTGTTTTGTTTTACAAGCATTGGTGTCTCTCTTGGAATTTTTTCAGGATTATTTTCTCTCTACAACACAGAAATAGCCAACATGCAAGTATCAACCCCAAATGGCAATCTAGAGTTCCATCACCTCAAGATTCTTTCTTTTTAAAAGGGAAGTGGTATGGAGTAGGAAGTTTGGGATAATTGTTTTCAAATTTCATTTTCACCCCTTACTAGCCATGTGTTGGGCAAGTTACTGAATCTCTCTGAATTTTCAGTTTTGTGTCTGTAAAATGGTAATAATCAACCTATATTATAGGTATATTGTTAGGATTACAGGGCATCATATACAAAAAGTACTCGACATAGTGTCAATATTCAAGAAACCTTAGTTTCCTTTTATTTTACTTTGATTATAGTATTTGAACTTTAATGATTACCCTTTTTGTAAACTTTTTTTTCTCTTTTTTTTTAATGAGATGGGTTTCATTCTGTTGCCTAGGCTGGTCTTGAACTCCTGGGCTCAAGAGATCTTCCCACCTCAGCCTCCTGAGGGATTGCAGGCATACACCACTGCACCCAGCTTTCTGGGTACAGTGTACTTAAACATTTTAAGTATGTTATTGACACTTTGCTAGGAAATGCCCATCATGAAAGAATCGTGAAAACTTCTATCATGTGTATGAAACTTTTGCATGTTCACGGCATTTCACAACAGTAACACTCCTCTTCCTTGAAGTCCCATGGGTTTTCTGTAATCCCTGCTGGCTTTATAGTTGAGTTCACCGAGGCACAAAATAACCCATAAAGTACCATTAACAACAGAACAGCCACCATGCAGCAAAGCAATCCAGTGAGCCAAATTCCTTTGCCAGAATATCTATGCACCAGCCCTAAGCCTGAGCCAACAAAATCCAGGTGAATGCAACACTAGATCCCAAAAATGGTTTTTGGTTTTGGCAATAAGAGTGGCGCGTCTTCATAGTTTGACCAATATTTATTTTGGTCCTACTATGGCCCAAGAGCTGTAGCAATGAGTAAAGAAGGCATGTTTCACTGGATTTCTATGCAATCATGGCTGTGTAGGAGTAGGACTAGAATGATGAGCACATAACAGGAAGATTTGACGTGGTCTGGGAGGTCTGGAGCTGCTGCCATGGGGGGGAACCATTGTCTAACATAAATGCTAAACAATGAGCATGTTATCAGTTAGATGAAGCGTGTATGCATCCCATGGTGTGGCTAGAACCCCATGGAGTTCTAGAAGAAGCTGGTGAGGGAGTCCAGGCCACAGGGTGCAGGACCTAGTTAAGGATGTGCCTCTATCCCAATACCTAGGGGCCCACAATGAGTTGATGCATCCGACTACACTGGTCATGGGAACAGCAACTTGCTCCCCTCCCCCATAAAGAACATTCTAGCTAGCACAAGGTTATTTTAGTAAATGGCTGCCCTGCTTAGATGAGCCACTAGTCAAAAAATTCCATTTTATTAATCTGTAAGTGTAAGCCTAAAGTTAAACCTGCTTCTCAGATGTTTAATGTCGAGTGACACCCTAAATGTCATGCCAGGCTGGCTGTGGAGAGCTGGTTCATTAGGATACCAGGAGGGCTTCTAAAACTCGGATGCCCAGACCTCAACCTAGATCAATTAAATCACACTCCTGGGGGAGTGGGACCCGGCATCAATATATTTCTTTTCTTTTCTTTTCTTTTCTTTTTGAGACGGAGTTTCGCTCTTGCTTCCCGGGCTGGAGGCAGTGGCACAACCTCGGCTCACTGCAAACTCCGCCTCCCGGGTTCAAGTGATTCTCCTGCCTCAGCCTCCCGAGTAGCTGGGATTACAGGCATGTGCCACCACGCCCTGCTAATTTTGCATTTTTAGTAGAGACGGGTTTTCTCCATGTTGGTCAGGCTGGTCTCGAACTCCTGACCTCACGTGATCCACCTGCCTCACCCTCCCAAAGTGCTGGGATTACAGGCGTGAGCCACCGCGCCCAGCCAGGATCACTATATTTCTTAAACTCCTTAGGTAATTCCAGTGTGCAGCCAAGTTTGGGAAGCTGTGAACCAAGAGTCTCTTCACCTCGCGTCTCTCCTTCCCCCAGGCAGGAGGAAGGAATGAGTAGCAGTGACCATCCATGAAACGGATTCGGGACTTTCTTTTAGCTTAAGATGAGAGTAGATAGTGGAAGAGGAGCCTGTCCAAATACCATCTGCAGACGAAGGAGCGTCTACAAAACACACGAGGGACCTAGAAACCAACAGACCCATCCCATCTCTCTCAGGTTCAGCAATTCTTTCCTTCCTCGGAGGGCGTTTCTGATAGGACAAGCTGGGCCCGGGCGGATTCTCACCCCACCACCCCAACTCCAGGCTTGGGTCCATCTGCCGCCAGTGGTGACTTGGGTGGCGCCCTCCGCAGCAGACAGCCGTGCGCCCTCGGCGACCCGGTCCCTGCGCTCCGGCGCCCGCAGGTCCTCGCTCCCGGCTTCTGCACCTCCCGCTCCGGGACATCTGGCTGAGCCGCGCCTCCCTCTCCCCGCAGCCTCCGCCGGCCCCGCCTCCCCTCACCACCCTTCCCTTGTTTGGGGCGGTAAGGTCAGAAGCGTTCAACAATTCAACGTGGGAAGTCTCTCGGAGGAAGTGCCAGGTCATAAATTTCACCCAACAAGAGGCTCCCATCAAGCTTGGGCTTGTTAGGAAACCTCCCAGTCGCTAATCGAGGGTTAGGCAGCTCCAGGGCGGGTGGGCTACGGGGCAGCCAGGGAGCAAGGATGAGGGCCTGGGGCTGCGGGTGCAGAGGGTTGTTGGGGTCCAGGTGTTCAGTGCCTTGCGCGCGTGGCTGTCGCTCTGCCCCTCTGGTATTGCCCGGCTGTATCACAACCCTTAGATGTGTCCAAACGGTCCTTGTGTGTATAAGACACACACCCACGCACATTTGGGAGAAGGGGGTAGTCAGTGTCTCTTTACATTGCAGCGGTACGTTAAACCCCGTCTGGGTTATTTTAAGCCTGAAGTTCATGAAAGGAAACATTTGAGTAAGTTAAGGCTGTGTTGAATGCCGCGTTCCTTATGACCTTGCCATCTGAATGTGATGGTGGTTCCCAGAAGAAACAAACAGGCAAGAGGTTAAAGACAGAGTTCTAGACCCAGCCCTTGCTGTGTGACCCTGAGTGAGTCACTGTATGTCTCTGAGCCCCATTTCCCGCCGCGGAGTGAGGGAATTGGAGGGTCGGTGGGCGTGAGGCAGCTCTAAGTCCCCCTGGGCTCTAACGGCCTCTGGTCTTTGCCCCTCCTCCCTCTCCCTGCAGTACTAACAAGGTGAAAGAAGGGTCTTATCGAATTCAGCCTTTGTCCTGCTGCCATTTGTCATGGGAAATCTTTCCAGGGACTGGCACTCTGACTTGGTTGGAAAGCCAAGGGTATTGAGCCCACATCAATAGAAGGAAGGTTTGCAAGCCAAGTCTACACCTGCCCTCTGCCGTGCCCAACAGAGGGGAGACAGTCTGGGGATTATTTACCCCTGGAACTTTTGCTGCAATAAATAAAGCAATGCTGGAGGCTTGAAGGAGTTTAAAGACTAACAGGGGAGATAATAATTGTTACTATGCACCAGGCAGGGTTCTAAGTCCTTTGCATAAATTAACCCACTTAAGCCTCCCAACAGCTCCCTGAGGTTGGATACTATTAGCCCATTTTTACAGGTGGGTAAACTGAGGTACGGGGGGTTAAATAATTTGCCTAAGATCATACTACAGGGAAGCAGTAGAGAGGAGACTCGAACCCCTGAAAACACAAAGAGCAGCCCTGGGCCCTCGGCAAAGACGACGCTTCCTATCCCGGGGACAGAGGGAGACAAGTCCAGGCATCCCAGAGAGCAGGAATCCCAGAGCAAAGGCCAGGAGTGGGACCACAGGCAGAGTAAGGGGCCCAGGTGGCTGGTGCACCCGCCTGAGGATCGGATGTCTCTCTGGGGCATTGTGTCTACTTAAAGCGCTTGGCTCAGGTTTTCCATCAGGCCCAGAAGAGCCATTTTGGGGCAGCACAGAGACCTCAGAGGAATGAGCTCAACTGAGCGGCTGTAGTTTGCAAAAGCTGCCGACCAGACAAGCTTCACCCTTCAGACCAAAAAGAAAAATCCCCTCTGGAGCCTGAATTGTTCGGCAAAAAAGATAAACGTAGAAGCCAGTCCCAGATCTTAGAGCACCTCAATGGGACATGTGGATCATTTTCTGTAGTTAACAAGGAACCCTTAAAAGAATAAGCCATTCTTGTTACGGCTTTTGAATTGTGATGGCTTTTGCCTGCAATATCTGTATGTTTATGGCAAAATCATTATTTTGAGATGAACTATCTGGATAACTGTCGGAGAGAAACTGCAGGCTGCATTTCACCACTGATGCTCTGTTTTATGCATGTGTTGCATGTATTCCCACCAGTTGGTGGTAAACTTTTGCATTTTTCAAGCCTGTCAGAGGACCGACCCACTTTCTGTGCAGTGTCAGAAGCTCAAGAGAGAAGCCAGAAGAAAAAGACACAGTAGCCTGTAGCCTTCGGTGCACATCTGCAAAGAATGCATGCCTATTGCCACTATTGCATTCTGTCCGGGGCTCTATCATTCATCTTCTAAGCCAAACTTCTGCCAAGTCCTCTCATTTGTCCATCGAACATTTCCGTACCGGCTGTTTTTCCATCTTACCTCGCCAAAGTTGTTTATATTCTCCCTGAGTGACAGAGCAAACAAAAGCTGGGCAAAAGCAAACAAATAGGGTCTTCTGATAATTGAACCACTTTTGAATCTTTCATTGACAACATCTCCACACCGAAGAACACCTGCCATAGGTATCAAGCATAAATGCTTCTTCATCAATGGTTGCTTGCATCGAAAAGGGCTCAGAAAGATAGGACTCCTGACTGTTCCCTCAGAAAACGTTTGTGTTTCAGCTCATCTGGGATTGGAGAGCCCATTTCTTCCTGATGTGTGTCACTTGGAGGCCTCCAACCTGCAAACATCAGGATGGCTGCTTCCCTGCAAAATTAGGCAGCTGCAGGTTGACTTGAGTCTGTGTCTCCCGATCCAGAATGTGGGACGATGCAATTGAATAAGTGTGGGATGCTTTCTTCATAGCATAATGCTACACGATGACTTCCTACAGACACACACACTGAGAGAGACCAAGGGAGGATAAATTTGGGATAAAAATGCCACAATCTCATGGCCTCAACACCAAACTGGTGCTGATCCAATTCTTCCCGAAATGAAATGTGATGTTTCTGAATTCCTTCTGGCTGCCGCTGAAAGCCCCCACTTTTCCTGGTGACTGTGGGAGGCTGCGATGTGGTGGGGGTGGGGCACGGAGTACTGGGCGCTAAGCTCTCTCCTGGCTTCACATAAAGGAAGCAAAATCAAAATCCAAGCCTGAAAAAAAAGAAAAAAAGAAAACTAAATTTAATTGGCTAGGAAACAGGATTCCTGGGGCCTCTGCTTTCCCAGCTTCCAGAGAAGGATTTAGGCTGGGACACTTCCCCGCCCTCAGGACAAAAAGAAAAAAAAAAAGGATTAAATTCGGGTTGGGTCTGGCTAGTACAAATTGCATGCAGAGTATACAGTTGCTTTGCATATTGCATGTGCTTTCATGGAGAGGGAAAACGGGGGAAGAGGGAGGGCAGGGACACTAAAGAGGGGAAAAAACTAAAAACAACTTGCTGTTTTCATATGGTCGGATAGAACTGTTTTGTCTTTGTAACTGTGCAGAATGTCAATGGTAGGCACCGTGTCGTGACAAGATTTTTTTTTTTTAAGTTAAGCTAAGCTCACACCCGAGCTGTAGCCCCCCGAGGTACTGCAGCTTTAATTGTGTTCAGTATGATCTACAGAACAATATGTCTTGATAAATCTGAATGGCAACCCAGCGCACGGTTCCCCTTGGCATTGCTGCAAAGCCAGGCCTCGCTTTAGTGAACCCGTTCAGGAATGTGGGTTAATTCGCCGACCCTTTTTACCCCCACAGCTCTGTTTTTGTGAGGTTGGCAGAAACTGACACGTTTTCTTTTGCTTAATTAAGTTGTTCAGTAGAAGGCTGGTCAAACAGTTGCATCTACGTGGGGAGTCTGGAGATGCACAGAAAGCCGTGGGCGTTTCCAACATAAAAAGGGGGATTCTGTTATTGTTTGGGTGTAGACGGGTCATTTTTTCAAAGTTACTGCTGCCTGAGTGACCACAACCCTGTGCGCAGCCCTGAAAGGACATTAAAGCTGCTTAAATACAACTACCTTCGGTTTACTTTTTAAAAGAGAGAGAGAGAGAAAGAGGGAAAGAACAAGCAGGAGAGAAACGAAGCGGTCCCATTTATGTAGCATTTTATTTCTTTCCGGACTTTTTTTTTTTTTTTAAGGCAAAGAGTGGGCTCATTTGCATAAGAGATGCCCATACATTATGAATTACTGCTAGTATGATCAAACTCTCTTTCCAATCAGTAAAACAAAACTGGTACCATACCCATAGAAATTGCACTGGCCTTCTGAACAGAGGAGTGGGATCTAATCACCCTTATGCCAGACATTGGGGTTAGGAAAATGTCTAAAATCTCCATTGATGAAATTCCCGCTTTCGTTCCTTGGTGATATTATGACAACCACACACAGTATCAGTCTCATGGATTCTCAAAGGAACTGAGGGCCTGATTGGAGGCCTCCTCCATCACGTCTCTGTCCCTTTTTGAAGCCTCCTATATTTCTAATTCAAATCACCTTTATCATTGATATGCAGATCCCCCCGATTTTCTGTGGATATTTGGTCCCAGCAAGAGTTTTTCTCATTGCACGTACTGTGTGATATATTTAACCGGAGGCAGGTGGAGGCACTGGCACCTGGGCTTTGGGATCCTAGTGCTAACAATGAATGGCCTTGGTCTACTGTATGCCCTGAGTTGTTTCTATTGATGCCACTGTGCCTCAGTTTATCCATAACAGCAGATGCTCATTGTGGGTACTTAACAGGCACCTAATACATACATTTCTGAGTTTAAGCTGCCCCTTTCTCCCTTGGCAATAAAGCAATAATTAGAAAACTCACTGATTCCGCAGCACCTGGCACCGTCACTGTGCTGATAATCAACACCATGATTTTCAGCAGTTATGAAGCCCGGGTGCCCATTGGTGAAGCATCAGGCTTGCAGGGCTGCTCAAGGGATGTTTGTACATACTTGGTCTTGCAGAGAGCCATTATGCCTGTTTGGAAGCCAGGCACTCCAATTTTCCCCCAGGTCCCAGAACTGCAGCTTTTGGAAAGCCCAAAGATCAGCCTCTTCCTTCTAGAGAGAGAAAAGACTGCAGGGTCAAACATTTCAAGAGACTTCACCATGATTTTTCACTTCTCTTAATATACAAGAAACAGTAGGCAATTATTTGACTGATGTTAGTTGCATGAATGGCAAAATGATTCTCAGGCCAAAGAACAATCCATTTTGGAGTATAAATGACTTGGATCAGCAGTCTACACTGATATCAGCTGTTTGTTTGTTTTTTAAAGTCTCACTATGTCACCCAGGCTGGAGTGCAACGGCATGATCATGGCTCACTGCAGCCTCGATCTCCTGGACTCAAGCCATCCTCCCACCTCAGCCTCCTTAGTAGCTGGGACTACTACAGGCATTCACCACCACACCTGGCTAAAGTTTTTTACTTTTTATAGAGATGTGGTCTTGCTAAATGGTTGCCCAGGTTGGTCTTGACTCCTAGGCTCAATCGATCCTCCCACCTCGGCCTTCCAAAGTGCTGGGATTACAGGCCACCATGCCCAGCCCGGTTTTTCATTACAAGCAATACCTGCTTACTCCTCAGATTTTGCCAGAGTTGATTATAGATTTATACTCAAGACACCAAGCTCCTATATTTAGGTTGTGTATATTCAGGTTCCCAAAAATACACAAGAAGTTGCCCAGATTTCAAGGCGCTTCCAACCTCTAAGTAGAGAGGATGGGGAGATTTCGAAGACCTGTTTTGCACAACCATTCCCAGATGACTTATTACTCTGAAGAACCAACGCCTGGCTGCACAAAGAAATGCAAAATGCTTCCCCCGGTTCTGGTGGTCGATGTTTAAGGACCACACAGGACACCAGTCTGCAGTGTCCCTATCTTACTTCTCCCTCACTGATGGCTCGAGGAAGACCCCAGAATCTGGGTCCGGTCCACCGATCTTCACGGTCTTAGAGCCACGATACTTAGGTCACCTGCCTTACTTTCAAAAAGGCCAAACTCAAAACTACACACAAGTCTCACATACACTTTTAAATCGCAGCTGACGGGCTGGTCTTAGCACCTCTTAAAGAGAGAAGTTGTGGGAAGTGAGAGAAGGCCTAAGCAGATGGGAGCCGAGATGGCCGGGCGGCAAGTGGCTGCCGGAGTCGTGCCACCTGGCTGTCTTCCCACAGTCTGGAGGGGGTGTGTGTGGCTGGCAGTTCCATTCCTGCTTGAGGTGGCGGGCCCTCTCCCCCTTTCCAATTCCCTGACAGCCCGGGCAGATTTTCCTTTGGCTTTTGAAAATCCAGGACATATTATTCCTCAAAGTCGCCAAGTTCCAGCTGCTAGAGAGAGCCAGCCTTTCGCTCTGTTGCCCCACCATCGAGCCTACATCTTTACACCCAGGGAAACAGAAGGCCTTCCTCCATGCGGGCAAGCCCACAAGAGTTCGGATGCTGCCGCTCGGGTCCTGCAGACAGAGGGGAGGATTCACAAGGGCTGGCCAGGAGCCATCCCACTAGCCCTGGCACTTGCAGCTCCACATGGAGCTCTGCGGCTCTTCAGGACAAAGAGGAGTGTTTTTATCAGCCCAACGTTCTGCTGACAAATGCATAATAAACTGACAGAAAGCGACCAAGCAGCATTTCAAAACCCCCAGTTACAGGGGAGGCCAAGCCTGAGTGGAGATGGTCACTTTCTGCAGGTGTTCGGCCAGTGTCCCTGCATTTGCATGCATTTGCATATACTGTCAAACAGTTGGCTGACAGAAAGTCTGAGGAGGTCTGGACACAGCCCAAACCTGTCAGTGGCTTTCTCCTTGCCAGTCAAGGTTGGCTGTGGCTGCAATTAAGGCAGGAAACGAATACTTCTGACATTGCAATATACCCAGCCACAGCTGGGCGAAGTTAAATGGAAAAGTGTGCTTTATTTAGAAAGACAAGATGCATGCTGGAAAAAAAAAGATGGGGAAGGCCAAGAGTGGTAAATGCTCAGAAAGTGACACTCTACACTCATTCTGCAAAAGGAAACAAATATTTTTCAGTCCTTCCAGGTTGCTGTGCTGTGGTGTTATTTGTTGTTGTTGTTTTGTTGTTGTTTGGGGTGAGTGAGCAGATTTCCCCACTGAGTGAGGCCAATTCAGCATGTGAGAGGAGCTTGCCAGACACTACACCTTTTATCTTCAGAGTATCATCTCAGGAAGCAGGGAGGAAGCTCATCCCCAAACCGCATTTCCGTGACACACGTGCTACCCCATAAGGCTCCACTGTTCTGTTCAGTGTTGGCAAATAGGTAGCCATGGCTTGGAGGGGGTGAGAAAATTGGAGGGGGCCGAGCACAAGCGTCACGTTGTCCCCCCACCACCCCGCACAAGGGTTACAGCTCATATTAGCATATGGATTGCCATGGGAAAGAAACAAAATCAGAGCCTTCACTACTGTAAGAGTGAATGGCCTCAAGAGATGGAGGGGGCGGGGAAGGAAGAAAGCCAAAGAGAAAGGTTGTTGTTGTTCTTGCTGTTTTTAAGAACACATGAGATTTATATTTTTGGAGGCCTGTGTCCTTCTGAGATGTTGTTTTACAGATTCTTTAAGCGAGACCTAACAATTTATTAAATACTTCATCTCTAAACAGTGGTGGGCACTAGAGTTTCATGAGCAGCAAACAATAGATTCTGTTTATTCGCCAACAATACAGACACTGTTTAGCTCCGGACTGCAAGTGGCTGAGCCATCTGGCTCATATCTCCACAGTAAAACATTGTCCGTGACACAAAAAATGACTACATCCCCAGGACAAACTAGTGTGACCTCTAAATAAAGCCTTCCTCTGAAGCTATGATATCACACTGCACAGGGGACACCAGCACAATTGAATCTGGTCACCAAAAGCCCAAGTGAGATAGGACTATGTAAATGGAATTTTATAGGAGACTTTTTGTCCTCCGTGGCAAACCATCCAGATCCGTCCACAGCACTGAAACATCTTTTTCATTCACCCCTGGGACAACAGTGTGGTTCTATTTGGCGATTGGCAGTCCTCTTTCTCCCGCGCCCTACCCAGGAAGCACACGTCCGTGTTCCCGAGGCAGCACCTGCAGCCTTTGCTTCCAACAACTTTTCACTGATGGGGGCCCCACCTGCACCAGCCTTTTTGCTGATATTTCAGAAACAAGCGGCCCTTTCTCCTCCCTGCCAGGGAGAAGGCCCAAGTTTGCCAGCTTCTTCACAAATAGCCAAACAAGTCACTCTCAGCCTTGCGCCACCTGAATGCCCGCTTCACGAGGCAAACAAGTATACACACACACACACAGACATACACACACAGACACACACACACACTCCAGCACCCTGTCCAAGAAAGGGGCCATTTCAATGGAAGAAGTGTCATTCTCCGGAAAAGACCCAATTCAGTCTCCACGACCAAGGCATTTGTGTGGCTGTTTGGTGGGAAAATTTCATTACAGAAATTGAGACATGATGAAGAACAGACCAAAAAGCTGGCTCGGCTTAAGCCTTCCACCTGTTCCAATTCCTGTTTGTTTTGTTTTTCAGAGCGAGAAACCCTAACCCACCCCTATGCATAAAACATTTTGCACACAGGATGCTTTATAAAATACGATCCCTCAGTGATTTCCCCGTGCAAGCAGGTATTGGACCATTTTGCGGCCAGAGCCACCTGAGATATGACACACGCAGCACCTTGTTGGAGATGGACAGGGGAGGGTGAATTCCTACGTGAACTTTGCCAGCCCTGTCATCTCACACAAACTACTTAACTGCTCAGCACCCATCCTCAGGTGTAAAAAAGGGATAACATTTCCTTCTTCACAGAAACTAAATTTGGAAAATAGATGAGAAATGCTTATCATAATGCCTTATATATAGTGAGGGTTTAATAAATGGAAGCTTTTACCATAATGATAACAGATAATGGTAACATTGTTTCTATGACTCCTGGAATTTCAGTGGGAAAACAGCTTCCAGAATACCAGTCACTCATTTAAATAAAAATTGACCCTTGATAATAGTAACATTTATTGGCCGGGTACAGTGGCTTATGCCTGTAATCCCAGCACTTAGGGAGGCCGAGGCGGGTGGAACACTTGAGGTCAAGAGTTCGAGACCAGCCTGGTCAACATGGTGAAACCCTGTCTCTACTAAAAATACAAAAATTAGCCAGGTTTGGTGGCAGATGCCTATAATCCCAGCTACTCAGGAGACTGAGGCAGGAGAATCGCTTGAACCCAGGAGGCGGAGGTTGCAGTGAGCAGACATTGAGCCACTGTACTCCAGCCTGGGTGACAGAGTAAGTCTCTGTCTCAAAAAAAAAAAAAAAAAGTAACATTTTTATCATTATTACCATTTAGCATTCACCCTTGCCAAATTATTTGGCAAAGTTGGATCAGAAACTGCACTGCTAGTGGGCTTATCCTCTTCCTATTTCTGAGGTAGAGCTTTCTTCATGAGGCATGAAAATGGCCAAAATTGTCTATTGTTATTTCTGTAGCAGTCATAGTCATTTGTTTTTAAAAAATGAGAATGCACAGTTGCTGTATCTTAAGTATAAAGTCATAGGGATGGCTTGATATCTTAAAATGATTTCTTTCCTTTTGCTTCAGTTCCAATTAATCCCAAGATTTTAATTGCTTGCAAATAATTTAGGAGTAATCTTTGCACTTACACTGGTGGGTTTCTAGAAATGAAGCTGTTTGGTTGAAATTATGAAAGCTGATTTTTTCCAGTTAGTTGAGAGAACACAAACTGGACCCAGAGCCTAGGAAACAACTCTTTATAAAATTGTCACAAATGCCAGCTGGGCATGGTGGCTCACACCTGTAATCCCAGCACTTTGGGAGACCAAGGCAGGCAGATCACTTGAGGTCAGGAGTCCGAGACCAGCCTGGCCAACATGGTGAAACCCCATCTCTACTAAAAATACAAAAATTAGCCGGACGTGGTGATGTGTGCCTATAATCTAAGCTACTCGGGAGGCTGAGGCAGGAGACTCGCTTGTACCCAGGAGGTGGAGGTTGCAGTGAGCCAAGATCCTGCCACTGCACTCCAGCGTGGGTGACAAAACGAGATTCTGTCTTCAAAAAAAAAAAATCACAAATGCCATATTTAACCAACTGTAAACTGAGTTATGGGCCCTTGGCAGTCCAAACTTTGTGATAGGTATGTAAATCAATTTAACAGGACATGACGATATGGCTTCAGTTACCATCTATATAACTCCTCCAGACATTTTCAGTAGAAATTTAAAGTATTCCCAGGATATCAAAGCTAGTGGAAATTTCCATATGGAAAACCTTCTAGACTTTATATTTTTGGAACAATGCAAAACACTCACTGTTTACTCACAAATCTCCACCTCTGTTTTGTTAGCTTGTTTCATTTTGGTTTTGCCTTAATGCTTAAATGTGGAAGCTGTTGCAGATATTGTATTATTTCCATCAATCCTGGTTAATTTCAGCAGGAAAACTGCTCCCAGGGTGACAGTCAACCATGCAAACAAATGCAGCCCTGGGAATCTGGGACCTATAAGAAGTCCAGCTAAGGACATATGCGAATCCAATTAAACTTAGAAATACACATTTTGGATGTGAGGGCAAGGTCAAATCCTCTCATATATTGTTGGTGGCAAAGCAAGTTAAAATAACCTTTGTAGAGAGTAATTTGATAGTCTCTACCAACATGTAAAATGTTTACACCCTCTGATCCAGGAATTCTACTTCTGGGACCATATGCTACTGAGCTATTCCTTCAAAGTGTGCAAGAACATATGTACAAGGGGGTTGATTATATTATTCCCAAAAATGAAACATGATAACCTAAGTTTCCATCAATAGAGCACTGTTTGAATAACTTACAGTGCATCGGTTAAAAAGAATGATGGGAGCCATATGTATAACATGCCCTATAACTACATCTATATCTGTATGTTTCTATATAAAATTGTCTAGAAGAGGCTGGGCACAGTGGCTCACACCTATAATCACAGCACTTTGGGAGGCCAAAGTGGTCAGATCATTGGAGCCCAGGAGTTCCAGACCAGCCTGGGCAACGTGGTAAAACCCCATCTCTACAAAAAATACAAAAATTAGCCAGGCACGGTGGAGCATGCCTGTAGTCCCAGCTACTTGGGAGGCTGAGGTGGGAGGATCACCTGAGCCCAGGAGGTCGAGGCTGCAGTGAACCATGATTGTGCCACTGCAGTCTAGCCTGGACAATGGAGTGAGAACCTGTGTCAAAAAAGTAAAAATAAAAATAGAATTATCTAGAAGAATGCATGCCATGCCATCCAGAAGATGAAAAGAGGAGGATTTCGTTTTTATAGAATTCCCTTTGGTGGCATTTGTGTTTTTTAAAACCAAAAAGTCATAATCCTTTTGGACTTTAAAGTACCATGGGTACCACAAGTTAAAAAATACATTTCCTGGTCACTGTTCATTGTCAGGCTGCTGATATTCCTTGGCATAGGGGACATGAACTTTACAAGGGAGCAGGAAAGAAGAGCTGGCCAGCAAAACTTCCTGGATGCCCACTGTGAGAAGGTGTTGACGCCAAAGGCTGAGGGAGTTACAGCCAAAGAGAAAAACTAATTCCTTCCCTTAAGGGACTTACCATGGCATAAGAAGTCTGTGGCTAAAATAAATATAATGTGGAAGTGCTGAGTGATTTGACTTACCCGATCTGTGGGGTTTTAATTGTTTATGATTTGTTGGTTCTGCAACAATACAAGCCATCTAATGTAGTGCTCAAGAGCTGAGCTCTGGGGTTCGACTATGGCCAGCTCTACACTTACTGGCTGGGGAACTTTGCCACTTAGTATCTCTGGGCTTCAGTTTCCTTCTCTGTAAAATTCTTGGATTATCTACCTCACAGGGCTGATGTAAAACAACACAGAGCCTGGTGTCTACTGCATACTAGGCACAACGAATCTAGCTATTGTTTTGTTATTGTTGCTATAATAATATTTATATTATTATTATACAACTAATTTATTTATCCACTGCCCTTCACGCAGAAGGGACAGCATGGTGTAGTCTGTATTTCTGAGGATTCAGGGACCCACCCAGGTAGGCTCGGGTTTTGAGTTACCCCCGCAACAGGAGGGTTTGTGCTTCAGCAGCCACACTCTCGGCCCACACCCCGATCTGCATTTTCAACACGGCAGACTGGGGTAGGATCTATGGCCATGGAACAAAGGCAGGTTCGCTTGTAAATGCTGAGGCAGGAACAGGCAGTTATTTAAACAAGACGGCATTAAATCTACAAAAAAAATCCCCGCCATGCCCAGAGCCAGCTCCCAGGTGACCCTGGCCCATGGGATGGCGTCTCCTGCCAAGGACACAGGGCTCCCCTCCCCGGGGCAGTTTGTGGCAAAGCTGGAGCTGGTTTCAGTGTTGAGACACCCCTCCCTCCCCCACTGCTTTCACCGGATAGTGTTTCCATTTCTTTCTGGGTTCCTCTTCCATCCTCTTGGCTCCACTCCTGCAATTCGCACATGGCCCTCATGGGCCACCGTACCCTGCACCCTACATGTCCTTTTGCAGTATCACCTGCCTTCACTTGACTGATTCTCTCACTCTTCCAATTCCAATCCCCACAAGAAGAATTTAGAGGGTCCCACTCATCTTTTCAAGTTAGGAAAACCAGTCAAAAATTATCAGCAGGTGGTATAGACAGCAGCCATTTAAGCCTATTATGGGGCGGTGGGTGGGCAGGCCATGACTGACACCTCTAGCAACCAATGAGATTGAGGAAAGAGACTCTTCTGCCTTCCAATTGGTCAGCACTGCTCTTAAAGGCCCTGAGCTGACCAGACGCTGTCCTCCCACCTCGCAGGTGGAGAGGGACCCTGGGGCCAGTGGAATGTTTGGCTCTATTTTCTGCGACTAAAATATAATTGTATTTGTCTGTGATCTAGAAAGTACATGACTTTTTTTCCCATAGCTACTTTATTATCAGCTGTAAGTCATAGCAACCATGACCCAAGTCATTTTTGTACGTTTATCTTGTTTTTATTACTAATACCAGTGCTTTACCTACATACAGTCTCTTACCTTTGACAAATTCTTTCACACATGCTAATTTGGATAATATACGAAATGAAGCGTATCTTATTCTCTCCTTTCCATAGAGAAAGAAATGAAGCTCAGAGAGGTTGAGTAATTTGCCCAAGGTCACACAGCTAGAAAAGTGAGACCGGGATTAGAACCCAATTTTTTGGACTCTTAAGTCAGCCCTCCTTACATGTTTTTGAACGTTTTATGGAGTATTCAGAAAAATATTTCCCGAATAAATGAGATCTCACTTTCCCCTCTCTCTCATGTTTTCCATTTTGGAAATCTTTACAGTTTAAGGGTCAAGATAGTAGATAAAGTTTTTTAAAAAATAAACTTTCCACAAGTGCAGAAGTAAAATTTCTTAATAAATAGGAAAAGATTCAGGACAGATAATATGAATACACTGATGAAACAATAACTTATAAGATGGGCCTGGCAAGAAGTAAAAGTGTCCCACATAAATTCTCACTGTTGAAGGAATGCCCCATCATTACAGCAGAGGGGGTCATAGACACAGGCTTTATGCCTCGTGCTGAATGTCTAACCGCACGCAGAGTTGGTGCCCCATAGACAGAGCCTCTCACCCCTCCCCAGCCTCTGTGCAATGCAGACGGCTGTGTCTGTCCTCTCTGGCCTCTGAGAAGAGATGAGTGACCCAAAAGGATAAGCTGGCTTTGGACTCTGTCCTCCTCTGGGGTATCAGAACTAGGTAAAAACCCTCCTGCATCTTGAATGTGGTGGCTCTGGGGACACTCTGGGCCCACATCCTTGCTTCTGGCCACATTTTTATGGTTCTGAAACTTATCACTGTGTGGCAGTTTGCCAGAGAATGAGGAGAACGGGGTCATGGGGTCCCCGCCATGCCCAGAGCCAGCTCCCAGGTGACCCTGGCCCTGTGAACAAAGTTCACACTAAAACAAGGAAGAGCTTTCCTGCCCCACCTCTCTTCTCATATTTGGGGCCAGTCGGGTGGGGAGAAAACTTCTTACCACATGCAGCCTGTGTACTCCGGTCTGGTGGGATAGCAAGGTCCTGCTGTGCACAGGTCAGGCCCCGGGTGTCCTCCTGCCCTCCACCCAGCCACTGACAAATAGAGCTTTCCTTTGTTTTGCCCTGTGACCAAAGTTCTTATATGCCTTAAAGGGGAAAGAGATTTTTTCTTATACAAAATCACCCAGAAGCCATTCAAGGCAAACAACTCACCCAAGGGCAATCAGGAAACTGCTGACAGAGGCCAGCCAACCAGAACCAGGGTCCCTGGGCACTGGGTGCAGAGCCCAGTACCCTGAGGAAGCTGCCATCAAAGGAGTGACTCATCCCAAATGATGTCGGCATTGACCAATGAAAACAAAAGCTGAGGTAGAGAAACTGTCAGAGGGGCCTTACCTTTCCAAGCCTGGGTACCAACACTCTGAGTCCTCATTGGATCTTCTTTTGAAGACCGACCCCTGCAGGGAGACCCTCGATGAGTAAAAAATATATAAACAAATATAAACAGGTCAGTGAGCCGACCAATCACATCTTACATCCGATGGGATAAAGCCAGTGTGTCAGGGCTGGCCATGGGCTCAAAAATGTGTGGGTAAGAATTAATGTGGAATCATGCTGGGCTTGGTGGCTCAGGCCTGTAATCCCAGCACTTTGGGAGGCCGAAGTGGGCAGATCACTTGAAGCCAGGAGTTCAAGACCCCCCTGCCCTACATGGGGGAAACCCCATCTCTACTAAAAATACAAAAATTAGCCAGGTGTGGTGGTGCAGGCCTATTAATTAATCCCAGCTACTTGGGAGGCTGAGGCAGGAGAATTGCTTGAACCTGGGAGGCAGAGGTTGCTGCAGTAAGCTGAGATTGTGCCACTGCACTCCAGCCTAGGCAACAGAGTGAGACTCTGTTTCAAAAAAAAAAAAAAAAAAGAATTAATGTGGAATCCACACATGTTGAATCAGAAAAATTTTGTACTGCCCTACCTCCCTTTAGCAAAGGAGGACAGGACAATGAAGAATCTATTGGCAAAGCAGAGAAAACAGGCTATATCGCTTGCCAAGCCCCTGGAATTCTGAGAAGGTGCTTCTCCTGTGATAGCGGTCACTGGTACGGCAAGAGGTTGACAATCCCTGGCCAAAACTCCGAAGGGGGTGGCATGTTTCTGCAGAAACGCAGCAGAGGGTCAGGTACCCCAAATGCACCCTCCTTCCTGGTAGCAAGCAGGGTCCCCCGCTGGAAGAGCTGCCTGTTTGGGGCAGGTTTTCTAAATATTAAAATGTCAGTGGCCGGGTGGAGGGCAGGAGGACACCTGGGGCCTGACCTGTGCACAGCAGGACCTTGCTACCCCACCAGACTGCAGTACACAGGCCGCATGTGGTAAGGTTTCTCCCCACCCAACTGGCCCCAAATATGAAAAGAGAGGTGGGGCAGGAAAGCTCTTCCTTGTTTTGGTGGCAGGCAAGTGTCTGTGGTCAGGAGCCATGGAGACTCGTGCCACGGACTGCGAAGCCACCCAGCCATCTGGCCCAAGCTCCTGTGACCGGAAGAGCTTGTTTTGCCCTGTTCCCCCAGAGCCAGCAGCGCAGACCACAGGGGGCTTGCATTATGTTAGCAAATGAAGAAATGCTTTAACAGGAATAGGCAAATTGTCATCTATTTTAAAGATTTACTTCTAACATAGAAACACAATGAAAATCCAGCTATATTATCCACAGAACAACTACAGGGCTTACAAAAAAAACCCTCTTTCATCATGCATGTCAGCGTGACCTGGCGTGTGAGCCCAGTGCAAGCAATGGACTATGTTTCTAGAGACCTTATGCGCAGCTGCACTCCGGGAGAGCACCTAAAGTCTAGGTCTGAGGTCTGGGGGAAGTAAGGCCCAGGCAATCCCTCTCCTGACCCTCTCTACGTTGGATCTGATGTTTCTTCCACAAACTGGGAAGTTCAGGTTCCCCAGAATCTGGCTTTGGATAAGGGGAAGCAGGAACAACTCTACTTTTATATAAAGCTGGACATTTGTCCAAAATTGCTTCCTTGTTGCTGTGCCACTTGGGGACATGAACCAAGTCAGATGAGGCTTCATTTTGGCATCAACACCCCACATCCATCTCATTCAGCCAAGGTCTGTCTGTCCTCCGGTTCCCAGTTCAGTCCCTGGGAAGAAACTGAATTATCCTCTCTTCCAAGTGTGGCCCATGCACTCATCCAGGCCACAGGATCCCCTTGAAGGCTCCCCTGCTGCCCCACACCCACCCCATCTGGAAATTACCAAGTCCTTATGGACTTTGCTCTTTATTCATTCACAAAGAATGTAAGATTCCATTTTTTTAAGAACTGAATAGAAATCCCCGGCATCACCATATCAGGGCGTCTGTTCCACGCCAACTCAGTAATTGCCCCGTTTCTAGTGCTTTTTTTTTTTCTCCACCAAAACCAACTTAAGCTGATTACTGCCATCTCAAACAACCTCACTGGGCTCCAGATATATCCATTTAATATGGCCAAGACAAGCAGCCAACTGCCGTTTTCAAAAGACGATCTGACAGATTCTATTCACTTTCAAAGTAGCTCTCCACGGCTGGAATAATTATCTTTCATTTCCCCCATTCTGACACCTTTCAATGATTTGTTGACATCTGAAGAGTTATGGGCAATCTTAGAAGAGGCAGCTGGACTTTCCGCCCCCAAAGATACAAGCACAAAAAGGATTCCCATACAGCATCTGAAATAACTCTGTTCTTTGCAAATGGATATCCAAATCTGCATGTTAATAGGGACACTTTTATCTTTAAATATAACCTCAAAAAAAGAAGGGGGGACAGTATTCATTTAACTTGTTCACCGCCAACTCAAGAAAATGCACCTTTCCCTCAAAACCAGCGTTCCCTCCCTTGACCCATAAAACCAGAAAAAATGCAGATATGCTGAGTTTTCAAACATCTCATGTTTGCTGCAGTCCTCGTTCGAGGGAGAACAGCAGGAGAAATCCGAGCAAATGGCAAGAGGCCTCCACTGTTTCATCTGCTGCCAATGAGGTTTTAAGTGAGCATCACTGGAATAATGTCTATTAATAATTTGCACTTCTATAGCCCTTTCTTGAGGGTGTCTCTAAGTGCCCTCCCACGAACACAGGCCTCGCTTGCAGGGGAAGAGCTCGACACAGGAATGAACCTCCTGCCTTTGGGCACAGTGCCTCCCAGCTCCTGTCTCAGCACAGAGGCACTTTGTCTTTAAAACTCCAGCAAAATGGGGCCTGGGAGAGGTTTTTTTTGTTTTTTGGTTTTTTTTTTTTTTTGGATATATGTTTTATATATATATATATATATGTATACATTACGCAATTACAAATATAGGTCCCATGACACGCAGGATAAATATGGAATGCAATATCTTCAGATTATTTTCTTTCTCTATTTTTTCTGTCTCCTGCCTCCCCAACACACAAAATTTGAGGACTTTCGTTAACTATTTTAGTAGTCTATCAAACCAAGTGCCTGGTAGATTTCAGTATGGGGGAGTAGTGACAGTGGCCGCAAGAAAGGATCAGATGCAGCCACGATCGTTGTCAGAGATAAATAAACACGAAATAGTGAAGGAAAATGGGACAAGCACGCAGCAGTTTGCAGCCTGGACCAATCACAGTGATGCCTCTTGTGGTGGCCTGGAGCCCTCTGCACAGTCCGGAGAAAAGACTGCCGTGGGGATCGGTTTCTGTTCCGAGAGTACATAGCAGAGTGAGGCTGCTGGGGTTGAAGCCGCTTGTTTGAGTTTTCCAGCTCTAATCAGATCGTCCTCCAAAGAGGGAAGTCTCTAAGGAACCAGGAACACAGACCACATCTGCTGGTCACTTCTTTTCCCCCTCGTAGCTTCCAGCCACAGTCCCTCAATCAACAGCGCCCCTTACTGGCCAGAGGGTTGCAAACCCAGAGGGTACTGGGGTGTCTCAGATAACCGCTGGCAACCTGGAAATGGACATATCTGTATCATCCATCTCCAGTTATAGAATTTTGAACACACTATCGAGAGCAGCTGTTGCAATCCCAGCTCAAGTCTCACGGCCATCCCTCTGTCTTGAACTTGGTCTTGGCGAAGTCAGGTCTCTCTGTGGGAGTTTTATCATCAGGGGAGCTGCTTCTCCCAAGAAACCAATAACCACCAATACTGTGTGTGATCTTAGCAGATCCAAAGCTTCGAGAAGCCTTCATCAAGATCAGACATTGCGACAGGAGAATCCTGTTCCCTGCAAACAGGATGGATTTGGATTCTAAGTGGTTGAAGTCACAGAGCGGTCATTAAAATAACAAAGAGGCACTGGCCTTTTTCAAGCACCTTTCTGGACTTCTCCAAAGAAACCCTGCTGATGAGAGGGCACAGGGTTCATTAGCAATCATCTTGGGTCAGCTGATGACAGGAGTGAAGCCAAGGCTGGCACGGGCGACGACAGAGCAGGCGAGCAGAGTTGACCTGGGTTATTTTAGGTGAGGAGGTGGGCGCAGAGGGAGACAGAGAGGTGGAGGGAGTTTATTTTGGTTGAGGCACTTTATTTTGCTTTCTTGCTTGTGAGGATTCATTTCCCCTGGGTAATTTAAAGTTTGTAAGAACCTTGGAATTCCTTGGAGAGAAAGCACCATTGCAAATAAAGAGGCCACAGCACTAGTGATGGTGGAGAAAGTGGCCAATGCCGTATCTTTAGATGCTTGGGTTTTGGGTTGGGTAGAGTTTTTCGGCACGTTTGGGAAGTGGCTTCTTATATGCCCAGCTCTAGTTTGGGGGCTTCCCATGTGTTTTTGTGTCTAACATGTATTGTTCTCAGCACTGTGCTGATTTTCCATGTGTTCATTCATTTAATTCTCACAACAACCAAAATGCGTTAATTCATTCATTCTGAATCAACTTGTTTAATCAAGAGAATTTGACAATGCCCACCCCCTCTCCCTTGGAAAATAAGGGTTAGCCTAGCAGACTGCTCAGGGTCAGGCTTCTTAATCCCTTTCAATGCCATTGTCAATATATTGAACCCTATTCAGGAATCAGCAATGACTTTCCGTGCCTGCTCCATCAAGTCTCATTTCCTCTGCCTTGCTCAAAAAACCTTTTATAACCCTCTTTATAATGCTCCCACTTCCTCTTCTTCCAGCTGCACCTCTACTTCTCCAAACAAATGTAGAATCCCCATGGCAGTGAGTCGAGTGTCCTGGGTGAGGTGGGAGCTATTGTTCATAATCCATGTTGCTATTGCCCAGTAAGACACATTGCACCCCACAGAATATACCCATTGCCTTTTCTTCAACTTTGGGGGACATACCGAGTCTTCACTATACACAGAGTCTGCAGGTAGATAGAGATCTCTCAGTGGCTTTTCTAGGCAACTTGTTCCCGCTACCCCAGTAGGTATGGACATAACCTCAGCTCTCGACTCTCGGGGAGCACCATCTGGTCATCCATGTGAAAAGAAGAGACAACTCTACCCTGTTATAAAAACATGCCTGACACTTGGAAATAAAGCAAGGGAGGACTGCCCTTCAGTGCCAGCCTGGAGCACTCAGGGTCATCACATTCCCCAGGGGATATGCCTTTGCTTGACCCATTCATTATTGGGCCCAGATTCTGATGTTACATGTTAACTTGTAGATTTTTACAAAATAATTTCCCTTTTTCTTTTTTATTTTTCTTATTTATTTTATTATTATTATTATTATTATTATTATTATTATTTTTGAGATGGAGTCTCACTCTGTCGCCCGGGCTGGAGTGCAGTGGTGTGATCTCGGCTCACTGCAACCTCTGCCTCCCGGGTTCAAGAGATTCTCCTGCCTTAGCCTCCTGAGTAGCTGGGACTACAGGCACATCCCACCACGCCCAGCTAATTTTTGTATTTTTAGTAGAGACGGGGTTTCACCATGTTGGCCAGGCTCATCTCGATCTCTTGACCTCATGATCCGCCCGCCTCAGCCTCCCAAAGTGCTGGGATTACAAGTGTAAGCCACCGTGCCCGGCCTCCCTTTTGATTTCTAAATAATTTTAAAATTTTAGAAATGTTGCAAGAATAATGCAAAGACCTGTTTTTCCTAATTCACTTGAGTAATAAGTTGCTGACATGATGCCCATCACCCTAAAATACTTTAATGTGTATCTCCTATGATTGTGAAAGTCACCCACTTTCATGATCTAAATACAACCACCAAAATGAAGAAATTAACATCGGTACATACTATCATCTCATTCTCAAATGCCATCCACACTTCTCTAGTTGTTTCAATCTCACTAAACTTTTATAGGCAAGGGACCCAATCCAGGATTGCTCATCACACAGAGTTGTCCCATCTCTTTAGTCTCCTTCAATCTAGAACAGTTTCTATCTCTCATGACCTTGACACTTTTGACAATAATAGGCCAATTATTCCGTAGATGTTCCTTAGTGTAGGTTTTTCAGGTGATGCCTTATTATGAGGGTCAGGGATGTCTTTGGCAGAAACATCATCATAGAAGTGATGCTGGGTTCATCTTGTATCTGGCCAAGTGGCACACAATTTTAATTTACCCCAGTCCTGGTGACTTACATGTAAACGAAATAATGAAGGTGATGTTGTCCATGTGCCTCCGCTGTAAAGTTACTTTTTTCCCCCTTTGTAACATACAAGGATCTTGTGGGGAGGTACGTGAGCCTTTGCAAATATCCCATTCCTCATCAGACTTCACTCACTGTTTTTAATATCCACCAGTGTTTCTTCGTTGGATGATTATGATGGTTGCCAATAAATGATTTTCTAATTCCATCACTTTCCTAATATTTATTAGTTGGAATTAGTAATTTTTGTGTAGAGATAGGGTCTCACTATGTTGCCCAGCCTGGTCTCAAACTCCTAGGCTCAAGCAACCCTCCCACCTCAGCCTCCCAAAGTGTTGGGATTCAGTTGTGAGCCACTGTGCCCCGCCATATTAGTTAGAATTCTGCTTTTTCCACTTATACATTCATCTGTTTGTTTATATCGGTAGGAACTCAAGCGTACTTATTTTACTTATCAGGTGATACTCTGCTCCTATCGTTATTCATTTTTATGCCTCAATTATCCCAGTTCTGGCCGGTAGGAGCTCCTTCACTCTGGCTTCTGGGTTCTCCGGACATGTGCCTATAATTCTTTGAGCCCTTCTTTACTTCCTGGCACAAGACGTTCTAGCTTCATCTTGTACTTTCCCTGACTCCTCATCCAGCCTTGGAATTGACCATTTCTCCAAGGAGTTTGGGTTCCTTTAAGTGGGGACTTTAGGAACCAAGATCTGAGCACTGATGTATTGTCTGCTCCCGGGTGGCACTGTTCCCAGGCCCTCCCAGTGAACGGAACTAGGCTACATTTATATACGAGTTGACACTGACACTTCCAATTCCAGTCCAACACCAAAGGGCTTATTCTAGGATTTTTCCCTTCCACATGTGTAACTCCCTTCTTCATTGATGAGAAACCTGGTTCCCTCATCGACCTTAACATACATGATGTTCATAAGGTCCAGAAACAGTTAAATATATATAATATTATTAAAGCCATCTCCAGTCTGTAAAGTAATAATCATAATGTTGTTTTCTATGCATTCAGAATCTACAGACACCCCGTATTGGTTATTGGACCTGTCCTTCAGTGTGTATACAGTGCCACCCTGGCACCCCTCGCAGCCTGCACAGGCACTCTCACAGCCCCCGCCACGCCACATCCTCCTACTCCTACTCCCTGGGAGTATCACACTGCCAAGATGACTCCCCTCTGGCATCGCTCGAATTCACTACTGGGCTAAAAGAATGCCTGGATTCTCCTTCCTCACCACGGATTGCACGACCAGATGTCCCAGCTGTTATCAGAGCTTTCATAAGGTCTGGAGTTCAGCAGGAAAGTCCAGGTGAAATAGGCTTGTCTTGCCACGTATCCCTGTCAACGCTATTGTTCTTTTTGTCCCTCTCAGTTTAGTAGCTGGACCAGTTTCCATCTGCACACCATTGTTCCGGTGGCCCCCTCTCCTGGAACACACTCCCCACCTTCTCTGCACCCTTGGGGCACAGTTCAGCCCCATGCTTTCCACAAAGCCTGGTCTGGTCCCACGATCCTTCTCAGGACTTCTCTTTTGTTCCCTGCCATCGTCCTCTGGATGCTCCATCTAACCCTTGCTTATATGCTGTGACTTACTGTTCTCTGTATCAAAGGAATAGTGTAGCAGGCTCTGTAACTATTTCACAAGGGCGCGAGGACACGACTACTTTACAGCCCCTTAGCATCCAATCAGAAGCTTGACTACTTTACAGCCCCTTAGCATCCAATCAGAAGCTTGACTACAGCCCCTTAGCATCCAATCAGAAGCTCGTCTCCTCCATACTCATTAAAAGGGCTACAATAAGAAACAAAACAAAACAACCAGAAAATGACAAGTGTTGGTGAGGATAGGGAGAAACTGGAACCGCTGGGCACCATAGGTGAGAATGTAAAATGGTACAGCCGCTAGGGAAAGCAGTATGGCCGTTTCTCAAATAATTGAAAATGGAAATACCATATAATTCAACAATTCCACTTCTGGGTAAATACCCAAAAGAATAGAAAGCAAGGATTTGAAGAGATATTTGCACACCCATGTTCAGAGCAGCACTATTCACAATAGCCAAAAGGTGGCAGTAACCCAAGTGTCCATCAAAACAAAATGTAGGCCAGGTGCTGATCACCTGAGGTCAGGAGTTTGAGACCACCTGGTCAACATGGTGAAACACTGTCTCTACTAAAAATACAAAAATTAGCCAGGTGGGGTGGCTTACACCTGTAGCCCCAGCTACTTGGGAGGCTGAGGTACAAGAATCGTTTTAACCTTGGAGGTGGAAGTTGCAGTGAGCTGAGACAGTACCACTGCACTCCAGCCTAGGCAATAGAGTAAGACTCCATCTCAAAAAAAAAAAAAAAAAAAAAAAAGGTAGCATAGATATACGTTTAAAGGAAGAAAATTCCAACACATACAACAACATGGATGAACCTTGTGGGCATTATGCTTAGTGAAATAAGCCAGACACGAAAGGACAAATACTATATGATTCCACTTACATCAGGTATCTAGATGAGTCGAATTCCTAGACAGAAAGTAGAATGGTGATTGCCAGGGTTTGAAGGGAGCAGGCAGTGGGGAGTTACTGTTTAATGGGTACACAGTTTCAGTTTTACAAGACCAGAGGAGTTTTGTATGGCTGGATGGTGGTGATGGTTGCACAGCAATGTGAACGTTTTGTTTATTTGTTTGTTTTTTTTTGAAACCAAATCTCGCTCTGTCGCCCAGGCTGGAGTGCAGAGGCACAATCTCGGCTCACTGCAACCTCCACCTCCCTGGTTCAAGCAATTCTCCTGCCTCAGCATCCCGAGTAGTTGGGATTACAGGCAAGTGCCACCACGCCCAGCTAATTTTTGT
Source organism: Homo sapiens (assembly GCF_000001405.40). Lineage (NCBI taxonomy): Eukaryota > Metazoa > Chordata > Mammalia > Primates > Hominidae > Homo > Homo sapiens. Next base: position 33,133,038 of record NC_000021.9, read on the forward strand.
TTCAGTAGAGATGGGGTTTCGCCCTGTGGGTCAGGCTGGTCTCGAGATCCTGACCTCAGGTGATCCACCCGCCTCAGCCTCCCAAAGTGCTGGGATTACAGGCATGAGCCACTGCGCCTGGCTGTGAATGTTCTTAATGCCACTGAACTATACACTTAAAAAATGGTTAAGATGGTAAATTTTGGCTGGGCGTGGTGGCTTACGCCTGTAATCCCAGCACTTTGGGAGGCCAAGGCTGGCGGATCACAAGGTCAGGAGATCGAGACCATCCTGGTCAACATGGTGAAACCCCGTCCCTACTAAAAATACAAAAATTAGCTGGGCATGGTGGTGTGCACCTGTAATCCCAGCTACTCGGGACCCTGAGGCAGGAGAATCACTTGAACTAGGGAGTCAGAGGTTGCAGTGAGCTGAGATTGTGCCACTCCACTCCAGCCTGGGTGACAGAGTGAGACTTGGTCTCAAATTAAAAAAATAAAAAATAAAGAAAGATGGTAAATGTTATGTTACATGTATTTTGTCATAATTTTTAAAAAATCAAAAAGCTTGTCTGCTCATCTGTAAGGTGGGGAGGTGATGGTTGTGAAAACCAGATGAAGTGAAATACATAAAACACTACAAAGTTTGGTGTGTAGTAGGTGCTTAATAAATGATGATTATCATTATGGTTTTACAAAGTGGTCAGTAAATAACAGATTAACTGATTAATGGACTAAGAGATATATTGTTTCTCCTCCAAGGAAAACTTTCTTCATTGATATGACAGAGAATGGAGTGAAGGGGTGGCTTCATCGGAAGAGTTTGGCAGGCTTTTTATGTAGAGGCGAATGGGGTTGACTGACAGCACGTGGCGGCCCATTGCAAGGGTCCCTCCCACTGCGTCCAAACTTGGCCCATTAGAGTCATTTCTCTGGCATCAGCATCATCTCCAGAAGGCCCCTCTGTAAAAGTGCATATGTTAACCTAGAGGGAGAATCCATTAGCACCCTAATCCCCATTAGCAAGGAGTGTGTGGCTGGATTATCTTGCTGTCACCTGGCAGGAAGCGGGATCCTGTAGAGAAGGACACCAGTTAGCATATTGTCGCGGGGGAGAGGGGTGGGAAAGGCGAGAGAACAGCATGTGGTCCAGAGGCCATACCCAGATGGAGGCTGCAGTCAGCTCCCCAGTCAAAGGCAAAGCCCAAGTCAAAGCCATGCTTCCCTCTTGCCCACCTGCTCCAATGCCACCCACAGAGAGTGCGCCACAGCTCACAGGATGCAGGTCTGGTTGAATCTTAACAATAACTTTGTAAGGGAGGTGTCATTAGCTCCATTCTCCTGGCAGGAGGATGAGGCTCAAGGCAGCTAAAGGCTTTTGCTGAACATCAAGTGGTGAGCCAGGACTCAATGCCAGATCTTCTTGTTTCCCTGTTAGGTGTATGTAGCACAACTGGTATCTGCAGACTATGCTGCTGGAAGGGCTAGCCGTCACTGTTATCACAGCGACTGCTGCCTGAGATATGCCAGGTACTGCTGCAAGAAGTTTACAAATATAAGCTCACTTGATCTTCATAACATACTACCTAGGTACAATCATTATATTTATTTGACAGATACAGAGACAGAGGGGACACAGAAAGGATTAGTAACTTGCCCCAAACCACACAGCCAGCAAGGTGTAAGTGAGCACCTGCAGTCTAGATGAGACACCACTCAAAACGTCATTTTTCTGGCAGCCCCGTGCAGTTACCACAGTGGTCACCCCAGTGGTCAGCTAAAGGCCAAGCCCACCGTTTCTCACTCCTCAGTGGCACAGCTGCCCACCAACACCCGGCCCCCAGGGTCACTGAGAACAGGTCCCCAGCCTGCTCTGGGTCTTCTAGGTGGACTTTTCCTTTGAGATGGGGCCAATCCATCATTGCATTGGTTTTGGGGGACAGGGGTCTAATTTCATTGTAATCTTCTCCATTGCTATTCAAGCAATCACAAAAATCATATTTGTCTCCTGGGAAGTTTTATTAAAACGGAGTATTATGTCCAAGCACGGTGGCTCACGCCTGTAATCCCAGCATTTTGGGAGGCCGAGGCGAGAGGATCACGAGGTCAGGAGATTGAGACCATCCTGGCTAACACAGTGAAACCCCGTCTCTACTAACAATACAAAAAATTAGCCAGGTGTGGTGGTGGGACTACAGGTGTAGTCCCAGCTACTTGGGAGACTGAGGCAGGAGATTTGCTTGAACTCGGGAGGTGGGGGTTGCAGTGAGCTGAGATAGTGCCACTGCACTCCAGCCTGGGCGACACAGCGAGACCCTGTCTTAAAAAAAAAAAAAGCATTATTTATTTTGCTGATTTTAGGAGCTTTTATCTCATCAATTATTTTATTGTTTACATTTCTCTTATTTCAATATGTGTATATTATTTATAATATTTACATATAACGAATGGTTGTTAAAATATTTAGACAGTTTCATTTTGTTTGTTTTTCCTTAGGAAACTTGCTCATAACACTTAAATTATAGAATATTCTCCAAACTTATTATTTGTTATGTGAAGTTTTCTTCTACCATTCAACCACACAGAAAATGATAAATTTTTTTACATGTAATGCAAATGTGTAAAAATAAATTTTTAAAATATTTAGGCAGTATATAAAAATTTCACAAATCTGGAGACATCCAGACATGGCTTATCACCCTGGTTTTACAAAACCGTGAATTCCTGGCACCCAAGTTCAAGGTGGGCATTTGGCTCATTGTAAGAAGTCCTGATTCAGCACCTTAGCCCACTGAATTGCTTTGGAATTTCTGGAATAAAACATTCTACTTCACCCTCAATTCTCTATGCCCAGAAACCATCCTGGCAGCAAGGCAGAGGGTCGATTCACCACCATTTATTATCTCTGTGTGTGAGGCACCACACAGAATACATAAATACAAACTCTCCTCTTTCAAAAGAATATATCTGGGAAGATCATGCACATTTAGTTCAAGGACAGTGAGCAAACAGAAGTCAGGTGACTGTGAAGAATGGGAGACTGGTTAAAATCAGGAGCAGGTGGATGGTTCGTTTCCAAGAAGCTGAGCTGGGCTGAAGCACGCAGCGTGTCCGTTGCTGCTCCACTGAACCTCCAGCTGGATTTCCATGTGGTGGTGCAGGCGAGGGGCCGTGCCGATTCATTATGACAAAATGACATATCAAAAAGGTTTTGCTGGCCTGCGAAAGATGCCCAACAGCAGATATGCATTATCTTATAAGTTAAGAATGCTGTCTTTTAGAGGGTTAGCTGTTTTGTTTGTTTGTTTGTTTTGAGACGGAGTCTTGCTCTGTCGCCCAGGCTGGAGTGCAGTGGCTGATCTCGGCTCACTGCAAGCTCCGCCTCCCGAGTTCACGCCATTCTCCTGCCTCAGCCTCCCGAGTAGCTGGGACTACAGACGTCCGCCACCACGCCCGGCTAATTTTTTTGTATTTTTAGTAGAGACGGGGTTTCACCGTGTTAGCCAGGATGGTCTCGATCTTCTGACCTTGTCATCCACCCCCCTCGGCCTCCCAAAGTGGTGGGATTACAGGCGTGAGCCACCGTGCCCGGCCGGTTAGCTGTTTTTTGACTTTGAAAATAGAAACCATTTCTGACAACAGTCTGAGAACTATGTGATTGGCACATTTATCGATGCTGTGAGTCTGGCTGTGATTTTTACTGTGCGCACAGCCCAGGACTTCTTGCCTGGAGACACAGGTCTAAACAACACAAAGGCCTTCACTGAGCCTAATTTTATCTCCGTCTGCACCTCATTACTCTGTGGTAGCTTGTTTCGTGCAAACAATTGCTGGTTTCTAGCATAACAAGGAGGCCCGTGGTGTCTGTATCGAACATATTCCTCAGAGAATGAGAAATCTCCAACCGGGAAAGAGGAGATTCTTGTTAAGGCCTGGAAATAGGCTGAAATGTAAATGTGTGTTCCCTTCCACAACGTGCCTAATTGCCCATAAATGTCATTAAGTCAAGAAACATTTTCCACCAAATTAACTTTGACTCATGATGTCTAATTAGCAGGAGAAGCTGGAAGATAACAACTTATCAGTCACTGTTTAAGAAAACATGTTTAACGGGTGACTTTTGGCTAGCAGCAATGTTGAACCAGGTATTGTAACTGTCAAAACCATGCCTGAGCCCAGCAATTAAGGGCAATGTGTTTTTTTTTTGGTGCCAAGAATTTTACAACTCCCTCATGGGTGTTTTTTAAAAATTGTGGTGAGGGCCGGCTTCCTAGGAATCCATTGTGTACATAAATGATAGGTTTGGGGTGGAAGGAAAGAAAACATCGGAGCTCAAAACTCTTTGGCAGAAAATATGGGAGCAATGCACTTAAAAGTGTTGATTCAATTTTTAGCCCTTCTCAACATGAAAGGCTCAAACTCTACTTTGCAATTAAAAGAACATTCACAGAGAGGTTCTACTGCTTACAGAGGGCTTTGCCACACATTCATGCCTCCCAGCAACCCTATTAGGTAGTTGCTATTACTGTCTCCATTTTACTAACAGGTAAACTGAGACCCAGAGAGGCTATTACTTTCCCAGACTCATGTAGCAGCCAGTGGTGGGAATGGAATTTAAGACTAGTATTTTAAGGCTGGGCATAGTGGCTCATGCATGTAATCCCAACACATTGGGAGGCCGAGATGGGAGGATTGCTTAAACCCAGGAGTTCTGGACCAGCCTAAGCAACATAGTGAAACCCTGTCTCTACAAAAGATAATAATAATAATAATTACCCAGGTGTGGTTGTGTGCACCTGTCATCCCAGCTTCTCGGGAGGCTGAGGCGGGAAATGGCTTGAGCCCAGATGGTAGAGGCTGCAGTGAGCTGTGTTTGTGCCACTGCACTCCAGCCTGGATGACACAGTGAGACCCTGTCTCAAAAAATAAAATTAAATAAAAGAAAGCCAGCTTGGCTGGGCGTGGTGGCTCACGCCTATAATCCCAGCACTATGGGAGGCCGAGGTGGGTGGATCATCTGAGGTCAGGAGTTTGAGAGCAGCCTGTCCAATATGGTGAAATCCCGTCTCTACTAAAAATACAAAAAATTAGCCAGGCATGGTGGTGCATGCCTGTAATCCCAGCTACTCAGGAGGCTGAGGCAGGAGAATCCCTTGAACCCAGGAGGTGGAGGTTGCAGTGAGCCGAGATTGTGCCATTGCACTCCAGCCTGGGCAACAGGAGCGAAACTCTGTCTCAAAAAAAAAAAAAAGGAAAAGAAGAAAGCCAGCTTTTGTGACTCTGACGTTGAAACCATGGCTCCCAGTAGGCTAATGCCTCCCTCTTCAGCAAGCATTGCTGAAAATGGGGTCCCTGAACTTACATGGGGAGAAATTACATCCTCATTTGCATTACCCACTAACTGAACATTTGAATTTGATTACGAACGTAGGGCACAAACCACCATGGTATTTGCAGTTCCTACACCTTCCTCACCAGTCCAAATCGCTGACATTTTCAAGTTGTGTTACAATTGTTGGAGACCTCCTGAAATACTGTTTGCACTCTTACTTTATCTGCTAGACTTGCCACTCAATCTTGTTATTTAATGTGCTTTCAAATAACTGCATAATTCTGCATCACAGATCTGTATCTGTAAAATATTTTCAGCATTATATTTCCATATAATTGGTTTCCTTTTATTCATGAGTATTTTATTTTATGCATTTAAAAATGTTATTCTGAGGAGTAGTTCGGAGGCTTCACCACACCAAACGGAACAGGGGCAGGGCTTCGGCTCTGGAGCTGCCACATTTAACAGTGAGGCTCTGTAGCTGCCATATTATTTAGTAGTTGCTGGCTGGCAGAGCCAGAAATCCACATGGAAATTGTGAGTGCATGTGCGTTTGGGTGTCTTGCAGAAGACAGCAAAGCACCTTTTAAGCATAAGCAGGACATAGCCCTGACCTCGGTGGGACCTCGCACTTTGAGATCTGAGGTGCACTCTGACTTCTTGGGAGGAAGGGGAGGCTGAGCCCAGATACTCCTCAGTCTCCCCTACTCAGGCTCGTTCAATCAATGCACTGTCCTGTCCCCTAAGTTAGTCTACATGAGAGCAGTGCTTCCTTTCCTAATGAGAACAAGCGTAGAAGTCACCACTATACATGTAAGCACTGGCAGAAATGCAGGATGTGTTGCCAGCGCTGGGAAGATGCACACCCGCAGAAGAAAGCAACAGCAGAGAGCGCGGCAAACCACAGCCACTGTGCGGAGCTTCGCACCCAGCACGCTCCCAGAACCACGGAGCATCAGGCAGCGCCGGCGTTCTAACCCCGCGTGCCCTCGCATGACGGCAGAGGCGTTGGTATTTAGGTTTTGTAATTAATTAACTGCCTTTCTCTCGGCCTTCAACCTGGCCTCTGGAAAGCATGTGGGAAGGCACTGCCTAAAAGGAACAGAGAGGATTTGGAGAGAGGCTGGGAATAAGGAGAGAGGCGAGGAGGGAGGGAGGAAGAACTAGGGTTGTAACGGAAGCTGAAAATACATACTTGAAACCCAGGCAGAGTGGCTACGGTAGTTAGTGGGGTATTTTAATCTTAGGGGTGGGAGCAGTTGTTCACATGCACCTAAATTAGTGGCTTCGATTTAAGCAGAGTCATTCTATAGTAAGCATTGGTCATTGTCACAGAAAAAGAGCACTTTGAGGACTCATGAGGAGTTGACTTTGTGGAGGCTCAGAAAAACAGGCCCTCCTGGCAGGTCAGAGAGGAACAAAGAGAATCCCCATTGCTCTGCAGCAAATGTATGTGGCCTGCTTTGCCGTGGAGTTGTGTGGAGCCAACGTTTCAGCCAGGGAGGGCACAAGCCACAAGACCACACCCGGCCCACCCCCGAGGAGGATGGGACCCCTTGTGTCCCAAGAGCCTAGGACTGAGTCACTGAACACCAAAGTTGTTTGAAAGAGAAAGAAAAGGGTAGGAAGGCACTTGAGGTTCTATGCAAATGTACCTCCGAGGCCAGGTGTGTGGAAAGAATGCCCCTCCATGGCTGTGTCAAGAAAAGGAGAGGTGGAGGAAGGGGAGGTTTGTGAAGGCAGTGGGCATGGAAGCTATGAAAACGGACCCTGGGGAGAGGAGAGGTTCGTGGGACGTGGTGATCCTCAGTCACGCACTCTGTGGGGCAAAAGCCTTGCACACATGGGATCCATTTGTCTCCGAGGTAGGTTCTAAGCCCCTCACTTCACAGATGAGAAGCTGGGGTTCAGAGAGATGAAGTGACTCACCCAAATTAACTCAACAAATAAGCCTCGGAGCCAAGCAATGGAGCCAGCTCTGTGTGTCACTAAGACACACACTTTTCACCCAGTTCAGGGGGTGTCAGCCTCAGGGAGGCTGGCACCCCCCCAGCGAAACAACCAGACTGGGAGTACTTTGAGGCAGAGATTGCCCCCTTGGACACCTCTTTACTCTGGTGCCTGCTATAGATTTGGCATATAGTAGGTGCTCAATTAATATTTGTTGAATTATTGAATTTATGAATTCAATGATTTAAGAATTTTGAATGAATGAGTTTGTGAATAAACCAAATTTGGTTTCTTGAGGTCATAGCTTAAGAGGCATTCTCAGAAAGTGCTCTATACCCCACTCCACACTCCAGATCCCCAAAGACTTTCTCAGAGGTGTTTTCTAGTTGCTAGAAGTGGGAAAAATGGGAAACCTTCTGCAGGGCTTGGGGACTGACGAGACCCAAGGAAACCAACAGCATGAGCAGAGGCCTCCACAGAGGCAGAAGGACAGCCCAGAGCCCGGAGTCCTGGACCCCTGTGGGGGCTGCTTTTATTTATTTACAGAATGTATTGATACTTACTTCTTTCCAAAAATGACTTTGAAATGAGTGCCTGCCGCAGTCAGAGGAGTACAAAATAAGACAGGGGGACAGAATCCACCGGAAGTTCCAGGGCAGGAGGTTTGCTTGGCAAAGGTCTGGGTTCTGCATGGAGTTCTCAACTCATCAGAGCAAGTGGAAGCTGGGCTCGAGCCAAGAGAGAAATCAGAAAGGGTACATCAAGAAAGAAAGAGAAAAATCACTGGAGATGCAGAAAAAGGAAAGGAAGAGGTAGTCAATTAAGAGGCTGGAACCTGGGGTGGGACCCGGCAGGTGGTAACCTGAGACTCACTTCCTGCCAGAACAGACAGGTGCAATTCAGATGGCCTCTTCCAGGAAAAGAGGTGACTGCATGGTGGTGGATATTTCCCTACAGAGCAGGATCTTTTGCAGCGGAGTGTCTGAGTGCATCACCAAAGTCTCTTTCCTCCCATCCTAAACTTATCATTAGATACGCAGTGGATTCATAGGAAGCCCGTGCTCACCACGATTTTTATATTTATTTATTTATTTATTTGAGATGGAGTCTTGCTCTGTCGCCCAGGCTGGAGTGCAGTGGCACAATCTTGGCTCACTGCAAGCTCCACCTCCTGGTTTCACGCCATTCTCCTGCCTCAGCCTCCGGAATAGCTGGGATTACAGGCGCCCGCCACCATGCCCAGCAATTTTTTGTATTTTTAGTAGAGACAAGGTTTCACCGTGTTAGCCTGAATGGTCTCGATCTCCTGACCTCGTGATCTGCCCGCCTTGGCCTCCCAAAGTGCTGGGATTACAGGCGTGAGCCACGGCGCTCAGCCCTTACCACAGTTTCTAAAAATCATCTGTGAGGGAGTTGTAAAATTATTGGCACCAAAAAAGAGATATTGCACCTAATTGCTGAGCCCAAGCATGGTTTTGACACATGAGTTCCACAATGGGAAATATTACTCCCAAACTCTAGGTTCATAAATAGACCTGGCACTGGTGTCCTCAGAACAGACAACTTTGGATCTGTCATGTCCTTTTGTTACGTTTCCTCCCCCTTTAATTTGGGGGAATGCAATTGAATATGGCAGACTGGTATTTAGATTGCAAGCTGCCGTCATATTTCAATTGGTGTATGATCTATTTGGGGGCCAGTATTGTGTGTTCTGGGGCTCTTCTGTTGGAGGCTAATATGGTTTGGCTGTGCCCGCACCCAAATCTCATCTCGAAGTGTTGCTCTCATAATTCCCGTGTGTTGTGGGAGGGACCCAGTGGGAGATAATTGAATCATGGGGGCGGTTTCCCCCATACTGTTCTCATGGTAGTGAATAAGTCTCACAAGATCTGTTGTTTTTAGAAGGGGTTTCCCCTTTCACTTGGCTCCCATTTTCTCTCTTGCTGCCACCATGTAAGAAGTGCCTTTAGCCTTCCGCTATGACTGTGAGGCCTCCCCAACCATGTGGAACTGTGAGTCCACTGAACCTCTTTTTCTTTATAAATTACCCAGTCTGGGTGTGTCTCTATCCACAGCATGAAAACACACTAATAAAGAGGCTCTATGCATAATGGTTAAGAGCTTGAGCTGAGGGTCAGATGGTCCCGGTTTCCAAACATCAGAGTGTCCATCTATAAAATGGCATTCATACAGAGGTGATGCACATAGATCACCTCACATGCCTAGCACAGTCAGTGCTCAGTAAATGTCACTACTGATGTTATGCCTCATCTTCAGAGCCTCTGGACTTACAGGAGTGGGAAGTGTAGTATTGCTTAGAGGGTAGGCGTCCCCTTTGCATTGCACTTTCCACAAGAGTGGTGGTTAGGAGGTCACTGATCTCTTTGAGACGCTAATGAAAACTACAAACCTTCTTCCCAGAATAGCACATACATGTATGTGTGAGTGCACACTCATGCACATGTTTTTGCCTTCAAGCTCAGGGAGTTCATAGGACGCCACCCCAGAGCCTACCCTTGCACCCCTGTCTGGGCACCAAGTTGTGATTAGCCCATTTGGGAGCTGAGATACAGCTATCCAGTTTGTCCAGGAGATGCTACATCAAGCCAAATGACAGCTGCAAAGACCCAACCCAGGCCCCCATCAGACACCCTCCCTCAGTCTGGGTGGAAAGGACTTTGTACATCGAGTTCATCAGGGAGGTAAAAGATAAAAGTGTCTGTATGTGACTTGGAGTCTTTATTTCATTCTACTCATATTTGGGGAGAAGGAATTGTCAATAGTATCTGACACAATAAAGTGAAAGTTAAATCATTTTGTCAACAATCTCCAGATAAACGTACTCCAGCAAAATTAACGAAGGTCCTGATTAACCATGCCCTTTAATTTGGGACGGGGGTAAAATACAAATATATGAGTGATTGGTGCTCATACAAGGAAGAGGGGCCTTACTGTTTAAACACATTAGGGCCATATTGATGCCACTGTAGAGCTATGACTATGTAAAGTACCAGCGTGGCTAGGCATTGCGACCTGTACCTGCAATCCCAGCTACATGGGAGGCTGACGCAGGAGGATTGCTTCAGGCCAGGAGTTCAAGGCCAGCCTGGGCAACATAGCAAGACCCTATTTCTAAAACAATTAAAAATGAATAAGTTATAATAATAATTTTAACAATCATTAAATAAATAAGGTACCAGTGTGATAACAATGACATCTCGCTTAGATAGTGCCAGTTCTGTAATCCTGTGATCCTCTTTGCCCAAGGTCACACAGCCCCCCAACCAGTGAACTCAACTGGAGAGCGTTATCCAATATGACTTATGGGATGCACAAAAGTGTGACTTGGAGATAAACTAGTTGAAATTCTCTCCTCTTGTAATCTTTATTTTCTTGGAGAAATAGTGAAGAAATTAATGTTATAAAAGCTCTGCAAAAGTGAACTGACCACCTAATTAGTCCAGGTGAATATTTAAACCACTGTGGAAAAGTTGATTTTTCCATTTGCTATTGCTGTGTAATGAACCAAAACCTCAGTGGCATAAAACACTAGTCATTTATCATCACCCACGTATTTGCATGTTTACAGGGCTGGCTTGGTCTTGGCTGATCTGGACTTGGCGCCTCTGATCCTGGTGTCTCTCATCCTCCTGGACCCACTGGCTGACTGGATATGTTCCTATCATGGCATTGGCAGAAGCACAAGGGAGAGAGCCCGACCCCACAAGTACTTTCCAAGGTCCTTGACTGAGTTGGGTCCACTAATAGCCCGTTAGCCAAAGCCACAAAGTCACCCAAATTCCATAGGCGCACCCAAAGCCGAATGGCAGGGCAGCTATGGGGGAGGGGAAAGGGGCAAATATTTCTGAACGGTCATCTAATCTTCCCAGCGTGAGAGAGAGAGAGGGAAAGCTTAAGAGAAATAAGATGTTTTGCAGTGGTTCTCAACTTTGCATATTAAAGCTACCTAGAGATGTTTTTTAAATACCTATGCATGGGTCCAACCTCAAAGATTCTGAGCTAGGGTGTGGTCCTGACATGGAAGTCAAGTATGAAAACCACTCTAAAGATTTCCCAGAGCCCTTCCTCAAGAGCAGTCATCTCACCCCTAACTGCGCATCAGAATCACCTCGGGAGCTTTTACAAACTACACATGCTGGAGACCTGCCCCAGACCAGCATGTTATTTTTTTTTTAAGCATTCCGGCTGGGTATGGTGGCTCACACCTGTAATCCCAGCACTTTGGGAGGCCAAGGTGGGCAGATCACTTGAGGCAGATCACTCCAGCCTGGCCAACATGGCAAAATTCTGTCTCTACTAAAAATACAAAAATCAACCAGGCATGGTGGTGCACGCCTGTAATCCCAGCTGCTCGGGAAGCTGAGACAGGAGAATCGCTTGCACCCAGGAGGCAGAGGTTGCAGTGAGCTGAGACCGCACCACTGCACTCCAGCCTGGGCCGCAGAGGGAGACTCTGTCTCAAAAAAAAAAAAAAAAAAAAAAAAAAAAAAAGGATCCCTGACTATTCTAACATTCAGGCAGGCTTGAGAACAATGGTTACTTGAGAGCCATAACACCCCAGTTCAGTTCTTTTATTCATGACACAAAGATTATTCAAGGCCTACGGCTATATGTGCTAGGGCTTGGTGACACCCCGGTGAGCCCAAATGGACACAGACTCTTCTCTCCCAGAGCTTAGTGCAGGAAACAGTCAATTAAATTATTACATTAACGAATGAGGAAGAGGCTCTGGTGGAAAAGAACATGAGTCTGTGACAGCAACAGCAAACCCTGGGGAAGTCATACAAGGCTTCCTTGAGGAGGTGTTCTGGGCCCGGGCCTGGCTGTAAACGCAAGGAGCCCCTAGAGTTAAATAGAAAGTAGGAGCAGGGTCAGCATCGCCTCCACCACATCTCAGTGCTGTTCCAGTGAACAAAGACATACCTTGCAGGAAGATTTTTGGGGGGTGGGGTCTAGGTGCCTCAGCAGACACCAAATGGGCTGGAGGAGACAAAGCTGACAGGCAGATCCACTGATCGCCACATGGTAGGAGGGAGATAGAACTCTCCTCGCCTCTTCTCCCCTCCCCAGGGGCAGCTGCCATCAGTGGATGCGTTGAAAGGACCAAGCCCCCATCTGGAAGGGCTGGAGGGGAGAGGGATTGGGAACGGTGAAGTTGCAAGGAAGGAGATCTGGGTGATAGAAAGTTCTGGAATTGTAGGTGTTTGCTGCTAAGAGGTGTCTCAGTTTGGTGGGCAGTTCAGCTCCTAAACTCCATGAGCTTTGGAGTTCTGGAGGTTTGCAGGACTGGGGGCGGTGGTACAGTGGAGCAGGTTTGCCCAGGTGCCAAATGTACACATCTCAACTCTGCTTAGTGACATTCTGTCAGGGGCTCAAAATCAGCCACGGTGGGAGTATTTACACCATGGAAATCAGTAAAAGCCAAAAATCAGGGCTCTCTTTTATCTCCACCTCAGGAGAGCCTGTTGTTAGACTTTTATATCACACCACTGGCTGGAAGGAACTTTTAGCTTGGAAATCCTTAATTGATGAGCTCCAGGCCAATCAAGTGAGGGTTCAGAAGCAAAGGAAGGGAGCTGACATAGAACTGAAGCTGCAGGAAGGAAGGCAAAGCTACAGAGAGTGAGCATTTGGCTGGAAATTCCTGTCGGGTCTATCTCCAGAACCCAGGAGGGGAGGACATATGGACATAAGAGGCTGAGGCCGTTTATGTGCAATGAGTTCTTAAGCAGGTCACTTTTCTAGCCCACAGGGCTTGTTTTATTGCAGGACCAGGCAATTTTTTGAGTTCCCTTCTAATGCTAACACGTATAAGTTTAACTATGTATATCTGTACATAGAAATTTAACTAGCAATATGGAAGGAAACCCACAAGCCACACCACTGGTCCTGTCCACAAGCATGGGTAACATAAAATGAGGTGGATTTATTCATTCGTCAATTCATTTGTCAAATTCGAATTATTTTTGAGACTTGCTGTGATACAGCATCTCTCTTCCTAAGCATTGTGTATGATATTAAGAAAATTTGCCAAAGCTCACTCCCTACCCACCATCCCTACCTCTCCTCTCTCCTGCACGGTACCTCCAACATCTGGATTGCACACCAGAGGGTATGGGAAAGCAGAACAAAACCAGATGAGAAATCTGGAAGTCAGGTGTAGCAGATGCTGTCAATGTCCCATCAATATCCCCTGCTCTGCAAAAAGCCCTTCAAGATGCTTCTTTCGCTGAGGTCTTTTTCTGGCCTTGAGGCCACATTTGGCCTGCGTGCACAGTGAACCATGGAGGTGGTACAGTGTTCACGCCCCTGGAAGCAGCTTCAGGCAGTGACGATGGGAACTGAGGAGCCCAGCCCTGGTTGTTCTTCACTGTCCCCCAGAGTCCCCAGAGAGCTGAGCTCATTTCCCACAGCAGTAACTAGCTTGATAACCCATTTTTTACTGGCTCTCTCCCCTTCCCCACTCCCCTACCAATGTTTCCTGCTATCAGCTCCCAAATAAATAATTTGCATTAGAATCTTTGTCTCAGAGTGGGCTTCTGGAGGAATCCAAATGAAAACAGCGGGAGTCTAACAGTGGGCTGGGAAGCTTCAGAAAACTGCTGGACTTCTCTGAAACTTGCTTTCCTCTTCCATAAAGTGGGTTCCCATAAGACTGTCTGTCCCTTACCCCTCTCACAGAGAGGAGGCAAGGTGGCATGAGGCAAGAGGTGCGACAGGGCCTGGGAGAAGCCACAGCACCCACGGTGGGGACATCTTATGCTGGTTTGGAAGATGTTAGATGTCTCAGAGAAAGACAGACTTTATTCCCCGGAGAGCTTCTGAGAGGGTAAAGACATATTTGACCTAAAGTGGTTTTGGAACTGGATCTTACCCCAAAATAGAGAGAATGAGAGAAAGGCAGGAAGGCAGACAAGAAGGAACGGAGGGAGGGAGGAAAGAAAGAAAGAAAATAGAAAAATGAAATTTGTATGATTTTCTCATTTTACAACCCAACAGAGTCACTGGCATTTGGGGACTGTCCTTAAAAGATTTGGAGAATGAAGGCTGGGCACAGTGGCTCATGCACTAATCCCAGCACTATGAAAGGCCGAGACGGGCAGATCACCTGAGGCCAGGAGTTCAAGATCAGCCTGGCCAACATGGTGAAACCCCATCTCTACTAAAAATATAAAAATTAGCCAGGTGTAGTGGCAGGAGCCTGTAATCCCAGTTACTCAGGAGGCTGAGGCAGGAGAATGGCTTGAACCCGGGAGGCAGAGGTTGCAGTGAGCCAAGATCACACCACTGCACTCCAGCATAGGTGACAGAGCAAGACTCTTTCAGAAAAAAAAAAAAAAAGGTTTGGAGAATGTGTAACGACATGATCCTCAAGAAAATTAAAATAACTTATGCTGAAAAATTGAAATAGAGTCTTTAATTTTCCAAGTCACAGAGCTACAAACATGTACAGATAAAACTGACAGGATATATAAATGTTAGCAAACTTCCCCCTTTAAAAAAGAGAATTCTCTTTGTCAACATTTGTTCTCATATCAACAAATTAGGGAAAGGACCTAAACGTTCAATTAAATACTCTTTGGATCAGAAAACCACGGAGAGAAACGTGTGGCAGTCCCAAGTGTGTTCCTGGTTTACCTCATTGTTTCTGAGCTCTGCAGCCTGACACATACGGTGCGTAATATTATCCAAACAGCATCACACGCATGTGCCCAAAGGGACAGCCACATCCCCAGTCCCGGCTCTGTGCCTTATTTTTAAAGCTTTGGGGCTTTTTCAACATTATTTTTGCGCTGTAAGGGAAGAATGAAGGGGCAGGGGGATGGGAAAAGAATTGAAAATAACCAGTTTCAAACATGCCCCTAACTCACACGCCAAAATATGGCTTTCTAATGAGAGGACTGCACAGCACAAAGCTGTGGCCCCAGGAAAGTGCAGACGTTATGGGTACCCCCGTTCATACCGCAGCAGAACGATGAGTGCACAGCTGGTGAGACACCCCACTTGCCTCAACTTCTAGAAAAACTGGAGCGATTCAGGCTGGGTGTGGTGGCTCAGGCCTATAATCCCAGCACTTTGGGAGGCCAAGGCGGGCGGATCACCCGAGGTCAGGAGTTTGAGACCAGGCTGGCCAACATGGCAAAACCCTGTCTCTACTAAAAATAAAAATTACAAAGATTGGCCTGGCAAGGTGGTGTGCACCTGTAGTCCCATCTATTCAGGAGGCTGAGGCAGGAGAATCGCTTGAACCCAGGAGGCGGAGGTTGCAGTGAGCGGAGATTGCACCACTGCACTCCAGCCTGGGTGAGGGATTGAGGCTCCATCTCAAAAAAAAAAAAAAAGAAAGAAAGAAAGAAAAAAAAAAAGAAAAACTGGAGAGATTCACACTCCAGGGCAATGGATCTTTCTTCTATAAGTCCAAAACTTTTCCAGCAAGTTGTTTAGGACGGAAGGATTAGAGGGAACAAGAAGCAGGGAATGCACCCGTCGACACCACCCTGCTAACACTTTATGCGTTTTTTAAAGTTATTTTCTTTTTTAATTCTTAAAAGTTCACACTGAGCCAGACAAGTTTCAATCCCATATAAATTCAGATGATGAATCCACACAAAGCTCCGGAAGATTTGCAATGGAAATGGCCACCGGCCCTTAACTACAGAGCCCAATGCGACACTTGCAGCGT
The DNA here is from genome assembly GCF_000001405.40 of Homo sapiens. Lineage (NCBI taxonomy): Eukaryota > Metazoa > Chordata > Mammalia > Primates > Hominidae > Homo > Homo sapiens. Next base: position 33,149,002 of record NC_000021.9, read on the forward strand.
GTCTGATTTGGAATTCAAATTCCACTCAAGACAATGGTCCTTTATTAAGTTTCTGACATTCATACCTTGCCTGCTGGCTGGGCCATTTCTCACTGACCACTTATCCTGGGAGGCATTCTAACTCTTCACCCAAACACGTTAAGAAGGTGAACTGACCAAAGGGAACCACCCAAAGAGATAAAATGCTGTGCAAAACTGAGTCTGACAAAGCCCCTGCTCTCTGCCTCACGCCATCCTTTGCTGGCCACACCCATTTGCCTTTCCGAGCCATGAAACCGAAAGGGTTGTCTCTGTGGCTGAGCCAGGTACCTGTTGACCACCCTTTCCCCCTCTCCAGTTCATATCCTCTGCTGCTGTCAGTGACACATGCTTCCTGGCTCATCTGGGTGGCCCAGCCTCATTAGGAAGGGATTTGGTGCCTGTTAGTTAATTGAGGCCCGTTCCTGCCACCTGCCACTCGCAGGCCTCATCTGCACACTAACTGCTTCTAATTGTCATCATACGGCAGGATCCCCGCAACAACTTGAGAACAGATCCCGAGCAGCCCGTGCAGGCTCCACGACGGTCCAGGGAGCTGAGGCTCAGGGAGCATCGGGCACTGTGACGATTTAGCAAGGGGCCAGATGTTTGGAAAAGAAAGGCACTTTGCATCAACATCAGTGTGAAAGTTTCTCATTTATTATACTCCCCGGTGCCACTTTATAGCTAGGATGAATAAAAGGCTTCATCTGTACAGAAACCAACTCAATGGAGAACAAATGGCTCAGCGTCGCAGACTGCACATCACGCAGAAATGGTGCGGCTTATCCACGCACAACTGGAGCCGGCGCATTGGCTTAACTTCTCCTATTGAGAAGTCGGAATGTGTTTAGGATATCAGAGCGTACCCCCACACCCTGTTTTGAAAGAGTTTGAGTAGAAAAAGGTGCAGAGGTGAGTGCCAAAAGCTGATCAGCCCCTTGAGGTTGGAGAGGGGAGTCGGGGAGGAGACACAGGATGACACAGAAGGAGAAAGTCAAACACACTCAGAGACCTGAAGGGAAAAGAGACGGAGGGAAAATGTACCATCCAGTGGAAGAGTCGGAAGGGGCTTTGGCGTAGGTACAGAATACATATCTGAGGGAAATGGAAATACATTCAAGACACAAGCTGTGAGGACTAAGGAGAGAGACAGTGAGAAAGGGGAAAGGAGAGTCTGTCATTATAGGAAGTCACAGGATTTAGGGGCTCAGGAACCACATCTGGAGGGAATCAATCTGGACTTAATAGAAATTAGGTTACAGCAAGTAATACAATTAGTTTGGTTTTAGTTTTGGGTTTTTTGTTTGTTTGTTTTTTGAGAAGGAGTCTCACTCTGTCGCCCAGGCTGGAGTGCAGTGGCATGATCTGGGTTCACGGCAAGCTCCACCTCCCGGGTTCATGCCACTCTCCTGCCTCAGCCTCCCGAGTAGCTCGGACTACAGGTGCCCACCACCACATCCGGCTAATTTTTTGTATTTTTAGTAGAGACACGGTTTCACTGTGTTAGCCAGGATGGTCTCGATCTCCTGACCTCATGATCTGCCCACCTCGGCCTCCCAAACTGCTGGGATTACAGGCATGAGCCACCATGCCGGGCCTAGTTTTGGTTTTTAAACTACAATCATAACCCCAGCCCACCTCCCCGGGAGTCGAAGCCCCAGGGTCTCGGGATGCCCCATCACTGGGGTATTTGTCCGGTCTCTTCCCCTAAAACTGGGAAGTATTTTTTGCCTAGAGATTTCTAAGTCATGTCTGCTTATGAGTCCTTTCCTGCTGGATGAAGGAATGGAAAGAAATAAGGAAAACCTGGGATGAACCTAGGAGGGACGTGGCACCAGAGAAAAAGAAACAAGAATGAGAAACGCAACACCCAAAAGGCTCAAGTGTGGAATTAAGGGTGAGACATATGGCTTCGTCGCCACAGATTTAGCCAATGGATAAAAATATGCCCCGAGACAGGTTGCAGCAATGTCTCCTCACTCCCCCATCTCTAAGATTCCAGAAAGAAACCAAAACAAATGGAAAGTCAAAGCCTGCCCTGGAAGGCTCGTTTATTTGTCTGTTTGATTTTTAGAGACAGGATCTCGCTCTGTTGCCCAGGCTGGAGTGCAATGATGCAATCATAGATCACTGCAGCCTCAACCTCCTGGGCTCAAGTGATCCTCTTGCCTCAGCCTCCTGAGTAGTTGAGACCACAGGCACACCACCATGCCCAGCTAATCTTTTCATTTTTTGTAGAAACAAAGTCTCACTATGTTGCCCAGGCTGGTCTTGAACCCCTGACCTCAAGAGATCCTCTTGCCTTGGCCTCCCAAAGTGCTGGGATTACATGTGTAAGCCATGATACCCAGCCTACACTACAGTGCCCAGCCATGTGTGGGTGTTTTGTTGTTTTGTGGGGTTTTGTTTTCTGTTTTTTGAGATGGAGTTTCACTCTTGTTGCCCAGGCTGGAGAGCAATGGTCCATCTCGGCTCACTGCAACCTCCACCTCCCAGGTTCAAGGGATTCTCCTGCCTCAGCCTCCCAAGTAGCTGGGATTACAGGCATGCGCCACCACGCCCTGCTAATTTTGTATTTTTAGTAGAGATGAGGTTTCACCATGTTGGTCAGGCTGGTTTCAAACTCCTGACCTCAAGTGATCTGCCCGCCTCTGCCTCCCAAAGTGCTGGGATTACAGGCGTGAGCCACTGCACCCGGCCGTGTGGGTTTTTTAATAAACCAAGTTCTGAAATTAATGCCATCCTTTCTAACAGAGAGAGAAGGAAGGAAAGGAGGGAGGGAGGGAGGGAGGGAGGAAGGAAGGAAGGGAGGGAGGGAGGGAGGGAGGGAGGGAGGGATATACCCTGAAATGGAAAAGGCAGGGTGTTGTGAATTGCTTCCAGAAGAGGTTTCAGAACTGTTACCCACCCGAGTCACCAGCTTCAGAAAAGGGCCCGTTCCTCCAGACTTCCCCAAAGACAACCATCGAGGAGAGGGTAGTCGTGTTGATTAAACCCCAGAGAGCCAAGAGAGCAAAGCCACATTTTGCCGGAACACAGCACCTCTTACAAAGACACCTCCATTCTTTTGGTTTCCTCCACAAATATATCAAGTGATTTTTGAGGAACTAGCTGCCACTGGCTTTCTTCCTAAGTTTTGACGAAGAACAATTTATGTCTTCCCAGAGCTCACGCTTCCGCCTCATGCGCAAAGCCTTAAAATGTCCTTCTGCATAATTTGCTAACCCCAGCACCTGTGCCTCATCTCAGCTTAATTCTGCCCACGATGCAAAACCCAAAGAGCCCTTCTTTTCACATCTTGCCTGCCTGCTACTGGCTTTCGGGCTCCCCCTCCTCAGCGTCCCTCCCTGGACGTCACTCACTCACTGCCTTTCCCCCCGCTCGCCTCCTCCAGCCTGGGAACCCGAGGGGCCTAAGTCTAGGCTGCTTCCGAGAGCTGGCAGATTTCAGAGGAAAAAAAAACACACGAGAAAGAAAGAATGGCAGTTTGACACTGCACTGTCACAGTTAAAATGGGCCCTGCGCGTGACCCAGGCTTGGACACCGAGGCCTCGTGCCCAATCACAGCTGAGGCTGCATCTGCCACGGTTCACGGACCCGCCGCTCCATGCTGGGGGACCAGATGCCTCTGTTTACGCCGCTCTCCTCCCAGCCTTCTGCCGGCCGGTCGGCAGCAAGACAGAGCCCGGGAGCCCGTCACTGGGCTTCAGCTGTCTCCCCAGTCTTGTCTTTCAATATATTCTCTCCTCTACCCCTTTTTGTCTCCACACCCCCTTCCCCAAATGGCCAGAAGGGGTATCCCTCTTTTTCAAGTTTGACCCAATAGAACAAAGCGGAGAAAGACTAACCAGGGCGACTTTGATTCCTGCCATCCTCGAAACAACACAGTGTTCAAAGATCAGGCCGGCCCGGCGCGGTGGCTCAAGCCTGTAAGCCCAGCATTTTGGGAGGCCAAGGTGGGCGGATCACTTGAGGTCCGGAGTTACAGACTAGCCTGGCCAACATGATGAAACCCGGTCTCTACTAAAAGTATAAAAATCAGCCAGGCGTGGTGGTGCGCTCCTGTAACCTCAGCTACTCGGGAGGCTGAGGCAAGAGAATCACTTAAACCCAGAAGACAGAGGTTGCAGTGAGCCGAGATCATGCCACTGCACTCCAGCCTGGGTGACAGAGCGAGATTCAATCTCAAAAAAAAAAAAAAAATCAGGCCAGCACATCACCATCACCCCATTCTGTTTCTCCACCATCTTCCTGCTTTAAATGTGTCTGTGAGTGCTGGGAATATGGACATTGGAAAACCAAGTTGAGATGCCAGCATTTAACCTTTTCAGTTTTATAAAATTGACCCATTTTGCTGGAAGTTGAGGGCTGGGAGAAGGAGTGACAGGTTTAAAGCCAGCAGTTCACTGCCATCTCTTAAAGGCCCTCAAAATGGATTTGGGGTTTATCTCTTAAGAGACATCTGGGGCACGATTGCCACTCTCTTTTCTTTCACTGACCCTGCAGCTCAGGACTTGCGCAGAAGGTATGTGTGGGCATCCCTCCCAGACAAGGGGAGTAGAGCACACAGAAGAAAGTGTGTTAGTCCCCAGAGGCCAAGTGAATTCATGTCTGGGTGCAGAGCAGACCAAGGGCCAAGGGTTGCCCCATACACAGTCTCCCCTGCAGCACCGAGGAGCATCTTCAAAGCAGACCCAGCTGCCCGTTCTCTGGCTCCCAAAGCACCACACCTTTGGCCAGAGAAGGGAAGAAGGGAAGTTTCCACCGACAGGCTCTCTCATTGCCAAAGGTGATGGCTGTCCTTCACATGCCAGTGGCCATCCTTGCTGAGGACTCACGCCCTCATCACGGGTACTGAGCACTGCCTCTCCATCACTGTGCTTGTTCTTGGAAGCATCTGGGATTCGCTTCCTCTCCTCACCTTTCCCTCCCCCAAAGCTCCCCGCATCACACCCCCAGCTCCTGCCACTGGACACTTCTCTTTCCAAAATTGAGCTTCAGAATGAACTTTGGCCTAGAAATTATATGACCCACCGTAACAGGTTCTACAGGCTATGCTAAATTCTTTCTGGGCTGGCCTGGAATTCAAACAAACATGTGGGGCTGGGTCTTAGGGGTATATGCTGGTAAATGAATCGGGGGCCCCTGCCCTCAAGAAGTTCACAGCTACACCAGCAAGATTGTCACCAATTCATCAAAATACAATGTGGCAAGTGGTACACATTGAGAATTACCATGGGGATGCCAGGTGCAGTGGCTCACACCTATAATCCCAGCACTTTAGGAGGCTGAGGCAGGAAGATCACTTGAGGCCAGAGATTCGAGCCTGCAGTGAGCTATGATTGTGCCACTGCACTCCAGCCTGGGCAACAAAGTGAGACCATATCTCTACAAATTATATTAAAAATAATTTTTGACCAGGCACAGTGGCTTATGCCTATAATCCCAGCACTTTGGGAGGCCAAGGTGGGTGGATCACTTGAGGTCAGGAGTTCGAGACCAGCCTGGCCAACATGATGAAACCCCATCTCTATTAAAAATGCAAAAATTAGCCGTGCGTGGTGGTGGGCACCTGTAATCCCAGCTACTCAGGAGGCTCAGGCAGGAGAATCACTTGAACCCAGGAGGCGGAGGCTGCAGTGAGTTGAAATCTCACCACTGCACTCCAGCCTGGGTGACAGGGTAAGACTCTATGTCAAAAAAAAATTTTTAACAAAATAAAAATAATTTTTTTATAAAAGAAACAAAATGCTGGGCAAGGTGGCTCTTCTAGCACTTCAGGAGGCTGAGACAGGAGGATCACTTGAGGCCAGGAGTTCAAGACCAGCCTGGTCAACATACTGAGATCCCCCATCTCTACAAAAAATTCAAAAATTTTGGTGCACCTGTAGTCCCAGCTTCTCAGGAGGCTGAGGTGAGAGGATTGCTTGAGCCCAGGATTCTGAGGTTGCAGTGAGCTATGATTATGCCACTGCACTCCAGCCTGGGTAAGAGAATAAGACTCCATTGGAAGGGAGGGAGGGAGGGAGGGAGGGAGGGAGGGAGGGAGGAAGGAAGGAAGGAAGGAAGGAAAGAAGGGGAAGAAAAGAAAGAAAAAGAAAGAAAGAGGGAGGGAGGGAAAGAAGGAAGGAAGGAAGGGAGAGAGATAGAGGGAAGGAGGGAAAGAGAGAGAAAGAGAGAGAAAGAAGAAAGAAGGAAAGAAAGGAAGAGAAAGAAAAAGAAAAAGAAAGAAAGAGAAAAAAGAAAGAAAGAAAGAGAAAGAAAGGAGGGAGGGTGGGAGGGAAGGAAGGAAAGAAGGAAGGAAGGAAGGGAAGGAAAAGATGCTGAGAAAAGGGCAAATAAATTCCGCCTGGGCTCAGTGAGGGAAAGTTTCATAGAAGGGTGACATTTGAGCTGAATCTTGAAGAGTTTAAAAAAAAAACACACACACATGAGGTGAAGGCATGGAAGAAAACATGTAGAAAGAAGGAAAACCCATCATTCTTTCCACTACTGAGCACACAGCATAAGCCAGACGTGGTAGTAGGTGCTGGAGACTCTGACATACGCAGGAAACTATGGGCGTGATGGTATTTTATTGAGGAATATGCTGTGAATGCCATGTGGCAATTTAGCAAATGAGGCTCTGAAAAGCAGCTCGTTTATAACTTGGCAGTTACTGACATGTGAATGTCAAATACAGACATGCACTTTGCCACATTTAGTCCTTCAGGGTTCGCTGGGACCAGCATGCATTCCACAGGAAACAAAAAAAGAGATCCAGAGGGAAAACGTGTTGCTAATCCAAGTATTTGAATAATATTTATCATGCGTGGAGTACATGCAAAGCACCTACTGAATGCTCTTTGTGAGTTAAAGAGGTTGGCAGATTTGAGTTTATGCAAACCAATATAATATGACAACATGATATCATTATGTCTATTATATTTATAGAATTATATTAACTTTATGTTATGTAGTTTTGCAAACAAGGTCCTGTCTATAATAATAGCAATTTTATTTTATTTATTTATTTATTTTTTAGACAGAGTCTTACTCCATCACCCGGGCTGGAGTATAGTTGGTGCCGTCTCGGCTCACTGCAAACTCCACCTCCCAGATTCAAGCGACCCTCCAGCCTCAGCCTCCTTAGTAACTGGGATTACAGACATGCACCACCACATCCAGCTAATTGATAACAGTAATTTTATTTATTTATTTATTTGACAGAGTCTCGCTCTGTCACCCAGTCTGGAGTACAGTGGCATGATCACTACAACTTCTGCCTCCTGGGTTCAAGCAATTCTTCTGCCTCAGCCTCCCAAGGAGCTGGGATTATAGGTGCGCACCACCACACCCAGCTAATTTTTGTATTTTTAGTAGAGACAGGGTCTTGCCATGTTGGCCAGGCTGGTCTTGAACTCCTGATGTCGGGTGATCCACCGACCTTGGCCTCCTACAATGTTGGGATTACAGGTGTGAGCCACCATCCCCGGCTGATAATAGTAATTTTAAATACTCAACACAAATATTATTTTTAACCCCTGCATCTTCCTTCAGATCTGAGAAGTTTCTTGAAGACCATCAGCATCTTCAGTGGGCGACTGGAAGATACACTGTGGTTACCTGGGAGGCAGCCCAGCCTGGACCAGCAACCCAACCTGCTTCTTCAGAGCAAAACAAGAACTAGGAATCATCTTTTCACCTGGGAAGGAATCAAGTAAAAAGCAAAATTGAACTAAAGGCAAGGGTGACATAATTTGTATTACATATAAATGACCAGAAACCACTGGTGGCCACAAAGTTTTACTTTGAGCTAATAAAACATATGCATGCATCTAGTGTAAATCTAAGAGTCTAAGGATGTTACAAGCCTGTTAAAGACCCTATTAACTCCATTCTTCCTAGATTTCCAGTATATTCTTCTTCTGAGATGTCACTTTGCAAATTTAGTTTTAACCTAAAATGTTTTAGCAAAAAATGGTGAACATATTTTGGCAAGATGTCATTCATATAGTTTAAAATAGTGCTTTCTAGGTATGAAATGACATCTGTGAGAGCCCCACCACTCACAAACCCTAACACACACTTTCCCTTTTGAAAATAATTTCGTATCTGAGTCACAGCTCCCTGCACATGCTTAACTTAAAGTGACTCCAAAATACGCCATAAATATTAACTAATTAATCCCCATGACAACACAGGGAAGCCCTGAAAAACTCTGGAGAGTGCCCATGGCCTGGGCAGCAGTGCCACAGCTTGATTTTTAAGAATCTTGTTCTTTCTAGGCTTTCTCTGATCAGGACATCCCTTATTGCCTTCAAAAAACAAGACAAAACAATGACAACTCAAGAATGTGGCAGTGGTGACTGCTGCTGCTGCTTCCCTTCCCTCCTCCTCCTCCCTCTTTCTCCTCCTCCTCCCTCTTTCTCCTCCTCCTCCCTCTTTCTCCTCCTCCTTCCTTCCTCTCTCTTCTCTCTCTCTCTCTCTCCTCCGCCCCACCCCACCAAAAGCAGAGCTGTTTATCCTTGGTGTTGACTATCAGACCCCGAGCTTGTAATTCAGCACCAAGGACACCTCTCATGCTTTTGGAAACTGCTAGACAGTCTACCCTGTTATAAATTAAAGCTTTGGTTTAAAGATCACCACGAAAACCAGCCCACCAAGAAAAGTATTCCCTGCCTCAACCATAATTGCAGTGATGACTTTCAGGCAAAAAAGTATATCTATATCTAATTATCTATATGTATTGTAATTATATTAATTAATATTTTAATTTATTTTAATTAATTCATAAATCTTAAATATAATCCATACTAAGCAAATGCCTGCTGAATGTTTGTATTTATAGTATAAAATAAAAGGCTCAAATGTCCAGGTGTTTGGGACCTCAGGGAGTGGCTGAGACCACATGGTCTTCATTTCACAGATGATGGAGCCAAGCTCCATTGAGACGATGGCATCTGCCTGGATTCCAGGAACTGGGGACTATTTTCTACCGACCACTCCTTCCATTATGTCTTTCACTAATATTAGGAAATCAGCCTTATGCTACAAGTGTTTTTATTTCCCTCCTGAGAAGCTTTCCCCTGTTGATAATTTTTTTCGAAAGCAGGTTTTTGAAAGAACATCTCCTTAGGGATTTATTATAAGTTAGCAACTTATGAAACTTTTGTATCCCCTTCACCCAGCCCCCACTTGTTGTTTATGCCCATTTTGCTTTAGAAGATAATAGGTCTTTTAGCTAACGAGCCTCTTGTTAAAAAAGGTAACATAAGTTAGAAAAGGTAAGGTCAAGGGCAGACCTGGGAATAGAAAGAGTGAGACCAAGAGAAACAAATGGCTCTGCATAATAATAATTAAAAAGTAGGCGCTTTCAGTTTTCTTTGGGTTGGCACAAAAGATGGGCATTACATTGAGAGTAATAACCTGAGAATTTTGGAGGTGGACAGGAACTTCATAGGAAGAGTAAAATCCCGGAACCCAGGAGCAGGCTGGGGCCAAGGGCAGTGATGGCTGGTAAAGGATGCCCCATGATGAGTTTAAGAGATCATTTTCTCAAAGTGGCCACAGCAATATCTCCATGCCTACAAGCTCTTCCCAAAAGGTGTCACTTTCCATCAATAGGTGGAGAGTAGGGATCAACCCCTTGAACTTGGGCAGGACTTTTTACTGCCTTGACAAGCAGAATGCACAGTGGAAGTGATGCTACATGATTTCTGAGGCTAGGTAAACAAAAGCAATACAGTTTCTGCCTGACTCACTCTCTCTCAGGTTGTTTACCTTTCAAACTTGGTGGCCATGTTGTGAGGAAGCCCAAGTGACATGAGGAGTTCCCGTGGAGGTGTGCTGCTGACAGCCCCAGGTGAGAGCTCAGCCAAGAATCAGCACAACACTGTGAGTGCAAACATGTGAGTGAGTGAGCTTGCAGAGGATGTGATCCCACCTAGGATGTCAGCATTCAAGACACCCTAGCTGACACTGAGTGAGTATAGGTGAAGAACATTTACAACAGTGATAATAGAAAACTTGTCATAAGTTTTTAATTTGTGCTGTAATTACACTCTGATATTCCCAAATCTTCAATAAAAATCCATTGTACAGTAAAACTTCATTAGCCTTATGTTGGAAATGGTTAAGAAATGAAGGAAAGGGACTGTGTCCATGTTGGGGCAGAGCAGTAGGAAAAGGGTGGCAGGCAGTGTAGCAATGAGGAAACCCTCAGATGTGATGGAGGGAAAAGCTAGGGGCTAGGGTGGGGAAAGAGGTGACAGGCATTAACCAGTGGAATGCAAGCTCACCCCACTCCCACACCTTCACACACACACCAGAAATTTTCAGAAGCAATGAGAAGGAGACTGGATTTCTTTTGAAAACAAGTTTTTAAACTACTGGCTTGGGATGCAATATTGCCAAGGTTTCTGCTAAAAGGTAGCCATATTACTTGAAAACAGAAGCACAAAACAACCACTGAATACACTGGATTAAGTGAACGTACTAGAAAACCACTACCTGGTAGGAAGAATGGCTCTGGTGTGGAGGAGTTACTACAAGCAGGTAAATAAATTTTTAAGGAAAAAGGGGAATTTACAAATTAAAATCAGATTTGGTTCCCAGTAAGAAACCCAAAATAAATCACTTACAAAAGATATGTTTATTTCCATCATGTGGGACTCTGAATTCAGACATTCCAGTAGGGGAATGGCTTCTCTATCATCCCCTAGGATCTATGCTATTTCCAGTTTTCAATTATGCCATTTCTGGAGTATAGCCTTCATCCTCATGGTCCAAAATGGAGCTCCAATCATGTGTACACATTGCAAGCAGCAGGTGGGAGGAAGGAGGAAAATGCATGAGGGATCTCAGCCAGTAACCTCTTAGAGAAGGTCCTTAGGAGCTATAATTCTTGCTTACAAGAGTTGGACCTGACCAATGGGCCAACAATTAGTCACATGACCACACCTAACAGCAAAACAGGCTGGAAAATGTAGTCTTACTTCCAGGAAGTCACACACCTGCCAAGAGTCAGGAGTTCTAAGGGGTGAAGAAAGGCTTTTTAAGCGAGGCAACCAACCACCTCTGTCCAGGTGGCCAGGAAGATTAAATGTCCAGGTGGTGTTACATACAGCTCAACCCTTATCCTACAAAGCATAGTTTCTCACCCACCACAGCCAAGCGAAAGTCATCAAGTGTCTCCTGTTGTTTCCCACGTTCTAAAATTGGAGGAAAGTTATTGCACAAGTGCCTAAGTAGTGCAGCTGATCCATCTGGAAAGGCTGTTCTTAAACCTTGGCTTAAAACACCTCCAAATTCCTTAAACAGCATAGCAAAATCAAGAACATATTTTCAAAAGACAATTTAATCAATATCTCTTACATTGAAACACACACACACATATATACACGCGCCTTTTATAAATACATATTTTATAGCACTTTTAGAAATGGGGGAAATGTCACGAAACAAAACATCAAGAAGTGAGGGTCACAACTCCATGATGGCAAGAACCACTGCTTCAGGAGAAAACAAAATCTGTTTTGGTTACTCACTTAAATACCAAAAGTCTGACCAAATCGAACTGCATTTGAAATTTCTGGTGGCCGTTTGCCTTGGATTTTTGTAAATTTTGATTCACTCACCAGTCCTATTTTGCCTGTAGCATAGAAGAAAATGTAATAAAGCAAGAAGAAGGTCTTTGAAGAGCCATACTTGCTAAAACCATGTGTGTGAAAAAGTGGCAGAACCAGGAGTAACCAAAAGGCACCACTCAGTGGCCAGGGTTGCTTTAGTGGCCTTGCTCGTATAGTAAGATCAATATTTCCACATGGCCGCGACTCACAGGGTTCCCATGATGGTGGTGGTGGTCATGGAGGCGACTCTCTCATTGCTTCAAATACCCTGACATCTGCAAAGTGCTTTTGCCACTTTGAGGATTTTTTTTAAATCTAATATAGTTTCATCAAAATCACGAAATTTTTGATTTGCTTCCATTTCTATGAAGGTCACATAGACCCATCTAACATTAGGTGGAACTCACCAAGATGGTGTTACTGTTGCCGAACATGGTCTTCATAATGTGGCTACAATTCCTGGCCCCCACCCCCCGGAAAGGTTAACAAGAAATTGACAAAATATAAGAAGCCTGGACTTTAAAGAGTTTAACTACACAATACCAGAACAGTCATAAAAACAGATCATCAAATGCTGACTCAAAGGCCTCCCAGAGTTGAATGAGATGAATAAAAATACAGATGAACTTGTTGATACCATCCCACACTTAGAAACCCTGAGAAAAATGTCTAAGTTTTGGGGGGCTTCAGAGTTAATCATTTTGGAAACTAGGCATTTTTGCATGTATGCTGTATTCCTTGAAGGCAACTTAACCAATTAATATAGTTTGGATCTGTGTCCCTGCCCAAATCTCATGTTGAAATGTAATCTCCAGTGTTAGAGGTGGGGCCTGGTGGGTGGTATTTGGGTCATGGGAGTGGATCCTTCATGAATGGCTTGGGCCATACCCTTGGTGATAAGTGAGCTCTCTCTCCAAGTCCACAGGAGATACAGTTGTTTAAAAGTCTGTGGCACCTTCCCCCATGTCCCCCTGCTCTCTGCTCTCTTTTTTTTTTTTTTGAAACAGGGTCTCACTCTGTCACCCAGGCTGGAGTGCAGTGGTGCAATCTCGGCTCACTGCAACCTCCACCTCCCGCGTTCAAGGCGCGATTCTCATGCCTCAGCCTCTCAAGTACCTGGAATTACATGCCTGGCTAATTGGTGTAATTTTAGTAGAGATGGGGTTTTTGTCATGCTGGCCAGGCTTGTCTCGAACTTCTGGCCTCAAGCAATCTGCCCTCATCAGCCTGGGATTACAGGCAAGTGCTGGGATTACAGGCGAGTGCCACCGCGCCCTGCTGATCTCTGTCTCTCTGTCTCTCTCTCTCTCTCTCTCTCTCTGTCTCTCTCTCTCTCCTGCTCCCACCATGTGAGATGCCTGCTCCCCTTTTGCCTTCCTCCATGAATAAAAGCTCCCTGAGGCCTCGCCAGAAGCGGATGCTGGCCTTACGCTTCCTGTACAGCCCGCAGCACCATGAGCCAATTAAGCCTCTTTTCTTTATAAATTATCCAGTCTCAGGTATTTCTTTATAGCAATGCAAGAACAGCCTAATACACACCAACCATGGCAGGTTCAATGACAATTGAGAAGACACATCTCCCAAATAGATTAACTGCAAGACACTCAAAAATAGGGTCCATATTTTGCATGTATTTCCATTCATTTAAATCTGGGTTATTAAAATAAAAGGATAGGATAAAATACTTTGAAAGAATTAAAATGATTTCACCCAGTTAGCTTTTCCTCTGTGAGTTCAGAATTGAAATAAGACTCCATTCCCATTATTACTTGCAGCCCATAGGCACACATTTGTAGTAACTCCAGCTCATTCCAACAGAATTGGAAGGAACTGCTGTGAATTTTACAGAAGTCGTTGCTCTGTGACAAAGTTCACGGCTCCCTGCACCCCCTGCCTCCGAATCCCACCAGAAGCCATCATTCCTGATTAAAGCAAGCACTGTCAATTTGGCCGCGGCCCGGGCCATTCCAATCCCCTCTGAAAACATTGCCAAAACAGATTTCTGACTGGGTCACGTTAGGTCACAATATCCACGGGTGGACAAAATGTAGTAAAAATTTTATGGGCCACTTGAGACATAGTGGATCGGCACGGAACAAGCCCTGTCCAAAAGAGCGCAGTTGGCTTCAAGTTCTTTTGGAAACTCCCCAGCATATGGAAACCTCCCCAAGATTCCTCTGGCCTCCTCAGCCGCCTGCTGCCCCCACTCCCAGCCCTCCTCTTGTCAGCCCAGACGGCGGAGCCTACTCTCTTTCAGCTTCAGGCCTCCGATGGAACAAAGGAAGTTTCACAGTGGGTCTCTCTCCTTTATTAAAACCAGCAAGAGCTCTTCAAGGAAGAGAGGGTGGGTGTTGGGGGTATGGAAAGCAGAGAGACAGTGATCTTTCCAGAAACTGTGATCTTTATCAAATGCCTATCAGCCTCCGACAGGTATGAATTAACTTTGAGGAATGATATATGTGTTTGTATAAAGATATGTATGCACATCCCACCATGGAGGGCCCTGAACATCCCTCAGAGAGATTTAGATCTGATCCTGATGGTGCTGAGGAGCCACTGGTGGTCTCTGAGCAAGGGAGCAAACTGCTCTCAGTTTTATATGAGTTCTGAAGCATCATCAGCTCCCAGACATTGCAAAACAGCTCCCGAAAGCCACGAATGGTCTCCCCACACCCCTGAGGATAGCCTGGTGGAGGCTTTAGTATGGAAACCAGAAATACTTACTCCTAGTTAGTCCTCATTCTATTATTACGCTGGGCCATGGGCCTCTTCTCTGAACCTCAGTTTCCTCATCAATGAAATGGGAAGAATTGTTTGTCATGTACCCAACCACACACATAAGCAAGCTAAAAAACATTTTAAAGTGATGTCTGAAGGAATGCTATTTATGGCTTAGGCATCAAAAATCACTTGACATGTCTTCAGAAAAGAGAAACTTGCCAGGTCCTCAGTTTCAAAAGGAAAGCCTCCAACTCCTTGAGAACTGTCCAAAGAAAGACAGCTTCCCCCACCACTGATGAACTGATTGATCAGCAGAGAAACTTTCTGTTTTTAAAATGTTTTGATGTAGGGTGCAGCATATTATATATGTAATATCCAAATACCATATTTATATATGATTTGGATATAATATACACATGTGTAATACATGTTATATATCATATGTAATATATAACATATATGTAATGTATGTGTGATATACATATATATAAAATATCCAAATTTTATATACGTGTGTGTGTGTGTGTGTGTGTGTGAACATTCCAGAAATGGTGGCAAGAGTATCTCCCATCTCACCTGATCTTCTATAATGGAACTTTGATGCTCCTTCTACCGAGAGGAGAGGTCTATGCCCACTCCCCTTGAATCTAGGCAGCCTTATAACTTGTTTGCAGCCAGTCGTCAATGATGGAAGCGATGCTGCATGACCTTTAACACTGAGTCCTTAAAGGTGATGTGGCTTCCCTGAGACACCATGCCATGAAGGGGCCCAAGATGCGGCCATGCTGTGAGGAAGCTCAAACAATCTGACCCAGAAAGCCCTCCTGGAGAGGCTTGTGAGAATACACAGACAGGGAGAGATGTACAACCAGCCCCCGGCTACTCTGGACCTCTGATTTCTAGTTCTAGTTACCTTCTGACTACAGCTACATGATGGACCCCAAGACAGAACTGCTCAGCTGAACCTTTCCTGAATTCATGACCCACAGTAAGTGTGAAAGATAATAAAATGATTGTTGTTTAAACCACTACATTTTGGGGTGGTTTGTTGCACAGCAAAATGTAACTGGAATAAATGGCAAGGCAACAGGTTGATACAAGGCCCAGGAACGGTTACTAGTTTGAGCCTCCAGGGATACTGCCTGGCTCAGTCTTCTCAACCAACCACCAGAAGCTTCTTCTCTCTATGCTTCACATTTAGCAAAATGGCACACCCTCCATCCAAGCCAGCATGTGAGCCTCCTCCTTCCCAGTCACTTAAATGGACTCCTCTGCCCTCAAGAATCAGCACCCATGAAATGGCAACTTACTATCATCTTCCCCATCTACCTCCACCCCAAAGCTTAGAACGACGGACCTCAGCCTTAGTGCCTAAAAAAAATTACCTAGGATACCTCTACCCCTCCCTAACTCTACCCAGATTCTGATATAGCAGGTATGGAGGAGAGCCAGGTAGTTCTGCCCGCAGGTGGAGACATTTATTCCAAGAAGGTCAGAACCCAGAATGTGAAGTGCCACTTTGCCTGGAATGTAAGTCTCAAATGTCTTCTCCAAGGAGCCCTGTTGAGGCTGGCAGCTCCTTTCACCCTCATGACAGGGATTTTTTTTTTTTTCTGGATTCATTCTGAAGCCACAAGCTTTTGGTCTCCCATGAAAAGTTTTTTGCTATGTTGGATGGAAATCACTGCTCTGATGCTAACCGTGGCAGAGGCATGAAAATTCAGAGCTGAGAGCATCCAATGGCTCTCCCATGACATCTGGGATATCTCTGGCTGAAAGCTGGGGAAATGGGGTCACCAACTGCTCCATTAGCCTACTTTGGGTGGACCCTCCCCTTCCTGACCCTCACAGCGTCCGGCCCCCTCACACCAGTTATTGTGCAGAAGGAGATTGTCCGTCCTTCCAGCAGAATGGAGCCCAGCAGTGCTCACCCCTTACCCATGGTCCGGCCACCACGTGTGGCTCACTCTGTCCTTTTCAGGGTTCATCCCAGAACTGGAGCTCACATTCCCAGAAGGCTTTGCTTTTCAGGCTTTTCAGGTTATCGCCAATTGAGGCTAAATGCTCTGACGTTGTGTCTTTGACGTGCCAAACTGTTCACTTGTTCACTGGAAACATGTAATATATCTCATACTTTATGTAACTTGCTTTTGGTATTCCTTCTTTTTTTTCTTTTTTTATTTTCTTTTTTGCCCCTAATATTTTGAGACCTTCAGAAAATCAAAGCAGCCCAGGTCTTGCTCAAGTTCTGATTCTGAGCTGCTCCGGTCATCATCACATATTTGTTTCCTGTATACGGATTCTTACTTTTTCTTTGGCTATTTTGATCCTGACTCCACCTGTGAGAGATAATAAAATGATGATAAAAAGATTTAAGCTTGCTGAAGGTAAGGACCTGGCCTCCTTCTTGTATCCCCCAAAACCACCTTGTTCACAGAGCCCAGGGTCATGCTAGTGCATGACCACACCACAGAGTGATTTTATTTTTATTTATTCTATTATTACTTTTCTTTCTCAGACAGGGTCTGACACTGTTGTCCAGGCTGGAGTGCAGTGCGTGATCTACAACCTTCTCCTACTGGGCTCAGGCAATCCTCCCACCTCAGCCTCCTGAGTAGCTGGGACCACAGGTGCACGCCACCATGTCCCAGCTAATTTTTGTATTTTTGTAGAGACGGGTTTTCGCCATGTTGGCCAGACTGGTCTCAATCTCCTGGGTTCAAGTGCTGTGCCTAACTCAGCCTCCCAAAGTAGTGGGATTCCAGGCATGAGCCACTGTGCCCGGTGGGTTTTCTTTCTCTTTTTTCTTTTCTTTTCTTTTCTTTTTTTTTTTTTCTTTTTTTTTTTTTTTTTTTTGATCGAATTTTGCTCTCGTTGCCCAGGCTGGAAGGCTGGAGTGCAATGGCATGATCTTGGCTTACTGCAACCTCCGCCTCCCCGGGTTCAAGTGATTCTCCTGCCTCAGGCCCCCGAGTAGATGGGATTACAGGCATGCACCACCACACCCGGCTAATTTTTGTATTTTTAGTAGAGACAGGGTTTCATCATATTGGTCAGGCTGGTCTCGAACTCCTGACCTCAGGTGATCCGCCCGCCTTGGCCTCCCAAAGTGCTGGGATTACAGGCGTGAGCCACTGCCCCCAGCCCGGTTTTCCTTCTCAACGAGCTGTATGGCCTCTCTGAACTTGGGTACCCTCACATGTATAATCAGGGTGATAATACCCGCTACCTGGTGGGATTGTGAAGAAAATTAAATATGATTCTGTGTGCAACCTACCTACCATAGTGCCTGACTCAAAGAAGGTGTTCAGTGAATCATAGTTCTTAGGGTTGAATTGTGTCCCCTCCAAAAATGATCCAGTGAAGTACTAATCTCCTGCCCCTGCCAATGTGACCTTCTTTGGAAATAGGGTTCTGGTAGATGTCATCAAGTTAAGATGAAGTCATTGTGGATTAGTGTGGGCTCTAAATCTAATGATGCGTATCCTTGTAAGGAAAAGGAAATTTGGAGACACACAGAGGGAAGAGGGCCATGTGACGACAGAGTCAGGAGGTGGAGTGATGGAAGCACAGGCCAAGGAATGGCAGGGATTGCTGGCCACCAGCTGCCAGGAGAGGCTGGGAAGGATAGAGGCTGTGCCTCCCTCCCTCCAGAAGCTGGAAGAGGCCAGAAAGGATGAAGGCTGTGGCTCCCCCAACTTCAGAAGCTGGAAGAGGCCAGGAAGGATAGAGACTGTGCCTCCCTCCCTCCAGAAGCTGGAAGAGGCTGGGAAGGATGGAGGCTGTGGAGGGTGCATGGCCCTGCTGACACCTTGATTTTGGACTTCTTGCCTCCAGAAATGTGAGACAGTGAATATCTGTTGTTCTAAATCACCCAGTTTGGGGTACTTTGTTATGGCAGCCCTAAGAAATGAATGCAGATTTTCGTGCTGGAAAGTGGAGTGTCTGTTTGGGATGAAAAAGAGAGGAGCCACCTAGACACTGGTCCAGGAGGCTAGTGCTAAGGCAAAGCAACCCACAGGCAAGGTCTCATCCCCTCTTGCCCGGGGCAGCTGAAGACAAATTCCACGTGCCTTCCTCCCCAGTGCTTCTCAGCAGCCTGCAATTCCATGGGACCACCGACCGTGACAAATGTGGCCAACAGAAAGCTTTTATTAATAGGAATTTAATTTAGAATTTAGTGCAAAAATGTATTTCTTGGCCAGGCATGGTGGCTCACACCTGTAGTCCCAGCACTTTGGGAGGCTAAGGTGGGCAGACCACTTGAGGTCAGGAGTTCAAAACCAGCCTGGGCAACAGGACAAAACCCCATCTCTACTAAAAATACAAAAAGTAGCCAGGCGTGGTGGTGCCTACCTGTAATACCAGCTACTTGGGAGGCTGAGGCAGGAGAATCGCTTGAACCCGGGAGGTGGAGGTTGCAGTGAGCTGAGATGGTGCCATTGCACTCCAGCCTGGGCAACAGAGCCTGACTCTGTCTCATATCTAGTTACCTCTAAATCTCCAAATACATATATAGATATATTTGGAGATATATCTATATCTATATCTACATATTTGGAGATTTAGAGTTAACTAGATGTAGTTTCTCTCCTGAAGGAACTCAGATAAACAGGGCATTGCTTCACAGAGGAATCAGGCCACAGTGGGGATAAGCAGAGCACCATAGCAGGGCACCAGCAATGGCCACAGATTATGCTCACATCAAGGCTTAAAGAACATGTGGACATCAGCCAGGCCAAAGAAGGTGGTGGCATCCAGGCAAGAGCATGACCAAAAGCACCCAGACATGAAACAGTGTGGCACGTGCACACAAACTGAAAGCAGCTTGGAGCCAACACGCTATTGAACAGGAGGAAGAAATGAAATATGAGGCAGGAAAGAGAGGGTGGGAGAGGCCAGCTGATGAGATGTTTCGTGTTCCATGCTATAGAGCTTGGAATTTATTCTGTAGGCAATGAGATGCTTCTTCTCTAGGACTTAAAGCAGAAAAGTGGCATAGATAGATTTTCATTTAATACAGACCATCCTGGCTAAAATGTGTCAATGGATTACAACAGAACAAGATTAGAGGCAAATCAACTAGGTACCTGCTGTGAGCAGTCCAGATGAGAGGTGGTGCAGCTGTGACTTAGGGAAGTGGTGCTGGATGGGAAGGAAGAGACTTGGGGAGTGTTCCAAGGGTGTCCGCGCTTGAGCTCCCCACAGAAGCAGGACCTGTGACAAGGGCTGATGTGCAGGCTGTTTAGGAATTGATGCCAAGTAACAGCAATGGGGGCTGGGAGGAGTGAAAGAGGGAGGTGGGCTTGGTGTGGTGGCTCACACCTGTAATCCCAGCACTTTGAGAGGCTAAGGCAGGAGAATCGCCTGAGGCCAGGAGGCCAAGACCAGCCTGGGCAACACAGGGAGACCGCATCTCAACAAAAAGTTTTAAAAATTAAAAATTTTAAAAATAGTGGGAGGAGAAAGAAGCATCCCAGTGTGGTGTTATTGGCCTGGTTACCTCCATGGGCTGCTGGGACTGGATCCCCTGGAGACCCCCTGAGGAAGCGTGTGAAAGATGCCTCAGAATTGTCCACCCAAGACATGGATGGAAGACAGATGAGCTCATCAGCTCCTGCCCCTATTGGTCAAAGTTTTCCCCCAAGGAAAGCCACCTCCCTTGAGCTTCCAAGTTTACACACAAGCCAGTATAGCTAAGCAAGTCCCCGCAGGCTTGGACAGAAAGCCTGCCACAGCAGATACCCACTGCCACAGCTGTCAGGTGACAGCTTGTTGCGGTTGTCAGAGCAACGCCCAGGAGCAAAAAAGGCGAGCCAGGTCAGGCGCAGTGGCAAACTCCTGCAATCCCAGCAATTTGGGAAGCCAAGGCAGGAGGATTGTTTGAGGCCAGGAGTTCAAGACCAGCTTGGGCAAGAAAGAGACCCCTGTCTCTACAAAACATAAAAAATTAGCCAGGCATGGTGGTGCGTGCCTGTGGTCCCAGCTACTCAGGAGGCTGAGGCAGGAGGATAGCTTGAGCCCAGGAGGTCAAGGCTGCAGTGAGCCATGGTCGTGCCAGCACACCCTAGCCTGAGTGATAGAGCGAGACCCTGTCTCTAAAAACTTAAAGAAAAAAACGGTGAGCCAAGAGCATGTGAAAGGAGCGTGAAAGGAGCATGAAAGGGAGGTGGGCAGAAGAAGCTGGTTGGATAGAGGAAGTGAAAGGAAGAGGCGCATTTGTACAGACAGCCGCCCTTCTGGACCGAGTAACCACGTGGAGAGTGGTTCTCCATCCACCCACATAGGACGCACAAGGAAAAGAAGAGGTTCCCAAAGATAAGGGATTTCATGGGGAAAATACCTCATCGAATGGACTGCGACCCTCAAGGGAAGATGTTCCATAAGCTCGGCGCGAGTCAGGCAGTAGGGAGAGGTCTTGAGATCACAGGTGAAGTGAAGGCTCCCAGGAAGGGTGATTGCAGGGCGAGGGCCTCCTGACCTGGAGACAGGGCCCCAAGGAACAGTCATACGAAGAGGGCAGAGGACAAATGAAGAGGGAGTGGACAGAAAGAGAAATGGGAGGAGAGCCATGTGCCAGGAGCCAAGTGATTTAAATGCAGGTGTAGTGCCCTGGAGAGTTCCATGTGTAAGAACAAGTAAATCATTGTTGCTTACCTCTCCCTTGAAAAAAAAAAAATACCCTGCTTCTTGTCCTAAGTTCCCAGGCTCTCTTTTTGCCTACTCCCTCCCCAGTTGCTGAGTCCAGTCAACCCTCCTGCTACAGTATCCCCTATAGCGCCATTCACCTGCCCTCCTCTGCTCCCTTGGCCAACATCTAGGTTCAGAACCTCATTGTCTCTCTTCTGGTCTGTCCTGCCTCCTCCTCCCTCTGCTGCTGTCCATCCAGGTGGATTTTCCTAAAGGGAAAAGGTGCACTTGAGGGCAAATTTCTCTTGGCCATGCACTTAGGAGGGGGATTTCTGGGTAAAGGGGTAAGTTCACTGCTTTTCTAATTCTCTACTTTTTCCTTATCCTCACCCATAAATCTTACAACCCCCTTGAAGTGCAATAACTTTATTTCTAGGACCTCTCAGAGCCTTTGCCTGTGCTGTTCCCACTTGCCGGGAATGCCTTTCCCTTCATCCCCAATAGTTCAAGCCCCACCTTTTCCTGAGCCCAGCTCAGATGCCACCCCCTCATCCAGGAAGGCCTCCTTGATACCTCCCTACCAGAATTAATCTCTCCTTCTCTTGTGGTCTGAAGACTCTTGGCTTTCTCCCCTGTCCTATTTTTGCTTGTTATCACTGACATTGCTTTACACGCTTTTTCTCCTCTGCTGGGAGCAAGGGCAGTTTCTATGTCACAATGCCCCACTATGCCCATTAAGCTACAGTGCACATGGTACCCATCCCGAGACCAACATTCTTTTTACACTTCTGTGCTTCTGACCTAGGAAAGTCTTACTTTTCATAGAGTGTCATAGCTGAGTTGGAAGCTCTTTTCTTAGAGCCTCTTAAAATAATGGCGTGCCTTATAGTCAATGATCTCTTACATTCCATTAAATACAGTAGGAGATGTTCAACCAATATTTGCTAAATTGGAGGAGTTAAAGTCATTTTGAGTAGGAGAGGGAATCTAGACCCACTATTTGGATTAGTACAGATTTTAGTGCAACTCAGGGCTTCTGCAGAGCCCCTCCAGCTTTCACCTGTCCACTTAGTTGATGATGAGCACGCCTGCGAACTCTTCACACTTTCCAAACCCACCAAGGCAGCTTCTCCCGTAAGGACATGTTTCTTACCTTCAAGACCCCTGTTGCCTCCAGCAGCAATCTCAGTAATGACGTCTACTTCTGTTTCCTGCTTCCTTCTCCCTGACTCCTGCTTCCTGGAGTCCCCTCAGATAAACCTCCTGTGCCCAAGACCTTGTCAGGGTCTGCATTTACGGGAACCCAACTAAAATTCCAGGACCACCATATAAAGGTCCCTTTGTCGGGGGCTGGGCCTGCTCTGGATACGGTAGGGAAGTGGCTCCAGGGTCTGCGGCCAGCGAGGAGAGGGTCCGGCAGTCACCAGTGGGAGCTGTTTCCTCCCGTATTCCTCCCACCTGTCCCTACCTGTCCTGCTGGCGGGGTAAAGAGTGGGATTTACCTCGTGACAGCTGCCTTACAGCCCCATGAAAAGGCACTTTGGGCTGCGGTTGGGGGGAGCGCATCTCCAGGGATTGCAGGGTAGGAGGACAAGAACTCTCCCTGGCCTGGGAGTCAGGGAAATGGAGAGATCAGAGCAACACAAGTGCTGGGAACAGATGGGGCTTCCTGGGCTCCAGCGCTAATTAACCAGCTCTGCAGCTCAAGGCCTGGGCCTCATGATAGTAGTCTGAGGGCCCCTGGGGTGCAGGGTTGAGCACACAAGGCTGCACACAGGCAGAGGGAGAGGGGTGATCCCGGGAACAGCCATCCCTCCATTCCCTAATCCAGAGGCCGCTGCCCTTCTTGGGCCAGAGAGCAGCAGCTTCTAATACAGATCTGGGCTTCTCACTCAGCAGGTGCCAGGGACCCAAGGAGACAAATGGAGGAAAAAGAGTGAGGAACTCCTGCCCCAAGGA
Organism: Homo sapiens; assembly: GCF_000001405.40. Lineage (NCBI taxonomy): Eukaryota > Metazoa > Chordata > Mammalia > Primates > Hominidae > Homo > Homo sapiens. The sequence goes on from NC_000021.9 coordinate 33,171,942, forward strand.
GGCCGCTGCCACCGCCCACTGGCCGCATGCCAACTGGACCCCAGATGATAAGCGTGAAACTCCCAGAGGTTGAGATTGGGAGACTCTCCTCCTCCCTGCCTTTCATCTTGTGTCCCCTCTCTTGTCCCTTCCTCACTTGCAAGAACAGAACTCATTTGATGTGTTTCCGCTACCAAATCAGAGCAGTGAGTGCAGAGTTGGGGAGGAAATTGAAGGGAAACAATTCAAACTGTTTCACTGGAGTTGCAGGCGCTGATAAAGGCATCTTCGTTAGTTAATGAGTTAATTTCTGATAAACCTTAGATACCTAAAATAGGCTACATATTATATGGCCTAAATTGATTCCTAATTAACACTTGAAATGTAATCACAATCAAGGTGGCTTTTTAAATTGTGGGCAAGAGAAAGAAATACATCTCAGACACAAAACAACCTGTACTTAACACTGCCATAAAGTGGATCAGGCTGTATTTATATTTATGTTTGTATTGAGGCTGATTTTTCTGATTCTCTCCCAGTTTGGGTGTTTTATCTCTGAATCCCCAGTGCATAGCACAGTCCTGGCTTGTAGTAGGAATTAGCAAATATCTGTTGAATACATAAACCCTCTTTTCAAAATACAGGACCAGAGCATAGAAACAGAATAGCTAATGTACACTCTTTTGTTGAATGGGGCAAGCACAGCCCAGGTAGCAAGTAAATAGTGACAAAATAATTCTGGAATTATCTCCCATCCACAAGCCAGGATCCAAAATAAATGTCCTTTGTTCTACATTGTTATTGTTTTTTAAAAGTCATTTTCTTTTATCTTCTAAGATACTTATGGATAGAATAATATAAAGTCTGGATTTGCTTCAAAATACCTTAGCAGACTGGGATTATAGATGAGACAAGACCAGCTGTGTGGGAATAATTGTTGGAACTGGCTAGTGGGGACATAGAAATTCATAAAACTATACTGTCTACTTTTGAAATTAATTTTCAAAAATATGCTTGAAATTGTCCTTTATAAAAGGTTTTTATTACTCCATGCTAGGAAAAATGTAATTGAAACTAAGTAGTAGAAATGTTAGAAAAACACAAGCAAACAATTCACAAGGTTGGTGCCATATCCCTTTAGGACATATATGCTCACTGCAGCGCCCACGGGTCCAGTTGGAGAGATGTGATGCTCACAGAGCCTGTGTCCAAGGACTTTCTTTGCCGTTATCTCGTGGTTCTGCAAATACACGCTCAAGGCTGCCAAAAATGAGTGATAGTAAATTACCCCGCTAATTCAATGACTCTTCTTCAATAGAAACTGATTACAAAGAAAAAAAAGTAGTCAACAATCCTAACAGTATTTCAGCAGTTCTTGGGAACATTTTGCAGAATGTAAGGGAAGACATTAACAAGAAATTTCTAGCAAAATTCCATTACTTCAAGTAGTCTTGCACAAAATGTGAGGCAGAGGGGGTAAATGTATATGCCCTTACTTTTGATGATGCTGTTTTCTTGTTAAAAAAAACATCTTCTGGCCGGGCAAGGTGGCTCACGCCTGTAATCCCAGCACTTTGAGAGGCCGAGGCAGGCGGATCACGAGGTCAGGCGATCGAGACCATCCTGGCCAACATGGTGAAACCCCGTCTCTACTAAAATAGAAAAAAATTAGCCAGGCATGGTGGCGCGCGCCTGTAGTCCCAGCTACTCCAGAGACTGAGGCAGGGGAATCACTTGAAACCGGGAGGCAGAGGTTGCAGTGAGCTGAGATCGCGCCACTGCACTCCAGCCTAGTGACAGAGCAAGACTTCGTCTCAAAAAAAAAAAAAAAAAAAAAAGCATCTTCCATGTTTGGGTTTGTAGGATGCTTTCAGTTTTAGCCACTTGTTAAGATTTTTATTCTGTCTTTCCTGTGCCATTTAGAAATTCTGTTGTAAAAGCAATTTAATGTACCTAGAAATTTAAACTTCAATTCTAATTTCAAAACACAACTAAGTCTCTAAATATTTACTAAGTAATATTCAAATAAATGCCATTTCATCTGAACGGTAAAATAAACCAGCATGCTTGAACATTTTAATGGGCTTCCAAATGCTATCGGAAAGATCAAGCTGTCCTGTCAGAGATCATCCGTGGATTTTCAGGAAATGCACTGCAATGTCACATAACCCATCTTTAGCCTGGCCTTTGAGCAAGCAAGCAAAACCATTCTGCAAATGCTGAGGCTGTATTTCCAGAGGCATTCCAAAATGACCTTGGAAATGCAATGCAATTAGTATAATATGTTTGGAGTGGGACATGCTGGAATTAAGGCAAAAATAGCATACATATTATCGCTGAAACAGAAGCGATTTAAGAAGAGAGAGCGCAACTCTAAAGGATGGACCTAAAATTAAAAGTAGTTTAAAAATACATATGTATTTAAAAAATACACATTAAAAAATACATATGTCTAGGCTGGGCGAGGTGGCTCACACCTGTAATCTCAGCTCTTTGGGAGGTGGAGGTGGGAGGATCACTCGAGCCCAGGAATTCGAGACCAGCCTGGGCAACGTGGCAAGAACCCATCTCTTCCTAAAATAATACAAAAATTAGCCAGGCGTGGTGGTGTGCACCTGTAGTCCCAGCTACTCAGGAGGCTAAGGTGGGAAGATCACTTAAGCCCAGGACGCAGAGACTTCAGTGAGCTGAGATCATGCCACTACACCCCAGCCTGGGCAACAGAGCCAGAACCTACCTCAAGGTTACATGTATATGTGTGTGTATATATATATATGTGTGTGTGTGTGTATGTATACATGTATGGATATACTCATATACATATATGGGAGCAGCCATTTTTATGGTGAAAGGTGGGAAAAGTCACACAAAATAATATCCTTATTTTGCCAATTATAATAACCATTTATTGAGTACAAATATGGGTTATCTCATGTAATCCTCATCTCTGCTCACCCAGATAACTACTGTATGATTTCCACTTTAAGGTGATAAAAACTGATGCCTGGGAAGGTCACGTGATGTAACCAAGGTCATCCATCCATTGAGAAATCCCTCCCATCTCCCAATTACCAGCCATCGACTGTACTGAAAGCTTATGAATATAAATAGTGGTTTACCCAGCATTCATTCTGAAAGAATCTCTATCTAGTCGTATATTTCAGAATGTTTTTCATCTTCCACCCTTTTCTAAAAACACTTTCTCCATCTCCTAAACAAGCACTCAAAACGAATGACCCCTGAGGGAGATCTCCATGGACAAACCAAACATTAACCTTCTGGAAAGCAGCTGATTATCTCCATATCTGGGCAACTGTGAGTTATACTGCAATGAATATGAGTGCAGATATCTCTTTGAGGCACTGATTTCATGTCCTTTAGGTATATATACCAGAAGAGAGACTGCGGGACCATGTGGTAGTTCTTTCTTTAATTTTTTGAGGAACGTCCATACTGTTTTCCATAAATTACAATGGAATATCATTCAGCCTTCAAAAAGGAGATCCTGCCATTTGTGACAACTTGGATGAACCTGGAGGACCTGGTGCTAAATGACATAAGCCAGACACGGAAAGAAAAATACTGCATGATATTATTTATATATGGAATCCAAAACAGTCAAATACATAGAAGCAGAATAGAATGGTGATTCCCAGGACTCGGGGGAAATGGGGAGATGTTGGTCGAAGAGTACAGCCTTGCAGGTATAAGATGAACAAGTTCCGCAGACCTAACATACAGCATGGTGACTATAATTAACAATAACGTGTTATATACCTGAAATTGCTAAGACAGTAGAACACTTAAGATCTTAAGTGTTCTCACCACACACACAAAAAGTAACCATATGAGTGACGGATATGCTAATTAGCTGGATTGTGGTAATCATTTCATGATATATACATATATCAAAACATCATGTTGTACATCTTAAATATATACAATTTTTATTTGTCAATTACACCTCAGTAAAGCTGGAAGGAAAAAAAAAGTAGCTGATTTTTCAGTAGGATTAGAGCCAGGGCTCTCAGTGAGAAGTTCTGCGAAAGGCTGGAATGGACAGGACTTTTTGGTAGAAATGAAAAGCAATAAACCCACCTGCGGACAACCAAGCAGGTCGTGACATTGCAGGACTAGCAGATGGTACCTAAAATGTCACTGTAGTCTTTCCCACCTCACTGATTGGCAGCTGTGGCTCAGGCTAAAACCTTGGAGGCATCTTTAACTCCACTCTCTCTCCCTTTTACCTCACATCCAATCTGTCGGCAAATCCTAAACTTCTAAATATATCCAGAATATGACTGCTTCTCACACCTCCGTTGCCAGCACCTCCGGCAGGGCCCCCATTGTGTGCCGCCTGGATTCTCACAGTCGCCTCGCTCTGTCTCCCAGCCCTACACAGTCTCTTCTTTGCACAGCAGTCAAAAAGCTCCTTAAAAACCCAAGTCAGATCAAGTCAGCTCCCTGCTCTGAACCCTGAACCCTCCAGGGGCTCCTCTATAACATTCAGAGTCGAAGTCAAAGTCTACAATGCTCCGAGGCCCTACACCATCTACCCCTGTCCATCCTTCTGGGACCTTCAGCTCAACTTCCCCTCTAGCTGCTCCATTCCATGCATGCCAGCCCCACTCCCCATTCTGTGTTCCTCAAATATGCAGGGCCTTTGCACTAACTCTGTCCTCCCCAGATATCCCCAGATATCCTCCTGAATCCCCAGATATCCTCCTGAATCCCCAGATATCCTCCTGGCTCACTCCCTCAGCTCCCCCATGTCTTTGCTCAGACATCACCTTTGGACATGATTTGGATCTGTGTTCCTGCCCAAATCTCATGTCAATTTGTAATTCCCAGTGTAGGGAAGGTGGGGCCTGGTGGGAGGTAATTAGATCATGGGGGTGGATTTCCCCACTTGGTACTGTGTTGATGGTGAGTGAGCTCTTGTGAGATCTGGTTGTTTAAAAGTGTATAGTACATCCGGCCAGGCGCGGTGGCTCACGCCTGTAATCCCAGCACTTTGGGAGGCCGAGGCGGGCCGATCACGAGGTCAGGAGATCGAGACCATCCTGGCTAACACGGTGAAACCCCGTGTCTACTAAAAATACAAAAAATTAGCCGGGCGCGGTGGCGGGCGCCTGTAGTCCCAGACACTCGGGAGGCTGAGGCAGGAGAATGGCGTGAACCCAGGAGGTGGAGCTTGCAGTGAGCCGAGATAGCGCCACTGCACTCTGGTCTGGGCGAAAGAGCGAGACTCCGTCTCAAAAAAAAAAAAAAATAAATAAAAGGTGTATAGTCCCTCCTTCCCTCTCTCTTCCTCCTGCTCCAGCTGTAAGATGTGCCTGCTTCCCCTTCTCTTCCCACCATGATTGTAAGTTTCCTGAGGCCTCCCCAGAAACAGAAATCGCTATGCTTCTTGCACAGCCTGCGGAACAGTGAGCCAATTAAACCTCTTTTCTTTATAAATTACCCAGTCTCAGGTGTTTCTTCATAGCAGTACAAGAGTGGCCTATTACACCTTCTCAGTGAGATCTGCCTCAACTTCCCTATTCAAAATTGTAACATCTTCTGCCCAGCACTCCCAGCCCCCTACCCTGCAGCATTTTACCCCATAACACTTATCACCTTCTTACCTTTAAATGTGTTCCTTTCCTTACAAAAGCATAGCTTGTAAAATCCAAAGTCTTGTTTCCAACTAGATATCATCTGCCTCCTGATGCCATGCAAATGCACATAGCACCAGCTAGGAAATATTCTTGTCACAAAAACTTGATCCTGAATTTAGTCAAACTTCTCCAGCTAACTTCCACTCACTTGGAATAGAGGGACAAGAGCATGGCACCATAAGGAAGCATGCAGACAAATGCTGAATGTGGGACATTCTCCAAGACAATCGACCTGGTCTCTGCAACAAACCAAGGGAAGGGGGATTAAAAGAGAAAATAATGGAGACTGCGGTAGATTTAATAACACTTACAAGATATAACAACAAAATGCCATGGGGAGAACCTGCTCAAATCCTGATTTGTGCCAACCAACAATAAAGAGACACTTTGGAGTCAAGTAAGTAAATTTTATTATGGACTGAATATTACATCTAGTATATTACCAAAGAAATAGTGTGCACTTTGAGAGGCATAATAACTGTATTATGGTTACATAAGAAAATAGTAACCATTTTTAGAGCTATTAATATGTACTGAAATGTGTAGAGATTTAATGACATGATTTTGGGGACTTACTTTAAGGTACTTCAGCATATTGAAAAGGGATAAATGGGCCAGGCATGGTGGCTCACACCTGTAACCCCAGTACTTTCGGAGGCCGAAGCAGGAAAAAAAAAAAATGACCTGGCATGGTTGCACATGTCTGTAGTTTCAGCTACTGGGGGGTAAAAGAGGGGGTATTCCGAGGTGGGAGGATCACCTGAGCCCAGGGCTGTCGAGGCTGCAGTGAGCCATGATCACACCACTGCATTCCAGCCTGGGCTACAGAGTTAGACCCTAACTCAAAAACACAAACAAACAAACAAGCAAACAAAACAAGAAAAGAGATAAATAAAACATGTAACAAGATTTGTTTTTAAATCAGGCCTATTGAGGTTTACATACAATAAAGTTCACCCATTTAAAGTTTGATTAGTTTTGACAAATGCATACAGTTATATGACCAAAACCACAGCCAAGATATAGGATATTTCCTTCACCCTACAAAGCTCCCTCATGTATGCTGAGATTTCTATAATTCTTGGATCTAGAAATGAGTGTGTGAGGATTCACTGTATTATTTTCTTACTATTGTGCATAACTTGGAGCAGACCTGGCAAATACGATCTGGAATTTTTCTGGGGGCATGTGATGACTGTAGGACCTAGTGTGCATGACAAGTGGACAGATGGATAACTGATTCTGAAACTTGAAAGAGAAGTGTCTCAGGGAGAATTCCCAGAAGCCACCCTGAGACAAGGATTCATGTGTAAGTGATTTATTAAGGACATGACGACGAGATCCAGCATGAAACACACAGGATGGCCTAGAAAATATTTTGCTGGTCGGGTGCAATGGCTCATGCCTGTAATCCCAGCACTTTGGGAGGCCAAGGCAGGTGGATCACCTGACGTCAGAAGTTCGTGACCAGCGTGGCCAACATGGTGAAACCTTGTCTCTACTAAAAATAGAAAAATTAGCCAGGCATGGTGGCAGGTGCCTGCAATCCCAGCTACTCGGGATGCTGAGGCAGGAGAATCGCTTGAACCTGGGAGGCAAAGGTTGCAGTGAGCCAAGATCACACCACTACACTCCAGCCTGGGCGACAGAGCAAGATTCTGTCTCAAAAAAAAAAAAAAAGGAAAGAAAATACTTTGTTAAAATAGCTGAATCTATTCCAACCTCTAGAACTTCCTTTCCCTGGCAAAAATGGAGGATAAAGGAGAGAAAGGCCAGAAAGTAACTTGATCCACCCACTTGCTCACCCCAGAAATCAAGGGACATCTGAACCTCTCCTACTCTCAAAGACCACCAATAGCCATCCAGTCAGAACCAAGTCCTGTCAATTCCCTCCCAAAATAAATCTCCCACCCACCCATCTATGCTTATCCTCCTACTAACCCAAGCGAGGATCCCCTCTCACCTGCATATGTCAACAGCATCCCAATTTGTCTTCCTTTCTTGCCCCAACCCCACCCATTCTGCACAGAGCAGTCAGAATTAAAAGGAAAATCAGGTCATGTCACTCTCTTGCTGAAAGCACTTCTGTAAAATAGTTTGGCAATTCCTCAAACAATTAAACATAGAGTTGCCAGCAATTCTACTCCTAGAAATATATTCAAGAGAAATGAGAACATAGGTCCACACAGAATCACCATCCAAAGCCCAGACCTCCCAATTCTTACATTGGGGATTAAATTTCAACATGAATTTTAGAGGAGACGAAAACATTCAAACCATAATAGGACATAAACTTGATTTCTCATTGATAGGATGGATGCAACTAAACAGCTCAACAGTGTTGATTAAAAATGCTTATTATGATAGAGGAAAATGGCAGATAGGAGGCAGGACTAACTTGCAGCTCCCACTCGGATGGACAGAGCAGTGCATGAAGACCCACATCGTCAAATTTTACTCCAAGAACTAACACAGGATCATACCAGGAAAACCAAAAGAAACCACAGACCCTTTGAAGGCGGTGAATTGCTGCTGCAGGCTCTGTGTCCCCTACAAAATGCATATGGTGAAATCCTAGCCCCCAATGTGATGCTATTAGGAGGTGGTGCCTTTGGAAGGTGATTAGGTGATGAGGGGGGAGCCCTCAGGAATGGGATTAGTGCCCTTGAAAAGGGGACTCCAGAAAGTCTCTCACCCTCTTCCTACCATGAGAAGACAAGTGTACAACTCAGAAGAGGGCCTCACCAGCCCCCAGCAACGCTGGCATCCTGCTCTCAGACTTCCACCATCCAGAACTGTGAGAAATATGTTTCTGTTCTTTATAACTATCCGGTCTATGGTACTCTGTTATACACCCCAACAAAGACGGCCCCTGTAAGAATTCTGCTGTGTGGTCCTGGGGAGGGATTGAGCAGGACCAGGAGCCATGATTCCAGTGTGTGACCCTGGGGAAGGACTGAGCAGGACCAGGAGCCATAATTTGGTGTGTGACCCTGGGGAGGGATTGAGCAGGACCAGGAGCCATGATTCCCGTATGTGACACTGGGAAGGGATTGAGCAGGACCAGGAGCCACAATTCCAGTGTGTGACGCTGGGAAGGGATTGAGCAGGACCAGGAGTGAGCAGGACCAGGAGTGATAATTCCGGTGTGTGACCCTGGGGAAGGATTGAGCAGGACCAGGAACCATAATTTGGTGTGTGACCCTGGGGACGGATTGAGCAGGACCAGGAGCCATGATTCCGGTGTGTGACCCTGGGGTAGGATTGAGCGGGACCAGGAGCCATTGGGCCTGGTACATACATATAAATGAGTGAAGAGAGCAGAAATGTCTGCAAAGCAATCACATAGGAATGAATATTCTTCACATCCCAAAGGAAATGTGTCTTTCCCATTTTTGTTGAGACAGGCAGCCCTCCCTGGGTGTTTTACTCTCACTTTTGCTAGACTCATAAGTAAAAGAGAAATTATTTCTACCAGAAGACATAATTTGCAATTGTTAAGATATGGAAAATATGGAACCAGCCCAAATGCCCAACAATCAATGAGTGGATAAAGAAAATGTGGTGTATACATATTTATACATATATATGTATAAATATATATACCACATTATATATTTTTTATATATAATATTTATGTTTATATTTATATTTATATTCCATGGTGTATACACACACACACACTGTGGAATACTACTCAGCCACAAAAAGGAACAAAATAGTGGCATTCACAGCAACCTGGATGGAATTTGAGACTATTATTCTAAACGAAGTAACTCAGGAATGGAAAACCAAACATTGTATGTTCTCACTCATAAGTGGGAGCTAAGCTATGAGGATGCGAAGGCATAAGAATGATACAGTGGACTTTGGGGACTCAGGGGAAATGGTAGCACGGGGTTGAGGAAGAAAAGACTATACATTGGGTACAGTGTACACTGCTCTGGTAATGGGTGCACCAAAATCTCAGAAATCAAAAAAAAATCTCAGAAATTTAAAAAAAATAATAATAAGCAAAAGTTTTGAATTTTTAAAAAAATTTTTAAAAAGAAAAGAGAAAAAAAGAAGATAACCGCGCAAGGGCAGCTACAAATGACAAGTGACACTTGGCTTCAGGCTCAGGGAGGCAGTGGGAGTGGCAGTGTAGTGGATGCGGTGATGCTGCCCACCTCCCCTGGCAGGACGGGGACATCCTTCCCTCTGCTGCTGGGAGTGTGGTTGCTGACAGCTCTCGCTGGGGACGTTCCCTGGGAATCGCCCTCCTCTGGAAATAGCCACCTTGCCCAACAACTTCCCCCTCCTGGGGGCAACCCACATCCAATGATGATTGATATGGCTCCTTCCTTGAGGCAGGACAACTTCAAAAGACCATCCTAGCTCCTGTGGGATGGGCTAAACCCTTGGTTGTGACAGATCCACTGCACTGCAGTTCAGCTTCTCCATCCAATCCTTCTTTCTTCATTCACATTACCTGTGTTGATCCTGAGACCAGTCCCCAAGAAACTCCTGACTGTAAATCCCATCTCACAGCCAACTTCTCAGGGAGCCCCATCCAAGGCAGGTGGGGCTGAGGCTTACCAGGAGTGGGTGGCTGCTGCTCTAGCTGTTGTCCCATGCTGTAACTGAGCTAGATCTTGCAATCTTTCAAAAGAAGTTACAAATCTCTAACTGTATGTGAAATCTTGTTTTGTTTTGTTTTGTTTTGTTTTGAGATAGGGTCTTGCTCTGTCATCCAGGCTTAAGTGCAGTGGCACCATCACAGCTCACTGCAGCCACGACCTCCCCAGCTTAAGCAATCCTCCCACCTCAGCCTCCCAAGTAGCTAGGATCACAGGTGCACACCACCAGACCTGGTTAATTTTTTTTTTTTTTTTTTTTTTTTTTTTTGTAGAGATGAGGTCTCCCTATGTTGCCCAGGCTGGTCTTGAACTCCTGGGCTCAAGCAATCCTTCCATCTCGGCCTCCCAAAGTGATGGGATTATAGGCATGAGCCACTGCACCCAACCAAAATCTTGTAATCTTTAAATGTCAGTTTGCTTCTTGGCTATCTCATTTACAATCTCTGAAGTCAAACCTTCTTCACCAAAGATCATAAGTCTTAATCATGAAATATATCCAGTCTCTTGAAACCAGTAAAGCGAATCTATGTACTCCTGCATTCCACCTTATCCCTTCAAATCCTCTGATGATTGGCCAAATATGAAAAGAGATCATAACAGCACTGACCTTTATGTAGGCCATCAATCTTATTTCACATCCATTGTCTATTTTGATGACGTCTTTACACTGTGTCATTCGGGTCACAGGTTAATGATCTACTTTGTATTCACTGGAGGTGATCACAGTGGAGTCTCAGGTGGGCCACAAGTTGAGACACAAGGACATCATCTCCTGTGTGGTGGAGATGCCCAAGTTTCTCAGCCTCTCACTCTCCCACCCACTTGCCTTGTCCTCAAGCATTGGAACAGAGTCACTTGCCATGTTGATCTAGATCAATGAAACTTTAGAGCATGAGTTTTAAATTTTAACTTATTTCTGAAATTGTTGATGCAGAATCAATGCACACAACTGTGCAAACCAGGGTTGAGTGGCCCAGTTCTCCCCTACAGCTCCCTGCGTGCGGTAACTTATAGACGTCCCTAACACTGAATGGATGGAGTCTGGAAACCACCATCAGAGGTGGTCTGGCTACAGGTCCACATGCATCGTTAGCCCCTCTCCATTTCTCACATGGCTTCAATCAAGCAGAGATTTCATCTCCGTCTGCTTCTGCCAGACTATCAATCCAAAAAGCTAATGGGACACTTGTTTGTTGCTCCCCTCTGGTAAAAAGAAATGCCTGTTGCTTTTGTGCTTCCATGACAGGAAGGCAGCCAGTTGGTTTTGCCCATTCATAACCAAGGTTAAGTTCCCTGACTAGCTGGAGGGCACCACGTCTGTGTCTCAGGTCAGCTAGCACTTTTCACTGCACTGCTGGCATTAATTTGGCATCTTCTCCTGACCACAGCATGACTGTGAAGCCAGCAACATTCTCCTTACAGGTCACAGAAAAATAAATACTACCATGCTATCTGTCCTTTTCATCAGATTCTGCTAGGATTTGCCTGGCATGCAGTTGGCACTCGATAAATACTTGTGAAATGAACAAATGGGTATCAGCAAAGGCAGTTTCTGAATGATATTCTGATGTAATTATTTGGATGCTCAGAGTTTAAATGTGAGTCCCTGCCTTTACCAAATTATTCCACCTCTACCCTCAAGTAGGTCTAATGTCCAATATTGTGGTTGTCCTTAATTAGGTGACAAGGCTACCAAAGGCCCTACGCGACCTGCCCCTAACGCACCTCTTCAGCCTCGTGTCTCTGTCTCCCTCTTGCTCCACCCACAGTGTCCCAGCCAGACACAACTCACTCACTCCTGTAATGGAGCAGGCTCAGGGCCTTTGCACATCCTGCTCTCTCGGCTGGAACATTCTTCCACCACCACCACTGGCCTAATTCATTCAAACCCACTCTTCAAGCCCCAGAGTTGATGTCACTTCCCTGGGACACCTTCCCAATCTCCTGACTCCCGTGGGTTACGTGCACTTCCCGTGCTCCCGACATGTCCTTATTTCAGTTCTCATCACCCTGCATGGTAACGGCCTTGCTGCCTGTGGTACCTCTCACCAGGCTGTAAAAGTCACGCAGAGAAGTGTGTCTGCTGTTGCATCCTCAGGCCCCAACAAATGGGAAATGCTCGCTACACATTTGAGTTTTTGTTGGTTGCATGAATGAATGCATCAGCCATGAGAGCTCTATTCTTGTGCCCTCCAGGAGATGAGTAAGGTAGGATTTGGAGAACAGATTTTGGAATCAGACGGACGTGAGTGGGCAGCCTGACCCCACCCTTACTTCTTCATGTAAGACAACAGAGTAATCCCAGCACTTTGGAAGGCCAAGGTGGGTGGATCTCTTGAGGCCCGGAGATCGAGACCAGCTTGGCCAACATGGCGAAACCCCATCTCTACTAAAAATAAAAATAAAAATAAATTAGCCAGGCATGTAGTGCACACTTGTAGTCTCAGCTATTCGGGTGGCTGAGGCATGAGAATCACTTGAACCCAAGAGGCGGAGGTTGCAGTGAGCCAAGATCATGCCACTGCACTCCAGCCTGGGTGACAGAGTGAGACTAGTCTCAAAAAAAAAAGGTAATAGAAACCACTTCAGACTCCAGATATCTGAAACCTAAGAGGAATTTATTTTTTTTAAGTATTAGTCAGCTCATAGAAGCTCTGGGAAAGGTGAGGAACTGAGTGTGCCACTGTACTGGTTCTAAAACATAAGCAAAACTTCTTAGACAGTCCCCTCATGGAAGGAGGAGTCTAATCGCCACCCCTCCTTGAATATGGGCTAGCCTTAGTGACTCTCTCTTAATGAATAGCACATGGCGGTAGAGATGCTCTATCATTTCCAGGTGATACAACTTCTGCCTGACTCTCTCTTTCTCTCTTTTTCTCTCTCCTTCTCTCTGTGTCTGTATATCTCTCTGTCTCTCTGTCTCCCTCTCTCTGCATGTGTCTCTCTGTCTCTCTCTTCTCTGTCTCTCTGTCTCTCTCTCTCTCTTTCCTTCCTTCCCTCTCTCAATGTTCTCCCTTGGGACCTCGCCTCCATGTTGTGAGGAAGCCAGGCAGCCCCATGGGAAAACCACATCGAGGTGTCTGGCCATGGCCCCAGCTAAGGTCACAGCCAAGAGCCAGCATCAACCACCAGCCACATGAGCAAGCAGGCCTCAGATGATCCTAGCCCCCAGCCTTCAAGCCACTCAACCAATGGTGAGTGGAGCAGAAATGATTGTCCCTGCCAAACCCTGCACAAATTATACTTTCAAAAGCAAAACGAATGTTGATCCTGGTTTGAGCTCCTAAGTTTTGGGGTGATTGCTTACATGGTAATAGATAACCAGAACAGCAACTCTGCAGCCACGAGCACCACCTAAATTGTGCCACAGGAGCTCTGCAGCCAGGGACCCAGGGTTGCTCTGAGGCCCTTACAGTTCATCCCATGGTTGCCAGACCCCACAGTCAGTGCTAGAACTTCTGCTGTGTTGCCACTGTTGTGGCCATGATGAGAAGAACAAAGGGTGACCAGGCAATCTCAGAGTGCGTGTGCTGGCTGCAAGCAGGGGCTCAGAGGAGGGCACAGCTCTGCTATTGACCAGCTGTGTGAGCTTGGGCAAGTGTCCTAACCACTCTGGGACTCAACTACTTCTTTCTGAAGTGGGATCAGTAGGGGTACCATATGCATGGAGTGGTTGTGAGAATTAGACAAATTAATAGATACAGATGATGAGAACAGTGCTGGGCTAATGAGTATGCATTATTCTCTACCTCGGGCCCCCCATCACTTCCTATCTAGTACGTGATTTCCTTCTAGCAGCTGTTATCACTACATGACCTTATCGCATGTATTGATGTGCTCTCTTGTTTTTGGTCTGCTCTCCTTCCTGTTGGGTTGTAAGCTCGATGCAGGAAGGAAGTATGTTTTCCTGTCACTGAATCTTCAGCACCTAGAAGAGTAGGCGCTGATATATCAGGCTAGATGTGTCAAGCACATATCACACGCTCAGTGAATGTTTGCTGAGCAAATGAATGAAGTGGCTGATAATATCACCAGAGAGCTAAGATAGGACCTCAAATAACGCTAATACAAAATAGACACCATAAGGCTTGTGAGAGAGGTGCACAAAGCTAACAGGCTTCAAGGAAAGGGAAAGAAATGAAACCAATGGGGAATTCTAGAAAAGGCTTTGGAGAAGGGATGCCACAGGGGTTGGGCCTCAAAGGAGAGACAGGACTTCAAGAGATGAAGATGTAACAGAAGATGGGACTGAGAGAGAATTAGTAAGAGCCAAGACCAAAGTAGGGAAGGACAGGACATGCTTAGGGAAGGGCCAGTGGTGCCCTTGGGCTGGTCTACAGCAATTGAGGTTACACAGACTGGCTAAGACCATTGTCACAACCTTCCAGTGTGTCCCCCAAAGGGTAAAATATTCTCCAGGTCCCAGGTGGATTCAGTGCAAGCACCTCCTGTTCAGCTCCACCTGGGCCTGACTCTTCCCGTGCTGGGTGAGCTGAGAATGATCCATGCAGCCAGGCTTATGGCTGAAAGGATCCCAGAGATTTTCATCCTTTTCCTTTTGTAAGAACACAGACACAGAGGTTGGGCTTTCAATTCTAAATTCTAAAGAAGAGAAGATGCCCCATCTTCAGGAGGCCACCCTGACAACGTCTAGCACTGGGACAAACAATTGCAGGGAGCTCCAGGAGACAGGTGGGGAAGAATGTGTGAACAGAACTGACTGCTATTGAATTTAAGATGGTATTATGTTGGTGCAAAAGTAACTGTAGTTTTTGCCATTACATTTTTTTTAAATGACAAAAACTGCAATTAGTTTTGCACCAACCTAATATTTAATTATTTCCTGCCTAAAAATGGGGACATAAATGAAATATTCATTGACTGAATATATTCATGTTATATAAATATATATATTTATATATATTATATATATGTGAATATATATTATATATATGTGAATATATATAAATGTATATATTTATATATATGTGAATATATATAAATGTATATATTTATATATATGTGAATATATATAAATGTATATATTTATATATATGTGAATATATATAAATGTATATATGAGTATATAAATGAATGCCCAAGAGCATGGCGCACCAAAGAGAGTCCAAGTTCTGCTTGGCTTATCAAAGGGAACATCCTCCTCAAAAGAACATGTGGGAGACGGCAGAGGAGCAACTAGTGTGTGTGTTTTCTCCTACGTCTAGGAGGAAAAAACTAAATCTGTCACTTTCTGCATGTATTCACATTAAAAAAGGATTCAAAGCTGTCTATTTAGAAGACAGTGCCAGTACCAATTTCTGTGCCAGGGAGATGATATTTTGCAGTTCACAGGGTAGAAAGAACACCATTTTTGTCACATGTTTAGTATTCCACAAGCAGTGAAAGTTAGAATAATTACCTGTGAACGACTATGTATGTTTCTTTCATCTAATTAGGTAATCTGCCCAGGTGTTTAGGACCAAGGCCTCTCTAGGCTTTAATTAGAAAAAGTCTAGGACAGAAACTAATTAGCAGCATTATTCCAAACCAGAAGTCTAATGATATTAACCACAAATCGCTATTGCAATCAGGAGCCTTTATTCTAAACCATTTTTAAAGTGAGGGAGGAGGGGAAGAAGACAAGGTATTTTTCAGCTTTAGAATATTGACTTCCAAACACTAATTCCAGTCAACTTTGATCCACTCTCTCAAAGCAATAGAAAGAACTGTGATTAACAAAAAGGCAGTACAGAATTAAAAGTCAATGAATATTTCATTTATGTCCCCATTTTTAGGCAGGAAATGATTAAATATTAGGTTGGTGCAAAACTAATTGCAGTTTTTGTCTTTTTTTTTTTTAATGTAATGGCAAAAACTACAGTTACTTTTGCACCAACATAATACCATCTTAAATTCAAAGCAGTCAGTTCTGTTCATACATTCTTCCCCACCTGTCTCCTGGAGCTCCCTGCAATTTATAGGTAATGATCTACATGTACCTGGAACTTTCAAAGTGCAAATAGATTTTTATGACCTCAAAACTCTCCTAAAATTACCGTTTGATTCATTCTAGTTTTCATCAAAATAAGAGAAAAATAACCAAATTCCATGAGGAAAAGTCCATATTTCCAAGGTAGCCAATGGGCTGCTGTATGTGTAAAACTATAGGCTTTTTTTTTTTTTTGAGACAGGGTCTCGCTCTGTCACCCAGGCTGGAGTGAAGTGGCGTGATCTCGGCTCACTGCAGCCTCCACCTCCCCAGGCTCAGATGATCCTCCCACCTCAGCCCCCCAAGTAGCTGGGACTGCAGGCTTGTGCCACCACACCCGGCTAAATTTTGTATTTTTTTCTAGAGATAGGGTCTCACCATGTTGCCCAGGCTGGTTTCAAACTCCTAGGCTCAAGCAATCCGTTCACCTCAGCCTTCCAAAGTGCTGGGATTACAGGCGTGAGCCACCACCACACCTGGCCAATAGGCTATTTTTATAATGGGGCTTTTCTGCTCACATCTTTGGCTCTTTTCCAGAATTTTTTCATTTCTTGTAGCATTTACTTAGGAGAACTGGTGGTTTGAAAACACTAGTAGACACAGAGCACATAGTTTTGATTTGTTTTGTTATTAGTGAACATAAAATGACATGGAAATTTTATATTTCGGGCACACTGGCATTTTAAATAATTAATTAGGTAAAAGTAAAATTGGATGAAAAGCCCAATTTAGCATCAGGCTGAAGACAAAAGAAGCCCCACATCAAAGATTAAGAAACTGGAACACACATCAATCCTAATTTGTTGTATCAGTGCATTTTTCAGTCCCTTCTCTCCATGGATGACTTGGGTTTGCTAGTGTTACTAGCCAAATCCCCCAAGGTTAGCTCAATCTAACTTAAACTTGAGCCCCACCAGGAAAAGGAACTTGAACTATCATTTTGAGTTTCGATTCTCCTCTGATTTTCTATTCCTCATTGTCAACCTTCAATATACCTCCCAATCCCCAACCACCCCGCAAACAGACAAAAATTTAGAAAAAGAAAACCAGGCTTTTCAAAGAATAAAATTGAGGGATTTGCATAATTTAGTATCTGGCTTTCAGAAATTTTTTTTAACAACAGAAAAAAAGGTTTTCATTGCCTCTCCCTCTGGAATATAAACTGACTCTGCCTCATGAGAACATACCTGTGTCCCAAGCATTGGCCCTCAAGAGGTTGTGGCTTAGAAACCAAAGAATGTAAATAAAACCTGTGTAGAAAGTGATGTTCCCAGGCAGCTGCTTTGGGAGCCTCTCCTGGTTTGTTTATTTTTTTTTTCATACCCGCTTTGTTTAACACATGCTAGGTTTTTCCCAGCTAGCTATCAAACATTGCTCACGTTTAAGGGTTAAAATAATGTGGTCATTATTGTACTATTCCCGAGAAACGGGAAAAAGAGATCTACAGCAGACTTGCTGCAGCTGTTAGGCAGCCCAATTGCCAACCACAAGGGAATTTGCTTACTTCTATATCACAATCTCCCACCTTGATAAAAAAGAAAAAAACACACCCATTTCATTTAGACTGTATACTAAGAATAATTGCCACCAATATTGATTGGCCTTTTGGGATCCAGCTGAATTTAAAAATTGCAGACTGTGAAATCCCAGCTGATGTATCCTCACTGAGATTACTGCTTATTTGTGACAGGTTCCTGTGTTTAAACTTATCTATGAAAACTGTGAAATTAATATCTTCATGTTGAGTACAATATGGTAACACAACCTGCTGAGACGCACAGCTATTTTTGTTCTTATTATTTTAATGCTGGCTCCTGCCTGTGCCCCACTGTGAATCTTTCTGATAATGAAGCATAAGTACATTTGTTATCTGGAGTCTCATGTTCTCACTGTTTTCTAACTGTTTATTTTCAGGGATTGCACAAATGAGGTTTGTTTCTTTTTAAGTTTTTTTTTTGCTGCACAATTAGTTTTATCTGGATTTTAACCTAGTTGGTTCTCACGCTGGCCTCCGGCTTGGGAGTAAAATTACTGCAGTTGACTTCTGTTTCTGCTTCATCGTACACACCTCCGACACAGAAGATTTGAAGCTAGACGTTTCCTGACAAGTGCTTTCGTCTGCTAAAATCAGAGAGGAAAATGTGCTAGAGTCTTAACTACTAAATCCACGTGATTAACTTATAAAGTTCAAATATGTCAAATATGGAAATTCAGCTGTTTCTGAAACTAATCACAGCTAAAAAACAAAAGCTGATCATGTGGAAATGTGCCTTTAAGTCACACAAACATATATGACTCTGACGCTGAAAATTTCAGGGAGTCATGGGCTATTGGTCTGGCACACATAAAAGCAGCAGAGAACAATGTCACTTGCTTTCCATGAGACTAGAAGTTCTTTGTTTCGTCTGTTATTATCAGAGTCATTGCAGAATCTCATCTTCCTCTCCATTCCAGTTTCATCCCTTCCTCATATTACACACAAATTAAATGTCAGTTTTGAAAGAATCAGGGCAATACCATTTTTAAAAAATATATATACACAGATAAAAGGACTGGAAAGGTGTACACAAAAATTCACAGAGATTCTCTCTGCCTTTCTGGTTACCTGTGATTTGTATTTTCTTCTTTTCACTAATCTCTATGTCCTAAATTTCCTACAATGTGTAGGGATGACCTTGGTAACAGGAAAACAATTATATTTTTTAAAAAAACTGCTATAAATATGTAACACAACTTCTATACTTCATGTGGAATTATATATAATTTCACTTCCAAGTTCTTTTAATGTGAAAATTATATAAACAAAAAATTAATATCACTATCAATATTAATACTTAAATTTTATGTTTAAAGAATTTACTTTTATGTTACATTATTTCAAGTTCATTCTGATAAATCTCAGTGAGTAGTCAAAATGCAACTGTTTTTTTTTTTAATTTACTTATTGGTTGACTGGTTGCTTGGTTGGTTGGTTCGTTGGTTGCTTGGTTGGTTGCTTGGTTGCTTGGTTGGCTGGTTGCTTGGTTGTTTGCTTGGTTGCTTGGTTGGTTGGTTGGTTGCTTGCTTGCTTGCTTGCTTGCTTGCTTGCTTGCTTGCTTGGCTGGTTGGTTGGTTGGTTGCTTGGTTGGTTGGTTGCTTGCTTGCTTGGTTGCTTGCTTCATTGGTTGCTTGGTTGCTTGCTTCATTGGTTGCTTGGTTGCTTGCTTCGTTGCTTGCTTGGTTGGTTGCTTGGTTGGTTGCTTGGTTGGTTGGTTGGTTGGTTGCTTGATTGGTTGCTTGGTTGCTTGGTTGGTTGGTTGGTTGGTTGTTTGGTTGCTTGGTTGGTTGGTTGGTTGGTTGCTTGGTTGGTTGGTTGGTTGCTTGCTTGCTTTGTTGCTTGCTTGGTTCGTTGGTTCGTTGGTTGGTTGGTTGGTTGGTTGGTTGGTTGGTTGGTTGGTTCGTTGATTGCTTGGTTGGTTGGTTGCTTGGTTGGTTGGCTGGTTCATTGGTTGGTTGGTTGCTTGGTTGTTTGGTTGGTTGGTTTTCTTCACATTTTAACAGTAAGTTTTCTTATTCTTCACTTTTATGAGCATTTTACTTTATTATTATCATCTGAGGTTTCTAACACAGGGCACAAGTTTTACAAATCCAAATCATAACTAATAGGTAGAAAAGTCTATAAAATGTGAAAAATACAAATGTAACACACACGCACACTACAATTTATTTTATTATTCCAAATTTCAAAAATAGTTTTAAAAATTGAATTCCAGCTACTTCAACAAATATGCTTCCACTAGCTTAGAGAACAGCAGAAAACAAGTTGAAAATCTTCTTTTATACCTCTAATAGAGCCGCAAATTAATTTAAACAGCAACTTAATGTATTTTCAAATAGGCCTTCACACTTTCTTACTGAAAATAGAGCATAAGAAACAAAGACAAAGTGTATTCCAATTACTTAGGAAAAATTATTAGCTCCAGGGATACTTTAGAATAATGTGTTTAAAACTGTTTTGTCTGGAGACTTAATGTATAGCATGGTGACTATAGTTAATTACAATGTATAGTACACTTGAAATTTGCCAAAAGAGTAGATCGTAATTATTCTCACCATACACACACATACACAAAAAGGTAATTATAAATACATTCATTAATTTGATTGTGGTAAGCATCTTACAATGTTTAGGTATTTCAAGTCATTACATTCTACACCTTAAATATATTCAATTTTACTTGTCAATTATACCTCAATAAAGCAGGGGGCAACACAAATAAATTTTTTAAATTTAGCGTGCAAAAATATTTTTAAACAGTTTCAAAGCTGAGTCCACAGTGTTGATTTTACTTGCACAAAATATTTCTGCAATATTTATCCTATCATTTGGTTCACTCCAGGCCTGCCCTAGAAACCTGTCACACTTTCAGTTCAGGACCTACAGACTCATTGCAACCAGCCGGTTGTCTCTGCTGCCATGAGGGGAGGTCCCAAGTCATCAAAGGGGACACTCTATCCCTAAGGTCAGCTGTAACCTTCCATAAGACTGTCTTCTTGTTATTATGAAACATAACTAAGGCCTGGCATGGTGGCTCAACGCCTGTAATTCCAGCACTTTAGGAGGCCAATGCGAGTGGATCACCTGAGGCCAGGAGTTCAAGACCAGCCTGACCAACATGTTGAAACTCCGTCTCTACTAAAATTACAAAAATTAGCTGGGCGTGGTGGCAGGTGCCTGTAATCTCAGCTACTCGGGAGGCTGAGGCACAAGAATTGCATGAACCCAGGAGGCTGAGATTGAAGTGAGCCAAGATCATGCCATTGCACTCCAGCCTGGGTGACAGAGCCAGACTCTGTCTCAAAAAGAAGAAGAAGGAGAAGGAGAAGGAGAAGAGGAAGAGGAAGAGGAAGAGGAGGAAGAGGAAGAAGAAGAAGAAGAAGACATAACTAAAGTTTGCTGTGTTGGGCGTCACTAATTTTTAACTTGTGATGGAAGATGTTTGGAATTATAAGAGCAGGTGGCGAATCAGCCCATTGGGCTACCTTGGCTAAGTCTGGTAGTTTGTTTACAGTCATCATTTCCCTGATTGGAAAACACAAAAGCTTTGAGTTCCAGGACCTTCCCTTCAAGCTTGGGCATTACAAGAGGCCAATTACTAAAAGTTGACATAGCTTTGTTGTTATTACAGTAGGTACAAACCTGCAAGTAGTTATGGTTTACGAAAATAATAAATGGAGAGGAGACTCTCCCCTTGTTTAAATTTCGGAGGTTAGGCCAGGTGTGGTGGCTCACACCCGTAATGCCAGCACTTCGGGAGGCCAAGGCAGGTGAATCACTTGAGGTCAGGAGTTCAAGACCAGCCTGGCCAACAAGGTGAAACCCCATCTCTGCTAAAAACACAAAATTAGCCAGGCATGGTGGTGCATGCCTGTAATCCCAGCTACTTGGGAAGCTGAGGCAGGAAAATCATTTGAACCCGGGAGGCGGAGGTTGCAGTGACCAGAAATGGCACCATTCCACTCTAGCCTGGGCGACTAGAGCAAAACTCCATCTCGAATAAATAAATAAATTCAGAGGTTAATGGCTTGACTCTTAGCATAGACACACAGATGTTACGCTATAGATTATACCAGGAAGAGGTGGGAGGAGCCACACATCCCACATCAGAAATAGCCTTTGGAAAACTGCAAACTGGATTGCGTGTGCGTTTGGCTGCAAAATAAATCATGAGTTTCTCCCAAACATTAGATGGACAAAGGAACAATTCACTTTTTTTCCCCACTGTGATCCATTCACAATGGAGTATATTCCTGGAGGATTCTAAGATGTGTTTTGTTCACTAGAGAAGACTTTTTAGGAGTGTTTAGTTTAGGAAATGCTTAGCTGGCTATAGAAGACAGGCGCACATTCTTATCTGACTACAGAATCCAGGTGTCACCTGTGGAGTTAACACAAGGCCACAGATGGCCGCCTTCAAGGTGACCCTGCCCAGAGCCTAGGGAACAAGGTGAGGGTTGACTGAGAAGGGAAATGGTGGTCCTGCTGAGAAGGACATTCCCCAAGCTCATGGTCTGGTCCACAAGCCATCGGTCACACAGAGGGTCACACAGATATGGGATGCCCAGTTAAATTTTAATTTCTGATAAACAATGAATTTGTTTAGTATAAATAAATATGTCGTAAATATTGTATGGGACATACTAAAAACATTACAATATAATTTAGTACATGTACTATGTACTAGTATATGTACTAAATTTTATATATGTGTATTTTAATATTAAAAGTTAGGCCAGGCACGGTGCTCACGCCTGTAATCCCAGCATTTTGGGAGGCCGAGGCGGCCGGATCACCTGAGGTCAGGAGTTCAAGACCAGCCTGGCCAACATGGCGAAACCCTGTCTCTACTAAAAATACAAAAATTAGCTGGGTATGGTGGCAGGTGCCTGTAATCCCAGCTACTCAGGAGGCTGAGGCAAGAGAATCTCTTGAACCAGGGAGGCGGAGGATGCAGTGAGCCGAGATCGCACCACGGCACTCCAGCCTGGGCAACAGAGTGAGATTCTGTCTCAAAACAAAAAAAAAAAGGAAAAAGAAAAAGAAAAAAAGTTAGTATGTTATACCCAACACATATTCAAGGTTGATCTGAAATTCAAATGCAACTAGGTATCTTGTATTTTTGCTAAATGTGGCAACCCTCGCACACAGCGATTCGCTAGTGGCTTTGGAGGGCAGAGGAGGTAGTTCCCTGAGCCCTCCACGTGACTTTTCCTTCTGTCCTCCCCTTCTCTGCTCAGAGGCCCCTTCCTGGGAGAAGGCTTCGCTGATCACTCTGTATACCACTGCACCCTTTTCCCACACTCCCGGCCCCCTTAGCCTGCCTTTTCCTCCATAACTTATCATTGGATGACATACTACATACTTTGAGTAAATGATTTTTTTCATCTTTATTCTCAGCCCTTTGTATTATGTCTGCCACAGAGTGGGCCTTAAAAAATATTTGTGGAACTGCATGAATGAGAGTGACTCCATGGACAAGGATAAAACACTGAAAGTAAAATAAAGGCAGAACTAAGGTAAATGAGTATTGCCATTTCGACTCACCTGATAGATCTGTGTGTTTTAGTCAGTGCAAAACTCACCTGGCGAAGGGAACACCAATGAATAAGATGACGATTAGGTAGGTCCAAGGTGGGGCCCAAGATTCTGTAGCCCTACCACGTTCCCAGGTGATGCCGATGTAGCAAAGAGAGTCCTTGAAGAGAGGCAGGGCACGGTGCTCACGCCTGTAATCCCAGCACTTTGGGAGGCTGAGGCAGGCAGATAGTTTGAAGCCAGAAGTTTGAGACCAGCCTGGGCAACATGGTGAAATCCAGTCTCTACCAAAAAATACAAAAGTTTATCAGGCATTGTAGCATACACCTGTAATCCTAGCTACTCAGGAGGCTGAGGCACGAGAATCACTTGAACCCAGGAGGCGGAGGTTGCAGTGAGCCAAGATCACACCACTGTACTCCAGCCTGGGTGACAGAGCAAGACTCCAACTCAAAAAAGAAAAAAAAAAAAAGAAAGAAAAAGAAAAAGAGAGAGAGAGAGAATCATTGAAGAAAGCTTGGATCCAGGTAAAAATAAAGAGCAGGACACAACCAGAAAAGTCTGTGGTTCTGTTATATCATTGGACAGTGTAATGAAATGTAATGTGTTTTAAAAAATAAAAATTCTATATTCCTAAATCTTGAATAGATTCCTATTTCAGAAACCATCCATTCTGATGAGTCTCCCTTAGCTCTGAAAGAAAGAGGATAAAAACCAAATACAAGAATAATAAAAACCACCTGTCCAAGATGAACTGGAGAAAGGGTGCTAATCTCCCTGCGACAACTCCTACAACTGTATTTGATCAGGATGATAAGAAAAGTTTTAACTCATGCCTCAAGCAGAGCCACAAGACCTGCCTTTTTTGATGACCTTGAATTCTACAACACAGGCTCCAAACCTCACATCTTGTCAACTCTCACCATGAGAAAAGTAGGAAACACTCTCTCACGTTCCCAAGTACTCACCATACCCCCCAAAATAAGTAAAAGCTTACTTTAAAAAATAATTTGTTTTCAGAGCAGAAATCTTCTAAAAGTTGAATTCTGATTCCGTACACACCTGCGGAGAGGTACTTGCCATGCCCACTGTCTAATATGCTTCTCTTTCTATGAACTAGGGTAGGGGTTACAAATAGCTGCCATAGAGTTACTGTCATTATCAGCCTGCAATCTGTGAGCAGCTGTTAAAAACCCACATTTTGTCTCAATTGTAATCATTCAAACAAATAATGCTTACCTACAGTTCAAAAGAAGTCAGTCTGGAATTAAGTGCTGTTCATACCAATTATGTTTCTTCTTTCAGATGTATGGAAAGGGAAAATAAATTATCCATTAAATTGCAGATATATGTAAAGATGCTTTTTGTAGTAAAAGCCAAAACAACTTGAATCTGACCTGTGATTAGAAATAACAGACATTTGAAATTCAGTAACTTAATTCATTGACAATATCACCAGGTTAGTTATCAATGATTCATTCAGTTTTCTTTTAAGCATTATTAATTGCTTGATACCATTTAGGATCAGGAAACCCTTAGTGCAGTGAAAATTGTAAAAGTTTATGACCTGGGAGGC
This sequence comes from Homo sapiens, assembly GCF_000001405.40. Classification (NCBI taxonomy): domain Eukaryota; kingdom Metazoa; phylum Chordata; class Mammalia; order Primates; family Hominidae; genus Homo; species Homo sapiens. Next base: position 33,196,840 of record NC_000021.9, read on the forward strand.
CCGTGTCTAGCCATGCCTCTGTCAGGAATCTGTGGTGTGACTTCTGACAAGAGTTTTATCCCTCTGGATCTGTTTCCTTGGCTGGAAAGTGAGGAAATCGATCCAAAGATTACCTCGCAGATTCTCTCCAACTCTGACATTCTATCATTTCACACTCACTTTAAAATAGACTGTCGGCGACCCTACGCCAGTTTTCCTTGAGAAACAGCGCCACCTTCAGGTCATAATAACCATAAGAGAGCTGACCGTGAAGGTGCTTCTCCGGCAGGAGCGATTTGCCCTGATCCACAGAAACCCTTCCCCCGCAGTCCTCTGGGATGCGGTCACACACTTGTGAGTCTGCCGCTGGGTTAAGATCAATGCGTATGGACATGGAGCCAAGCTGAGCTAACTGGCCCACAAGGGACAGATGCATGACCTTGGCCTAATTATCACAGCTCCAGCTAACAGTTCGCCCACAGCAAAGCTCCTTGTGGAACCCTATAAAGAAGGAAAGGAAGCGAGGGATATGCTGGATGAACTAAACTCTACAAAACAATGAAAATGGACACACCTCTTCTTCAGGCAATTCCACTTAAGATAGTTTCCAGCTGTTCTTATTTTAGCAAGATATCTACTTGGATATACTTTCATTAAGAAAAATGACATAGTGAACTCTGAAGTAAATATCAGATTTTTTTCACCCAGCAAATATTTATTGAGCAACCAACCACTTGAATGCCAGCACCGTGCTAAAAGCTCTCACAAAATTACTTTTATTGAATTTCCACAACAGCCCTTGTGAGAGAGGAATTCATATCTTCATTTTTCAACACAAGGAAGTTGAGAATGAGAGAGGCCCAGAAACAGCAGATCTGGCAACAAGCTTGAATATGCAGACACAAACATTCCACACAGTCCTCCTCTGAGGACACGACGCAACTGCTCCTTTTCAAGAGCTTATCACTTGGCACAGTGTGGCACCAACTGCAATCAGCAGTGCAGAGGCAAAGGCCGCTAGGGAACTCAGTTTATTTCTCTGCAGTGTGATCTGTATGCAGAAAATGGCCCTATCTTTGCCAGCCATCCTCTGCCATACCTCCCTAACCCACTGATGGATGCTGGGCAGGATAAGGGGGATAAGTTAATTTGTTCCTAAGTGTCTAAACAAGGATCCTTCTTAGAAACAGTGGATATTTAAGGTTGTCCCTTTGATCACATCCCAACAATCCCTAAATTCCATAGGCTTTCTTGGTTGGGAAAGAGGCAGAGCAACTGCTACCCATGGGAATGCATCATATTTGGAAATATAATGTTTCCTGTGCATTACAGAGGAGAGAAGTGGGAAGCATCGCCCGGTGCTGGAGGTACTCCAGCTACAGGTGGTACCCTCTATATCTTACTCTTTCCCGTACCTACATATGTGTAGTCAACTCCAGTTGATGAGATCAGGTTTTCAATTCTTTGTACCCCCCCACTGCACTTTGCAAAATACTGGCACATAAATTTAAAGTTACTAAATATTTGCTGGTGTGTTAGGAAAAACACATAGTCTGCATGCAGAAAACAGGAATTATACAAACTAGCATGATCAGACATATTTAAGATGTCAGCTGAGTTACTCTAGGGCAGAGCCCAAGGATGAAGCTTGGCTGAGGGAGGATAGGGGAAGTGCCTTGGGACCTTTAGATTATGGGTGGAAGGAACAAAAGACCCACATGGAACAAGACACTAGAGTTGGATTGACCCTTTGGGGAAGGAGAAGTTACGATATGACATCTAAACCGCAAGGAAGATGCCAGAAAAAGAAAGAATAATATATTGTGTAAGCAAGCAATTTCTTAATTTTAAACGTGTTTTTATATTCAGGTGAAATTGTTTTATTCAAGGTTGAATGACTACTAAGTTGCAGCTAATCAGAAGTTGAGAAAGAAATGCTTGGCAGTTGGAATCCAGTTTTTGCACATAATCAGAACCAGTACTGTCAGTTTCATGGCGTCTCAAAAGCTAAGACTGAGAAGGAAAAAGGGAACAGAGCCGGCCTTGTCACACCACAGACGGGAGCAGAAGTGCAGAACTGTCCCCATGGCATGTGTTCAAAAGAGTATCGTGTAGCAAACCCTAACCACAGCAGCAGTGGCTGAGCTAATCCTGGCTGGATCCCAGTAAGGCCCTTCTCGAGTCCCAGCAATGACGATGGTAGATTAGCAATCTCTTCTCAATGTGTCAATATCATCTATGTTTCTACCCTGCTAGCCTCCTCTTTTCCTTCTTTCTACCCCACCCTCAATTAACCATGCCTCCTCTTACAATTTCTAGTCTGCAAGAGACTAGGACAATAGAGAATCAAAAACTAGGGTAGAAACACAGAGGCTGCTGTGGTTAGCGCTTGCTGCGTGATAGATAGGTTTGGTTTTGTAGCAATAACACAAGGCGGAAAGTGATAGAAAATTCAACATTCTAACTGCAATTCACCAAATCTTATCTCCAGACTTGCGGTGTTTATAGTTTCAGCAACACAACCTGACTGCCAGGAGGAGAGTGAGGATAATAGCATGAATCCGACTGACAAGGAATATGTCTTGGAGAGCCGTGAACCATACCAGGAAGAGATTTTTTGCTTATAAGAGCATATTTGTTTGTGGGCTCTTTCCAGGAGCAATAGACTAAGTTGAAGATGTTTTATAAAAAGATAGTTTTATAGAACAGATATTAGGAAACTATTTTTTTATGATGACACACGGATCTTCAGCCTTGAGACTGTATCTTCCAGCCTGGTTGATCCTTCTGCACTGGTTGGTACACAGTCACTTCCCTGAATGTCCCCATCTCAATCCTCCCCACACTACCCTGTCCACTGAGTCCCACCCCAGGACCATCCCCAGCCCAGCCTCACAGTCCAGCATCCACAGGGTTAATGGCAGACACAGTAGAGAGCCGCAACAGTTGCTAAATATTGTCAATATCAACCCTGATTACAGGCGATCGATTCTACAAAGAACTCTACAAAGATTCTACATTCTTTATTCTATATAGATTCTGTAAAAGAAGAATCTAAGCACTTTGTTCTGCACCGTCCAAACATGAGTCATTGTTTTCAGGGCATCATTTGGCTTTTAACACAAAGACCCAGCAGAGGGAGCCGTTTCCTAACATGAAAGGAGCTATAGGCCCTGCTAAGACAGCAACTGTTATTAGTATTATTCCACTAGAGCTGCCATAGAGGGGTGACGTCAACAACAGAAATGTATTTTCTCACAGTTCTGGAGACTGGAAGTCTGAAATCAAGGTGTCAGCAGAATTGGTTCCTTCTGAGATCTCTCTTCTTGGCTCATAGATGGCGGATTTCTGAGTCTTCACATGGTCACCCCTCTGTGTCTGTGTCCTAATCTCCTCTTCCTATTAGGACATCAGTTATATCAGATTAAAGCCCCCTCTCCCCATGACCTCGTTTTACCTTAATTACCTTCCTAAAGGCCCTTTCTCCAAATGCAGCCACATTCTGAGAGGTACTGGGGGATAGGACTTCAACATATAGATATTTGGGCTTCAATATATATATATATATGAATCCTATCCCCCAGAGGCACTGAGGGATAAGACTTCTATATATAGTAGCCTTTCAAACATGTATACATTTCAAAATGTTTTTCTGTTGTTTTCTATAGGTTAGATTGCCCATTGTGTTGACTCCCATAATAAGTCAATGGTTTAAAGTCTTTGTCCTACCACCACATTGGCACACATCCATGGTGTGCTCAGATGGGAAGAAATTCAGACCTGAGTCCCTGCCTTCAGCAGATCCTGCAAGTTCACATATCTAGATATAGAAGGAAGTCTTGAAGATAGACACATGCAGGGTGGCTGGCAGCCATCTGCAGAGGCCACCAAATGGAGAATGGCAAATGTTAAGGACAAGATAGTGGAGCCATTCCAGACATCTTTGAAACCAGTCTTATAGACTCTCCTCCCTCTGATTCCCCCCTCTCCTGTCCCAACTTTACACACCCAAGGCCTGGCAGTTCTGCTGATTGGCTAGCCTGGATTTGCACAGAGAACAACTCACTGGACCAGATGTGCTTCATCAACCCCACGGTTAGACAATAGCATTCTGACTACAGTGGCGCATCCTCAGCCTCCCCAGGCAAACAGATTCTTGTCCCATACATCCCTTACTTACAGCCTTGGAGCTGGGATGATGGCGGTTACCCTTATCATGCTAACTGGCTTATAGACCCACTACAGACCTCACCCTGCTGTCTCAAAATGTAATCTACCCATATCTGAAGGGTTGTCTTAAGGATGCATGAATGTATCTAAATAATTATCAATGATGCTTGTTTGCAATAAAGTGATTATCTTGCTCTACAATCACTTTATTGCAAACAAACATCATTAGAAAAATATTGTTATAACCTTCTTTACAAAATCATGTATAAGAGATTTCATGCAAAATAGACCATGACCACTGCCATTATAGTAGATGGGACCCAGAAAGAACAGCCCTTTGCTTAAAGTAGGATTCTATGTGCACTCACTTTACCATAAGATTACTGTGACTTGCTGAGTGTACCAGGATGTTAGAGGTGTAATTTAATTTCTCAAAGAGATTGAAAGCCAGTGCCTGGGTTCAAAAGGCGAGGAGGCTTGCTCCTTTCTTTTCTTTTCCTTTTTTTTTTATTATTTTCTTTTCTTTTTTGAATAGGGTCTCGCTCTGTCACCCAGGCTGGAGTATAGTGGCACGATCATGGCTCACTGCAGCCTCAACCTCCCGGGCTCAAATGATCCTTCCACCTCAGCCTCCCGAGTAGCTGGGACTACAGGTGCACACCACCATGCCAGGCTAATTTTTAAATTTTTTTGTAGAGACCCCCAGGGGTCTCCCTATGTTGCCCAGGCTGGCCTCAAACTCTTGGGCTCAAGCCATCCTCCCGCCTCAGCCTCCCTAAGTGCTGGGATTACAGGCGTGAGCCACAACTCCTGGCCAATGCAAAGCTTTCCACACCCCTCTGGGTTGGGGGATAGGGGCAGGTCTAATGAAACAGCAGGTAGTTCTGAATTAACACTGAATCTCTCAGCCATTGATTCGAGACTGCAGAAGTCAGCAGGGGCCTTTCCCTTTGGAGATGGAAGTGCCATTGGCTCAGCCCCTTTAATATACGACCCAAGATGTCAACTCATGGACCCTGCATCCTGTCTTTGGATCTCCCCATTTACACTATTGTAACCTCAGGACTTCTTCAAGTCTGCCAGAGGAATCCACTCACACAAAAGAAGCACTGTGGGCTCCTTGGAAAGTATGGTAGAGAGGCAGGGTGGGGTGTGGCTCAGTAATTACGGCACATACTCCACAGCAAATGACCTCACAATAGTGCTTTGGCATTTCTGTTCCCCACACCCCTTTCCCGATGCCCTCCCTCAGGGGGCAGAAGTTTGTGCTCTCTCTGTCTCTCTCCCTCTCTCCTTTGCCACCCAGTGCCCACCCTCACTGCAGCCCTCTCCTAACCCCTCAATCCCACACCCCACGCTGCCTCTAACCCACTCAGTGCCATGGTGGGCATCTATCTGTAGGGAACTCCAGCTCCCTCCAGCCCCTATGCCACCTGTCATTTCCAATCCTTTCTAGCAGCTCCCCTGAACCCTCTCTTTAATAAGATCTACCCTTTTTAAAAATCATATTTTAATTGTAATTTTAAGTTTCAAAATGTCCATTCTCTTAACAATCTTAACCAATTCTCATTGAATGCCTTCTGCATTGTGGTCACAAAAGGGGCTCTGGAACCAGACGTTGGGGTTAGAATCCTGGATTCGCCACTTACTGTGTGACTTTGGGCAAGTTATTTAACCTCTCTGGGCCTCTATTTTCTTGTCCACAATATAGGGAAGGTGATAATAGTAGCTGACTCTTAGGGTTGGTGTGAGAGAATGAGTCACTGAATTCGTGGCTGGAAGGCACGAACAGCGGTGCCCAGCATGGAGCGAGTTCAGTAATGTTAGATGCCACCGTGTGGAGGCACCAGAGGGACCCAATAAACACACACAGAGGGACAAGCAAACCCGCAGTACCGGGTCGCAATGTCACGATGGTGGAAATGCAGGGTACTGTGGGCTTTATTGGAGGGTCACCTAACCCACACTGGGGTGTGAGATCGCATCACCAACCCCAACAGACTCGGGGCTGTGTTGGGGTGGGGGGTGCCGAAGTTCTAGCCTCGGGGTCAAGCCACTTCTGATCACAATCCAATTCACCCACATCACACACACCATGGCACACACATCATACACACACATACACACCATGCAAACATCACATACACACATAACACACAAATACCACATCCACCACCCACACAGCACACACACATACCACATACCCCACAGCCCCCCGACAATAACACCATATGCACACCACACACATACACACACACACACACACACACACACAAAACAGGTCACTACTTCCCTCCTATGTACTATGTGCCCTGCTATTTTCTATTCTGTTCCATTTCATGCCATTTCTTCTTAGTAGGACTCACTGAATTGATTTCAGGACCCACTAATAGGCCTGAGCAGGGGTTCAGAAAACACTGACTTGGAGGGAGGCAAAGGAAACCCTTAAACGTCTGTGAAATGGAGCTTTGACCTGTGGTCTGCCCTTGACCTCTAAGTGGGGTAAGCCTCACACTAGGGGTGCCCTGTCCTGAGACATAGCCATAGCAGTAGGCCACCTTACTATTGGGCTGCCCTGGCCAAGAATGGGAGAAGCAGAGCCTCGTCACCAGCTGGGACAAGGGCAGCCCGAGGAGAGACCCTTTCACAGTGTCGGCACAGCTCCGTTTGACCTAAGAAGTAACCTCACTGGTTTTTGTTTCTAATCACCCCTTCATTTCACAATGGCCTGCAGGTTTCTTTTGCCGCCTTCTAAAATCAATGTTTTCCAAAGTACAGCTGAGTCATGACACATCAAATTAGTGAGTCTCAGACAACATTTTTTAAAAAAGAAAAAGAAAGGCATGGGATAGGATAGGATAGGATAAAGTAGAGCATGTGGCACAAGGATAAGTGCTGATGTGGGTGTGGGTGTGTGTGTGTGTGTGTGTGTGTCTGTGTGTTGGGCTTCAACTTTCTTCAACTGTCAACCCTGCTATTAATAGGTGAAGCTATAAACACAGGGCAAAATCCATCATATCTGGTGATTCATACACAGAAGTACAGAGTGGAGCAACTTGAGACATTACAGGCTGAAAAATACACACTTGAAGTCCACAGCCCATGACTGAATCTGCTAGATGATGACTCGGTGGTTGCTGAGGAATTTAATCATCTGGACCATGTCCTTCCCTAGTTAATTTTCAACCCAGATGATCATATCTCCTGTTCCGGGCAGACACATTTCTGGCGCTAAGACCAGGGCCCCTATTCAGCCTTAGTGGATAATTCAACCTCCTGAGAGGCACTGCAGAAGCACCTGGGCCAAGATTGCTTTCCTCTTCTACGCCTATCCCAGGAATGTGGCCACTGCTCAAAATGTGGGAATTCCCTTCCAGAATTCCCCTTGAAGCTGCTGCACGCTTCTTAGACCACGTCTGAGCAATGCCTGCATCACTAGAATATTTGGCCTCAGTTGGGTTTGTTTCTTTAAAAAAAAAAAAAAAAAAAAAAAAAAAAAAAAAAAGGTTTTTTCCTCAACTAAGACTTAAGACAAGGGGGTCTTAATTTGATTATTTTTTTCTGTTTTATATGATTTCTATGAAAACTACAACAAAATAAAGTTAATTCTATTTAAGTGACTTTTTAATGAATTGCCTTTGTTAGAAAAAAAATTAAGTGTTTTTGTCTCACTCTGTCACCCAGGCTGGAGCACAGTGGTGTGATCATGGCTTACTGCAGCCATGACCTCCCGGGCTCAGGTGATCCTCCCACCTCAGCTTCCCAAATAGATGGGACTACAGTTGTGTGCCACAACGCCTGGCTAATTTTTGTATTTTTTTGTAGAGACAGGGTCTCACCAGGTTGCCCAGGCTGATCTTGAACTCCTTGGCTCAAGCGATCCACCCACCTCAGCCTCCCTGAGTGCTGGGATTACAGGCATGAGCCAGCGCACCCAGCCAGAATTACATTTTTTTAAATGGTACTGTCCTAGAAAATCCAGGATGTGCAGTGATCACGTATGAATGCATGGACCTGCACACACAGGAGTGAACAAAAGACCCACCCCTGCCAGGTCACCACTCATATCTCACCCCAGCCCACGCTAGCTCACACTCCTCCCCACACACCACTGACCTCATCATTGCTAGGTACCCACTTGACTTCTCAACAGGTTCAAGACAATTGGCCTTCCTCGTCTCTTCTAGAAACACCCTCTTTTCTGGGCTTTGTGTAACACCTGGTCTTTCTCCCCTCTCTGGCCACTTCTCAGCTTTTCTTTTTCTTTCTTTCTTTTTTTTTTTTTTTTTTTTGCCACTTCCTCTTCCTCTACATCAAGCTTGTCCAACCCACAGCCCAGGACAGCTTTGAATGCAGCCTAACACAAATTCGTAAGCTTTCTTAAAACATTATGAGATGTGTGTGTGTGTGTGTGTGTGTGTGTGTGTGTGTGTGTGTGTGTGTGTTTAGCTCATCAGCTATCGTTATTGTTAGTGTATTTTATGTGTGGCCCAAGACATTTCTTCTTCCAGTGTGGCCCAGGGAAGCCAAAAGATTGGACACCCCTGCTCTACAACATCTCAATATAGGCCTTTTTCATGTTTCATTCTAGATTCTCTCTCTAGACTACAAGTTCTTAAGGGGAAGTGGCATTGGGAAATGTGTGAAGGTGGCTTTGGTTGTCACAACAGCAGCGTGGATGCTGTGTTACTAGTGTTCAGTGGATGGCGGCAGAGGGACCAAACAGAAGGCAGTATCACCAAAGAACTGTCCATCCTCGCATGCCAATACCCACACTCCATAGAGAAACACTGCAATGGCATCCACTCCCACAGATTCGGTTACCATTTGCCAGCCAAGGCCTGCCCAGCCAGACCTCTCGTCTGAGCACTGGTATTCCCCTTAGACATCTAACAGGCACATCAGAGTCAACGTGTCCAAAGCCAACTCATCATCTTCTCTGTAAATCTGCTTCTTCTCCAAGATGTCCTTCCTCTATGCTCACCATCACCATGAAGCCAGGTATTTAAGCAAAGGGAGTCATCTATATAAAGCCAATCCTCCGTATTCATGGGGGATTGTTTCCAGGCCCCCAGGGATACCAAAATCCACAGATGCCCAAGCCCCTTGTATTAGGTTGGTGCAAAAATATTGCAGTTTTTGCCTTTTTCGTCTTTATGGCAAAAACCGCAATGACTTTTGCACCAACCCAATACAAAATGGCATAGTATTTGCATATAACTTATGCACACCTCCAGTATACTTTTTTTTTTTTTTTGAGATGGAGTCTTGCTCTGTTGCCAGGCTGGAGTGCAGTGGCACAATCTCGGCTCACTGCAGTCTCCACCTCCCGGGTTCAAGTGATTCTCCTGTCTCAGCCTCCCAAGTAGCTGGGATTACAGGCGTGCATCACCACACCCAGCTAATTTTTGTGTTTTTAGTAGAGACAGGGTTTCACCATGTTGGCCAGAATGGTCTCAATCTCCTGACCTCGTGATCCGCCCGCCTCGGCCTCTCAAAGTGCTGGAATTACAGGCATGAGCCACTGCGCCCAGCCTAGTATACTTTAAATCAGCCCTAGATTACTTATAATACCTAATACAATGTAGATACTATGTAAATAGTTGTTATGCTATATTTTTAATTTGTATTATTTTTATTCTTGTATTGTTTTATCGGGGCTTTCTTTCCAAATTTTTTTGATCAGCAGTTGGTTGATCCTCAGATGTGGAACCAACGGATATCGAGGGCAGACTGTACTTGCCTCTCCCTCCACACCCAACCTAATCACCAAATCCTACCAATCCAGCTCCTAAATTCTGCAACACCCATCCACTTTTCTTCCCCTCCACTGCCAGCACGCTAATCTTGGCCACTGTCATCTCCACCTGAACTCCTGCAGTAGCCCCTCCCGGGTCTCCCTGCTTTCATTCCTGCCTGTTTCAGAGCCCCCATCCTCACTGCAACACGTCATCTTCAAAACAGCTGCTCTGATCCTATCACTCTGGCTTAAACTCCCCAGTGGCTTCCCATTCCTCTCAGACTACAGCCCAAATCCTTAGCCCTGCCTCTGAGGACAGCCCTGCAGCGTCTCCCGGAGCCTTCCTTTCCAGCGTCACTTCCCCTTACTTTGGCCACGTTGACCTCCTGCCAGTTCCTCAATGGCTCTGTTCCCCTTCCACCACCCCACCTTAATGAATGCCCTTCCCTCTGCCTGAGAGGTTCCTCCCCACCTGCCCTTCCCTCCCATGGCCGATGCCTAACACTCTTCCATCGCTCTTCCAACACTCTTCCCCATCGGTTCAACACTGCTTCTTCCAGGAAGCCTCCCCAGGCCCCTGGATAAATCCCTGTGCATTCTCAAAGTGCTTAGACTGTCTCTTTTCTAGAACTGACCACAAATGTCATGAATTACCTAGTTGCAAAAGTATTTAATGTCCATCTTCACTGCTCTGTAAGCAGCCCTGTGGACAAGGAATGAGCCAGCCTCATTGACTATGGGTGCTGCGGCTCCCAGCACAGTGTCTTGCAAACGGACATTCAGTAAATATCTAGTGCCAATTCCCCTAAGATAAACCTTGGAGGAACTATAAAGAGAGAACTGACAAAATTTTGAGAAAATCCATGGGATGTGTCAGGAGGGAAACAGCTGGGAAAGGGCCAGGGGACTTTGGCCAGGAGCAGGATCAGTGGGTGGCTGTGGAAAGGGTAAAACAGAAAAGGAACTATGGGTGTCTGCCCTTGCCCCTTCCCTCACCAATGCTAGGGACAAACAGTGCCTGCCCCTACCCTGATGATGACTTAGACCTGTGTCCAGATGTCCCAGGAGTAAAATTCAGGCATCTCACAAGTCCTGTGCCTGTGAGGAGCTGGAAAAAACAGGTGGGAAGAAAAACCCTAGGCAGTTGCTTCCTTCTCTAACACCACCCCTTCCAAACCCTCAGGCCAGGGGAACTGAGAACCAAAAAGTGCCCCTTTCTAAACCACTCCTCCCTGGGGACCAAAGATGGAGCACTGACCTGAAACATTGTTTTGCTGGGTGTGGAGTAACTGAGGGTGGCGCAGTTGTCTGGGACTGATCTGTCCCCACCCCATCTCTCCATAGATATTGCCTAACAGAGAAGCCAACTGACCTCGCCACTGCCATGGAGAATGAGGTCAAGATAGCAAGATAGTTGAGAAGTAAACCATTTAAAAAAAATTGAATTATAGATTCCATCAGAAGAGGAAATGTTGGAAAAGTCCAAGAAGTTAAAATTAGCCTAATAAGCTTAATAGGAAATAAAGAGAAATGAAACAATACTAAGACAACATTAAAAAGGAACCACGCATAAGAAATAAAAAATATAGTAGTTGAAGGAAAGAACTCACAAATGTGACTAAACAGTAGAATGAATAAAACTCAAGGACAAATTAGTGAGTTGGAAGTTCAAACTGAGGAAGTTCTTCAAATGAGGGACAAAAAATAGAAAATATTAGAGAAAAGCCAAAAAAATGGAGTATTTACATACAAATGCTAACATCCATATGATAAGGCTCAGAGAGTCAGAGGAATAAAATGAAAAGAAGGAAGTATTTGAAAGAATAATGAAGCTAGATTTCCTAGAATTCAAAAAGAAAAAAAGAAATACCTCAGAATGAAAGGGCCTACAGAATGACAAAGAGAAGAAAGAGAAAAATATATCACACCCTATGGTAAAATATGAGACTATGAAAGACAAAGAAAATTCTGCAGAGTAAATCATACAAAGGACCAACATCGAGAATGACACCAGATTTCCCCACAGCATCAGTGGATCCAGGAAAACAATGGAGCAGTATCAGCAAAGTACTGAAGGATATGACCTTAGAACCTAGAAATATACATCCAGCCAAACTGCCCTTTAATTAAGTATCAGGGCATGAAACAAATATTCTCAGTCATATAAGACCTCAAAACTTGAATAAGTAGAGAAACAAATCAAAGAGTTGCTGGAGAAACAAATAAAAATAATCAAATACCTTACAAAAGTTGGTTGTAGTAAACAACAAATTTTTAAAATTCTAAGACCAGGCTGGGTGTGGTGGCTCATGCCTATAATCCCAGCACTTATGGAGGCCAAGGCAGGAGAATCGCTTGAGGCCAGGAGTTTGAGACCACCCTGGCCAACATGGCAAAACCTCATCTCTACTAAAAATACAAAAATTAGCTGGATGTGGTGGTGTGCACCTGTAGTCCCAGCTACTCAGGAGGCTGAGGCATGAGAATCACTGAAACCCAGGAGATGGAGGTTGCAGTGAGCCGAGATCAAGCCACTCCACTCCAACCTGTGTGACAGAGCGAGACTCTGATTTAAAAAAAAAAAAAAATTCTAAGACCAATGAACAAGAAAAAAGAGACTTACACTTGCCTGGACTTAAAAGTATAGATCAGGAATATTTGTATCATAATGTTAAATTATATAAAATTAGATTTACTATATATAATTGTCTAAATCAGAATACCTTTGAGAGTAAAAGGTATTATTTAAGAATTATATCAGGAAAAGACAGAGTAAACTAGGACTGTCTCAGGCAAATCAGGACGTATGGTCAGTCATAGTATATAAAATAGATCAGAAAATATGAAGGATGAGGAGGGCCCCCAAAATGATAAAAAGTTTAATTCCCCTAGTATATATAAAGCAAAAATTGATAGAAATATACAGATAAATTGATAAATCCACCTTCACAATGGGAGATTTTAGCATATCATTGTAAATAATGGGTCAAGTAAACAAAAAAACTCAGCAGGAATGTAAAAGATTTGAACTTCACCCAATGAATACAGAAAGTTATGCCTCGAAAACTTAAATGATACATTTTTAGGCCAGGTGCGGTGGCTCACGCCTGTAATCCCAGCACTTTGAGAGGCCGAGGCGGGGAATCATGAGGTCAGGAAATCGAGACCATCCTGGCTAACACGGTGAAACCCCGTCTCTACTGAAAATACAAAAAATTAGCCAGGCAAGGTGGCGGGTGCCTGTAGTCCCAGCTACTCGGGAGGCTGAAGCAGGAGAATGGCATGAACCTGGGAGGGGGAGCTTGCGGTGAGCCGAGATCATGCCACTGCGCTCCAGCCTGGGAGACAGAGCGAGACTCCGTCTCAAAAAAAAAAAAAAAAGGAAAAGAAAAAAAATTCACATATCTTATGATATAACAATTTCACTCTAAGAATTATACCTAAAATGCTTGCACACATACAAGAATGTTCATAGCACCACAGTTCTCAATAACCAAAAACTGGAAACAACTCAACTGCTCATCAAGAAAAGGGAGAAGAATAAACTATGGTTGTATTCATTTTCTATTGCTACGTAACAAATGACAAACGTAGCGGCTTGAAACAGCACCCATTTATTATCTCAGTTCTATAGGTCAGATGTCTGGACATGTCATGGCTGGGTTCTCTACTCAGGGGCCCACCAGGCTGAAATTAAGGTGTTGGCAGGGCTGCAATCTCATCTGAAGGTGAGGGCCCTCTTCCCAGCTCACTGGTTGTTGGCAGAATTGAGTTCCTAGAGGGTGAAGGAGTGAGTCTCCACCATCTTGCTAGCTGTCAGCTGGAGCCATTCTCAGCTTCTAGAGGTTGCTGGCCCCATGGTGTTTTCCACGACATGAAAGTTATCTTCTGCAAGGCTGGCAGGAGATTTTCACTGCTACTTTGGATGTCTGACTTGCCTGCCTCTGACTCTAGACCCAGGTTTAAAGTGTTCATGTGATTAGATCAAGCTCCCTTCCTTGATCTAATCAAGGAAGGGCATTAATTATGTCTGCAAATTATGAAGGGCATTAATTATGTCTGCAAAACCCATCACAGTAGCACCTAGATTCAAGTTTGAACACTGTATGTTCCCCAGGGCCCAGAATCTTGGCAGCCATCTTCAAATTCTGTGTCCTACAATGATCTATTCACACAGTGAAATATTACACAGCAGTCAGGTAGAGTGGATGATAGCTGCCTTCAACAAAAGGATGAGGCTTGGCAATTTGATATATAGAAAATATAGACCCAAAAGACTGTAAATTTAAAACAACTAAAATTTTAAAAGTACATTTAAGGAACACATATAGAAAATATAAAGCAATATAAAAAAGAAAGGAAGGAGAGGAACTGGATTCTGAATTCATTGCCCAGATTTGGGGGAAGCAGGAGGAGGGGTCTGTGGGTTCATAGATGCCATTATACTATTTAAAATAACTAATGAATAACTAACTAAATTAAAGCAGGAGAAATATGGACCAATGAGAAGAGAATGTCATGAATGAATGCTTATGATTTTTCCTATTCTGTGCACCTGATGTCTAACAATGAAGAAGTTCGGCCTCGATGGCTCATACCTGTAATCCCAGCACTCTGGGAGGCCAACGGGGGTGGATCACTTGAGCCCAGGAGTTTGAGACCAGCCTGAGCAACATGGCAAAACCGTGTCTCTACAAAAAATACAGAAAAATTAGCTGGGCATGGTGGGGTGCACCTGCAGTCCCAGCTACTGGGGAGGCTGAGTGGGAGGACCACTTGAGCCTGAGAGTTTGAGGCTGCAGTGACCTGTGGTTGCACCACTGCACTCCAGCGTGGGCAACAGAGCAAGATTCTGTCTAAAAAAAAAAAAAAAAAAAGATTAGGAAAACAAAAAAGATTAAAAAGATTTGAGAAATGAAAGAACATATTATGGAATTACAAAATGTGTTCCCTCCAGGGCCGGCGAAGCAGCCTGGTTTTCAGATAGCACCAAAGAAGCGCCAAGGGATTTGTCTCCTCAGGTCAAACCTCTCTCCCTGGAAAACTTCCAAAATGTAAATCGAAATTATTATTTGTTCTTGGAGAAGCCTAGTCAGAAAATACTAAGGATAATCAGGTGGCACTGTCACCCCTGAGACCTCAGTCGGCCTCTTACTCCTGTTTCCTCCACCCCCGCCCAGGCACCACTAGTTCCTTTGCAGCAGCATTTAAAAACACTCAGTGGCGCACTGTGGGAGGCGGAGGCAGGATGATCACTTCAGCCCAGGAATTAGAATCCAGCCTGGGCAACATAGTGAGACCCGGTGTCTATTCAAAAAAAAAATTCTTTTAATTATAAAAATAGAAAAATAAACACACTCAAGACTTTCCCATTTAGGGGAGAAAAAAAAAGAAAGAATGAAGCAGGACCCCTCTCCTCCCCCACATCTGCCTCCAGCTGCAACATATCTCCCTTCCTTGCCTTCCTAGCAAACTTGTCAATAACAAGTCCTCTACATTCTTGTCTCGTCTCCTCCCCATTGTGCAAAACCTGCACTCAACCAAGTCACCAGTGACTTGTTCAGCACTTAATCCCTCCTGATATCTCAGTGACCTTGGACTCTGTCAGCCACTTCCTCCCAGAACCCTTTGTCTTCGCAGCTGTGATGGCGCTCTGGTGGCTTTTCTATAATCTCTCTGCTCCTTTTCTGTCTCGTCTGCTCGCTGTTGCCTGTAGCTCTGCCCTCACATCCTGTTTCCTTTCTCCAATCTCTCTGGAATAGTTCATCTGCACTCACAGGACCAACTGTTGCCAGACACTGCTGGTCTCCAGATCCATTCTCGCAGTCTAAATCGTCTTCATTCTGGACATATGGAAGCAGCCGCCTCCAGGAAACCTCTGCAATGCCCTTAGCAATTCCACCTCTCTGTGCCTTCAGTTGAATGAATCATTTCTTTCACCCTCAGCATGCTGCTTCTTGTTGTATACTATATTAGGGTTCTCCAGAGAAACAGAACCAATGAGGTATGTGTGTAGAGGGAGAGAGAAGGGGAGAGAGGGAGAAGGAGAGGAAAACTGATTGGTTTTAAGGAGTTGACTCATAAGATTGTGGGGGCTGGCAAGTCTGAAACTTGCAGGCCAGGCCAGCAGGCTGGAGACCCAGGGGAAGGTTGATGTTGCAGCTTGAGTCTGAAGGCAGCTAGAAACAGAATTCCCTCTTGCTCAGGGACTTCAGTCTTTTCTCCTGAGGCTGATCTGATGAGGCCAGGCCCTATTATGGAGGATAATCTGCTTTATTCATGGTACGTGTTTTCACATCTTTAAAATACCTTCACAGCAACATCTAGGCTGGTGCCTGACCAAACAACTGGGTACTGTGGCCCAGCAAAATTAACACATGAAATTAACCATCACACATACCATCTTAGAAAATGGTTCCACCGTCTAACAGATGCCTTAATCCAGGATCCTGGGAGTTTGCCTCAGTTCCTTATATGACCCAAACTTCACACAGCCAATCTAGCACCAAATTTTATGTACTCCTCTTCCTCAACATTTCTCATCCACTCCCACTGCCTCCTAGTCCAGGGCTCTATTACATCTGAACTGCTACAAGAGTATCCTCGCTGCACTCAAGTTTCCAGTCTTACTTTCTCCAGATCTTTCCTAGACACAGCAAAAGAGAGAGAAAGCTTGTTAACTTGTGAATCAGATCATGTTGAATTTCCTACATCATCTGGATTCCTCGCAAATGCCACAGCTGTCACACAGTCTGGTACAGGTGGGATCTCTCATTGACTCAGACATCATGAGTGTTATTGGTATGTGATTTTCCAAAATGGAGAAGAACTCGTGGTAAATTTCTGAACAAAACAGAGTACAATCTTCTCTCAATTTACACAGCAGTTACAATTCTGGAAAATGCAGTGATATTAAAACCCTACTATCTGAGTCTGCATGGCTGCTATAATAAAATACCATCAAATGGGTGGCTTAAGCAGCAGAAATTTCTTTCTCACAGTTCTGGAGGCTTGGAGGGCAAGATCAAGAGTTGGTTATTGGTGAGGGCTCTCTTCCTGGCTTGTGGATGGCCGTCTTCTTGCCGTGTCCTTACTTGTAGGGACAGTGAGAATTCTCTCCTGTCCCTTCTTATAAGGGCACTAATCTCACTGTGAGGGCTCCATCTTCATGATCATGACTTAGTCACCTCCCAAAGGTTCAACCTTCAAATACCATCACATCAGGTGCTAGGACCTTAACATATGAATTTGAGGGGTCACGATTCAGAAAGTATGGTAAAATGTAAAACAGAGTTAGGTTCTAAGCTCAACTCATTAGAAACATGTTTTGTTTTTGTTTTTGTTTTTTACCTACAAAAAGATCTAACCATGGATTCAAGAGTCTTGAAGAGCTCAGAACTACTTTCAACATGGGAGACCATCCTGAAATTACAGAATATTTAGCATCTCTGGCCTCTACCCACCAAGTGCCAGTAGCACCTGCCCATCATCATGATAACCAATTCTGATCCCACAACTTTCCACAATGTCTCCCGGGGGGGTGAACATACCCCACCACTGGACTTCTACCACTAACCCCAACCCACACATGTAGCTCAAGCCCAACTTTCTAATCACATATCTCAGTCCTTTAGCCAGGAATCCCATTTTCCTACCATGGCACTCTCTACTCCAGAGTCATTCATCATGAACCCTCCCCCTAAAGCTTTGGCATTCTTACTGAATGCTGATTTTTGCTGAACGCTTATTCTTTCTTTTTTCTTTTTCTTTCTTTCTTTTTTTTTTTTTTTTTTTGAGATGGAGTCTTACTCTGTTGCCCAGGCTGGAGTGCAGTAGCATGATCTCAGCTCACTGCAGCCTCCACCTCCTGGGTTCAAGCAATTCTCCTGCCTTAGCCTCCAGAGTAGCTGGGACAGGCATGCACCACCACATGGGCTAATTTTTTGTATTTTTAGTAAAGACAAGGTTTCATCATGTTGGCCAGGCTGGTTTCAAACTCCTGACCTCAAGTGATACGCCTGCCTCAGCCTCCCAAAATGTTGGGATTACAGGTGCGAGCCACCATGCCCAACCCTGAATGCTTATTCTTTTGCTGACTTTATCATCCTCACCTTTTTTCCTTCCCAATTTCCAGAGCCAGTGGAAATTCCTTCATCACTCCCCAATCAGTTAATCAGAAACAAAATAATCCAATTTGGGCTCTGAACTCGAGGGGTTCAGTAAATATTGTTTGCAAACAAATGTCATCCTCACTTTTCCTGGCTACACCTGCCTGAGGGATGAACAGGAAGAGGTCTGAACAGCAACAAAATGATTCTGGAAACATTACTTGGTTCTTCTCTCACACCCAGAGAAATTATTGAAATTTCAAGTGCAAGTTCGCTCCCTGCCAGCATCATAGATCATTCGAGTCCCCAAAGTGTGGTTTGGAGCTCTCCAGAATTGCACTTTTGGCAGGATTCCCTACAGCATTCTTCTGTGAGTTTCCTACAGCTCTCCCTGTGGGGACACTGATTGCATTCTCCCTGGGGTGAGTTTGGGGACCATCGAAGGGTCCTATACCCAAAACCTAAGATTGAGTCTAGGCACCTTCATTAGCCCTTACCAGCCTCATTTGAGCAGCGTGCCCACTGGGGCTACTCCCATAGAAGAGCAGGATCTCCTACAAATCCATCAGGTCCTCATGCACAGAGATCTCCCAGCAGATGGCCATGGGTCATTGGGAGACCCAAGAAACTTGAGAAACAGTTGATGAGACTTGGGTTGTTGTTGTTTTTTTATGAATCTACATTTCTGTAGTAACTCACTGAATGATATTCAATAATGTCTATGCAAAATTAACTCATTGCCACAATCTAAAGCAAGCTTGAGAAATGGTCTGGACACCACAGGACTGTGGCAGCCACAGAGCCCTGGCACCTTCCCTGTGAGAAGGCTGGTGGGGTGAGGCTGTGGGCAGAACCAAGCCCAAGTTAGTGACCCTAGCTTAAAAAGAGAGTGAAAGAGGAAGCCAATGAGCAATTCTGAGAATCAGAGGTGGAGAAACCAGGTCACGTGCATGTGGTTAAGTCACTGGGTCAAAGTTGGGTGTGCTGGAAGCTGTTGCGTCTTTCTCAATCTTACAAAGCCAGGAGTTTGCCAAGGCTGCAATGCCCTATTAGTAAAGGTTGAGCATCCAAATCCCAAATCCAATATGCTCCATAATCTGAAACTTTTTGAGCACTCAGTGGAACTCCTGGAGCATTTTGGATTTGAGATGTTTACATTAGAGTCGCTCAACCTGTAGCAACATGTAGCAGCTGAGCAGGAAGAAGCAGTCCCTCCCCACTCATTTCCTTCCACCTGCCTGGGGTGGCTAAGGAGGGCAGCTGGAGAAAGACAGAGGCTACATGTGGTCAAACTTTAGTCTGCAGTTTCTCAGTCAGAGACTCAGTGAGGGAACCGGCCCCCACTGTCCTCATATGTGCAAATTTGAAGTTGACCTCATAGCTTCTCATGAACAATGCCATCTGGAACCTCAGCCAGGGCCTCCCAAGAGGAAGCCAGAGTTGAATATTTGGCCTCACAAGCAAATGTGACCAATGAGATGTTCATGCCAGAGTCAGGGCTAGATTCGGTTCCCCTAATTTGGCACTCCTTCCCCTGACCCCCTGGGAGACTAGAAAGTTGTAGGGGTATGGATTTTGTGAAGAGAAGGATCAAACCCACATTAGTAGTCTCTCCAGCCCAGAGAAATGCTTTCACTGAGTCACCTTCCATCAGGCAGTCTTTGATACACAAGAGTATTCCATGTTTAAAATGTTCTTTCTCCACAAACCTCCTTCGTGATCCTCTCTCCGCAGATAATATTGCCACATATTTCCTGTTAAGAGCATGTAAGCCCAAAATATCTGAGACAGGTCTCGGTAAATTTCAAAAGTTTATTTTGCCAAGGTTAAGGACACACCCATGACAAATCCATGACACAGCCTCAGGAGGTTCTGACAACATGTGCCCAAGGTGGTCAGGGCACAGTTTGGATTTATACATTTTAGGGAGACATGAGACATCAATCAATATGTGTAAGATGTACATTGGTTTGGTCCGGAAAGACGGGACAACTCAAGGCGAGAAGGGGGCTTCCAGGTCATAGGTAGGTAAGAAACAAACGGTTGCATTATTCTGAGTCTCTGATGAGCCTTCACTGAATACACAATTTACACATGAGTGGAGAGTAGAAGAATAGTCTGGCTTAGCAAAACAATAGGGCAGAGGAAACAATCAGATATTCATTTGTCTCACGTGAGCAGAGGGGCACTTTGAGTTCTGTCCTTTGTCCACACAAGGAATTTCCTTGTGGGCAAAGTGTGAGAGAAGTATGTAGCTTTTTTTTTTTTTTTTTTTAAATCATTGTTGCTGTCTTATTTAGGAATGAAATAGGAGGCAGGTTTGCCTGACACAGTTCCCAGCTTGACTTTCCCTTGGCTTAGTGATTTTGGGGTTGTTGAAAGAAAAACTTTAGCTGAATTAAATTTAAAGGAGTTTAATTGAGCAATGAATGATTCACTGCAAATCGGGCAACCCCCAGAATCACAGCAGATTCAGAGAGACTCCAGCCCCTCCACATGGTGGGAAAAGTTTGATGGACAGCAAAAAAAAAAAAAAAAAAAAGTGACCTACAGAAAATGGTAGTGAGGTACAGAAACAGCTAGATTGGTTACAGCTCAGTGTTTGCCTTATTTGAACATGGTTCTGACAGTTGGCTACATCTCATTGGCCAAAATTCAGTGATCGACACAAGTGTAGGCTACAGTCAGTTTATACCTCGACTTGTTATAGTTCACGATGTACAGAAAAACCTTTAGGCCGAACTTAAATATATAAGAAGCCAGCTTTAGGCTAAACTTGATTTAACTTTCCCAGTGGGTTTCAAGACCAAATAAGTAACTTACTTTGGTAATAATGACATCAATGACTACAGTTTTGGTCAATCTCTCAAAATTGAGAAAATGACCAAAAGGGGGGAAGTGTTAAATCAGTTGGGTCCATCAATGATAGCAAACATTCTGCACAAATGCAAGATGTTGATAATAGGAAAACTGACAGCATGGGCTCAGGGTGGGGAGTATGGAACTCTCCATACTTTTCACTCAATTTTTCTGTAAACCTAAACCTGCTTTAGAAAAGAAAGTCTATTAATTTCAAAATATAAAAATAAAAATATCCACCCTTGCCCCGCAAGGCCTCCTTTGGTTCCCAGCCATTCTTTTGCTCACTTATACAGCAAAACTTCCAAATTGGTTTCTCTCACCTCCAATATTTTTTTCTCAGCCCTCTCTCTGTAGTAGTTTCCTACTGCAGCTGTCACAAATGATCACAACCTTAGTGGCTTAAACAACACAAGTTTATTATCCTACAGTTCTGGAGGTCAGAAGTCAAGGTGCTGGCAAGGCTATGTTCCTTTTGGAAGCCTCCTGCATTCCTTGGTTCATGGCCCCTGACACTTCATCTTCAAAGCCAGCAGCACAGCCTCTTTCAGTGTCTGGCCTCCTCTTCTGTCCTTCCATCTTCTTTCTCTGACTCTGATTCTCCTGCCTCCCTTTTATGAAGACCTCGTGATTACTTTGAGCCCACCTGGATAATCCAGGATCACATCCCTATCTCAATATTCTTCATTTGGTCAAATCCGCAAAATCCCTTTGAACATGTAAGATATTATATTCACAGATCCTGGGGATTAGGAGGTGGACATTTTGGGGGGCCATTGATCAGCCTTCCACCTTCTCTAACTGGTCTCTCCTGAAATAGCTCTTTTCAGTAGGTTACCGGCAGCCTCTGGGTTGCAAAGGCCCAGGGTCACTCCCTCATCTTGCTTGAGCCCTCAGCCACATTCAGCAAGAGTGATCTCTCCCTTCTTCTCAAGAAATTCTCTCCTCTTGGCTTCCATGACATCCAGTCTCCATGCTCCTGGGTCCCCTGGCCTTGCTTCTCTACTGGATGTCTAAACATGGTCGTGACCCAGGGCCCCACCCTCAGCCCTCTTCATCTGTTCTTTAGGTGAACCCATACAAATGATGGCTCCAGCTCTATGCTGATGATTCACAAGTTTACATTTCCACCTCACACTTTTCCACTGAGGCCTGAAATTGTATATCTCTTTGATGCTGTCTTTATATGTCTTCAATACCTTTTTTTTTTTTTTTTTTTTTCAGACAGGGTCTCATTCTGTCACCCAGGCTGGAGTGCAGTGGAACGATCACAGCTCATTGCAGCATTGACCTCCCAGGCTCAGGGGATTCTCTTGTGTCAGGCTCCTGAGTAGCTGGTACTACAAACATGCGCCACCATGTCTGGGTAATTTTTAAATTTTTTTAATAGAGACAGAGTTTCACTGTGTTGTCCAGGCTGGCCTAAAATTTCTGGCCTCAAGTGATCCTCCTACCTCAGCCTCCCAAAGTGCTGGGATTACAGGCATGAACCAACACACCCTGCCATTGTCACTTTTAGACAATTATAAACTTCACAGAAAAGTTGAACTACAGTACAAACAAGTTGTTTTCTGAGCTATTTCCTGGTGCCCCATCACCCCTAAAGACTTTTTGTGTGTATTTCCTACAAACAAGGACATTGTCCTACCTAACTATAATACCACCATCAAAGCAGAAAATTAACTTTGATTCATTAATACCATCTAATCCTCTGACCACCTTCAAGTTTCACCTGCCATGTCTGTTATGGTAAAAGGATCCAGTTCAGAATCATGAATCACATGTAGTGGTCACGTATCTAGTTTCCTTCAGTCTTGAATGGTTGCCCAGACTTTGGCCTTCAAGACCTTGACACTTATGGAGACTACAGGCCAGTTATTTCGTAGGATGTCTATGATCGGCTTCCATGGACATCCTTTCCTTCCCCCCATGTAAAGGCCTCCATAGAAAGTATAAGATGGAAGTATATATTTGTGCATCATCAACATAGAGCTGGAACATTAAGCCACCAGTTGCAGGAGTCACCTAAAGAACACACGAAGGCCGGGCATGGTGGCTCATGCCTGTAATCCCAGCACTTTGGGAGTCCGAGGTGGGTGGATCACCTGAGGTCAGGAGTTCAAGACTAGCCTGACCAACATGGTGAAACCTCATCTCTACTAAAAATACAAAAATTAGCTAGGAGTGGTGGCAGGCACCTGTAGTCCCAGCTACTCGGGAGGCTGAGGCAGGAGAATCGCTTGAACCCAGGAGGTGGAGGTTGCAGTGAGCCAAGATCGCACCATTGAACTCCAGCCCAAGCGACAGAGCAAGACTCCATCTCAAAAACAAAAACAAAAACAAAAAAATCAGAAACAAAAAACAGATGAAGAGGGCTGAGGGCTGGGCCCTGGGCCAATTTGGTATGCACCTTTGGTGGAAGCATCACACATGAGGTGCTGCCTTGTTTTCATCACTTCCTGTTGCATGATGCACAGCTCTGCTTTGTCTCATTATTGATGACGTTCAATTTTACCATTTAAGATGACCTCACCAGGGTTTGCCACTGTAAAATTATTCTTTTCCCCTTTGTAATTAATAAGCATTTTTGTGATGAGACACTTTGAGACTATATAAATGTATTGTTCTTCATCAAATTTTCTATTTATTCAGTATTTAAAAAGGAAAACACAGGTGTAAACTCCCAATACGTAGCTTGTCTTTTCATTATCTTAACAGTGTTTTTCACAGAGCAGAACTTTTTAATTTAAATAAAATCCAATTTTTTTTTTTATTTCATGGATTGTGCTTTTGGTGTTGGATCTAAAAGTCATCACCAAACTCAAAGACACCTAGATTTTCCCCTTTGTTATCTTGTAGAATTTTTTGAGTTTTGCCTTTTACATTTAGGTCTATGATCCAGTTCAAGTTAATTTTTGTGAAAGGTATAAAGATGTGTGTCTCAATACATCTTTTCACATATTCAGTTGTTCCAGCACCATTTGTTGGAAAGATAATTCTTTCTCCATTGGATTGTCTTTACTGCTTTGTCAAAGATCAGTCTACTGTATTTTTATGGGTCTATTTCTGGGCTCTCTATTCTGTTTCTTAGGTCTATTTGCTTATTTTTTCACCAATACCATACTGTCTTGATTATTATAGCTTTATAGTAAATCCTGAAGTCAGATAGTATCAGTCTTCCAGCTTTATTCTACTTCAGCATTATGTTAGCTATCTGGGTCCTTTGTCTTTTCACATAAACTTGAGAATCAGTTTGTCGCTATTCACAAAATAACTTGTTGGGATTTTGGTTGAGATTCCATTAAATGTATATCAAATTGGGAAGAATTAACATTTTAACACTACTGAGTCTTCCTATCCATTAACATGGACTATCCCTCTATTTTTTTTTGATCTTTTATTTCTTTCATTAACGTTTTATATTTCTCCTCATACAAATCTTCTACGTATTTTGTTAGATTTCTCTCTCTCTCTGTCACTCTGTGCTAGTGTAAATGGTATTGTACTTTTAATTTCAAATTCTAATTGTTCATTCTTGATATATAGGAAAGCAATTGACTTTTGTATAGTAATGTTGTATCGTGCAACCTTATTACCATTTAAAACACTAACTATTTCTAGGAGTGATTTGTGAGGGTTTTTTTTTTTTAATCAGTTCTTTGGAATTTCCTATGTAGATAATTATGTTATCTGCAAATTTAAAAAGTTTTATTTATTCTTTCCCAATCTGTACATCTTTCTTTTTCTTATCTTATTGTATTACCTAGTACTTCCAGTACAATGTTGATAAGACTAATGAAATGGATATCCTTGCTTTCCTCCTAATCTTAGGGAAGATGCATCCAGTTTTTCACAATAAAGCATAATATCAGCTGTAGGGTTTTTTGTAGACATTCTTTAACAAGTTGAGAACATTCTCTCTTCCTAGTTTGCTCAGAGTTTTTATCACAAATGTTAGATTTTGTCAAATGCTTTATCTTCATCTATTGATAGGTGATTTTTCTTCTTTAGCCTGTTGATATGATGGATTACATTAATTGATTTTCAAAGGATGAGCCAGCCTTGTGTAACTAGAATAAATCTTATTTAATCATGGCCTATAATTTCTTTTATATATGGTTGGATTTGGCTTACTAATATTTTGTTGGGAATTTCTGCGTCTATGTTCATGAGAGATATTGGTCTATAGTTGTCCTTTCTTGTATTGTCTTTACTGGTTTTACCATTAGGGTGATGCTGGCTTCACAGAATAAACTAGAAAGTGTTCCCTCTACTTCAATTTTCTAGAAGACATAATAGAGAATTGCTATAAATTCTTCCTTAAATATTTGGCAGAATTCACCAGTACAATCATCTGAGCCTAGTGTTTTCTTTTTGGAAGGTTATCAATTGTTGATTCAGTTCTCTTTTTTTTTTTTTTTTTTTTTTTTGAGTCAGAGTCTCACTCTTATTGCCCAAGCAGGACTGCAATGGCTAATTTTTGTGTTTTTGGTAGAGACAGTGTTTCACCATGTTGGCCAGGCTGGTCTTGAACTCCTGATCTCAGGTGATCCGCTGGCCTCAGCCTCCCAAAGTGGTGGGATTACAGGCATGAGCCACCACGTCTGGCCTTGATTCAGTTCTTTAATAGATATAGGACTATTTTGACTATCTATTTCTCCTTGTGTGAGTTTTGATAGATTGTGTCTTTCAAGAAATTAGCCCATTTCATCTAAGTTAATAAATTTGTGGGCACGAAATTGTTCATAATATTTCTTTATTATCCTTTGAATGTCCATAGGATTAGTAGTGATGACCTCTCTTTCATTTCTAATATTGGTAATTTGTGTCTTCTCTCTCTTTTTTTTCTTGGTTAGCCCACCTAGAGGTCTATGAGTTTTACTGATCTTTCAAAGAATGAGCTTTTGGTTTGGTTGATTTTCTCTATTCATTTTCTGTTTTCAATTTCTTTGATTTCTGTTTTAATTTTTATTAATTCTTTTCTTCTGTTTGTTTTAGGTTACATTGATCTTCTTTCTCTAGTTTCCCAAGGTAGAAGCTTAGTTTTTGATTTTAGGTCTGTGTTCTGTCAACAAAAAGAGTCAAACTCTGTAAAATATTTGAAGAGATTTATTCTGAGCCCAAATGTGAGTGACTAATGGCCCCTAACATAGCCCTCAAGAGATCCCAAGAACATGTGTCCATGGTGGTCAGGGCACAGCCTAGTTTTTTTTTTTTTTTTTTTTTTTTTTTTGAGACGGAGTCTCGCTCTGTCACCCAGGCCGGACTGCGGACTGCAGTGGCGCAATCTCGGCTCACTGCAAGCTCCGCTTCCCGGGTTCACGCCATTCTCCTGCCTCAGCCTCCCGAATAGCTGGGACTACAGGCGCCCGCCACCGCGCCCGGCTAATTTTTTGTATTTTTAGTAGAGACGGGGTTTCACCTTGTTAGCCAGGATGGTCTCGATCTCCTGACCTCATGATCCACCCGCCTCGGCCTCCCAAAGTGCTGGGATTACAGGCGTGAGCCACCGCGCCCGGCCTCACAGCCTAGTTTTATACATTTTAGGGAGATATGAGACATCACTCAGATATGTGTTAGATGTACATTGGTTAGATCTGGAAGGGTGGGTTAATCCGAAGTGGGGTGAGGCTTCCAGGTCACAGGTAGATTTAAATATTTTCTGATTGGCAATTTGTTGTTATTATCAATAGAAAAGAATGTCTGGGTTACAGTAAGGGATTGTGGACACCAAGGTTTTATCACGCAGATGAAGCCTCCAAGTAGCTGGCTTCAGAGAGGATAGATTGTAAATGCTTCTTATCAGACTTAAGGTCTGTGTTGATATTAATGCTGGTCAGCTTTTCCTGAATTCCACAAGGGAAGAGGGTATAATGAGGCATGTCTGACCCCACCTTTCATCATGGCCTGAACAAATTTTTCAGGTTAACTTTGGAATGCCCTTGGCAGAGAGGACAGATCCATTCAGATGGTTGGGGGGAGGGCAGGGGCTGCTTATAACTATATTTTTTGGTTTACACTTCTTTTCTTGTGTATTCATTTAATGCCATACATTTTCCTCTAAGCACTGCTTTCATTTTATTCCACAAATTTTGATGTTTTATTTTCATTTTTATTCAGTTAAAATATTCCAATTCTTCCTAAGTCTTCTTCTTTGACCCATGTGTTATTTACAAGTTTATTGTTTAATCTCCAAATATTTTGGGACTTTTTCTAGCTATCTGTTATTGATTTCAAGTTTAATTCCATAAGATCTAATAGTATATTTTGTGTGATTTCTATTCTTTCAAATTTGTTAGCATGAGTTTTATGGCCCAGAATGTGGTCTATTTTAATTAATGTTTCACAAGAACTTGAGAATGGGTATTCTGCTGCTGTTAGATGACATATTCTATAAATGCCAGTTAGATCAAATTAATTGATGGTGCTGGTCATCTCAACTATATCCTTACTGATTCTCTCCCTGCTGGCTCAATCTGTCAATTACTGATAAACAGATATTGAAAACTCCAACTGTAATGATGGATTTGTCTATTTCTCCTTGCAGTTCTATTAATTTTTGCATCATATATTTAGACACTTTGGAGTTGGGTGCATATACACTAAGGACTGTTATGCTTTCTTGGAAAGCCGACTTTCTTATCATTATATAATTGTCTTTTACCCCAGATAATTTTCTTTGTTCCGAAATCTGCTTGCCTGAAATTAATACAGCTACTCCAGCTTTCTTTTGATTAATGTTAGAATGTCATATATTTCTCCATTTTTCTTCTTTTTTTTTTGAAACTGGATCTGCCTCTGTTGCCCAGCCTGGAGTGCAGTGGCACAATCATAGCTCACTACAGCCTTGAACTCCTGGGCTCAAGTGATCCTCCCACCTCAATCTCCTGAGTAACTAGGACTACAGGCACCTGCCACTACACCCAGCTAAAATTTTTTTGTTTTTTGTTTTTTTGGTTTTACTATGTTGGTCAGGTTGGCATTTTTAAAAATGTAATCTATCAGTGTCTCTATATTTAAAGTGGGTTTCTGGTAGACAATATATAGTTGGCCCTTGATTTATTTTTAAATCCACTCTATTAGTCTCTGTCTTTTAATTGGTACACTTAGACCATTCACTTAAATATACTATTGATAGTTAGATTAATATCTCCCATATTTGTAACTGTTTTCTATTCAATGCACTTGTTCTTTTTATGTTTATTGTTGTTGCTGTTATTGTTTTTCTTCCTTCTCTTTTTCTGCCTTCTCTGTTGTTGTTGTTTTTTTGTTTTTTTTTTTTCTTTTGAGACGGAGTCTGGCTCTGTCCCCAGGCTGGAGTGCAGTGGCACGATCTTGGCTCACTACAAGCTCTGCCTCCTGGGTTCACACCATTCTCCTGCCTCAGCCTCCTGAGTAGCTGGCACTACAGGCACCTGCCACCACGCCTGGCTAATTTTTTGTATGTTTAGTGGAGACAGGGTTTCACCATGGTAGCCAGGATGGTCTTGATCTCCTGACCTCGTGATCCGCCCCCTCGGCCTCCCAAAGTGCTGGGATTACAGGTGTGAGCCACCATGCCCAGCCCTTCTCTGGTTTTAATTGAATATTTTATATGATTCCATTCTCCCCTCACTTAGCACATTAATTGTATTAGTCAGGATTCTCTAGAGGGACAGAACTAATAGGACAGATGTATATATGAAAGGGAGTTTATTGGGAGAATTGATTCACATGATCACAAGGTGAAGTCCCACGATCAGCCATCTGCAAGTTGAGGAGCCGGAAAGCCAGTCCAAGTCCCAAAAGCTCAAAGTAGGGAAGCCAACAGTGCAGCCTTCAGTCTGTGGCCAAAGGCCTGAGAGCCCCTGGCAGATCACTGGAGTGAAGTCCAAGAGTCTAAAAGCCGAAGAACTTGGAATTTGATGTTTGAGGGCAGGAAACATCCAGCATGGGAGAAAGATGGAGGCCAGAAGACTTAGCCAGTCTAGCCTTTCCCCCTTCTTCTGCCTGTTTTTATCCTGGCCATGCTGGCAGCTGATTAGATGGTGCCCACCCAGATTGAGGGTGGGTCTGCCTTTCCCAGTCCACTGACTCAAATGTTAATCTCCTTTGACAACACCCTCACAGACACACCCAGGAACAATACTTTGCATCTTTCAATTCAATCAAGTTGAAACTCACTATTAACCATCACATTAATTATACTTCTTTTTAACAAATCTTTAGTGACTGCCCTAGAGTTTGCAATATACATTATAACTAATCTAAGTCCATTTTCAAATAACAATACACTAATTCATGGGTAGTACACAAGTATCTTAGAAAAGAGTATCCCCAATTTCTCCCTCTCAACCCTTATAACATTGTTATTATACATTTCACTTATTCATAAGCTATAATCAACCAATATGTTGCTGCTATTATTATTTGGACAATTATTCTCAACCTGATAAAGAACATCTACAGAATCCCTACAGCTACTCACAGAACTCAGGAAAGCACTTTACTTACTATTACCGGTTTATATAAAAGATACAATTCAGGAACAGCCAAGTGGAAGAGATACCTAGGACAAGGTATGGGAGAAAGGGGCACTGAGCTTCCATGCCGTCTCTAAGTGTACCAACCTCCCAGAACTTTAATGTGTTAACCAACCCAGAAACTCTTCAAACTCTGTTGGTTGTTCAGGGGTTATTTATGGAGGTTACATCATGTAGGCATGATTGATCATTAACTCAGTCTCTAGTCCCTCTCTCCTTCCTGGAGGTTGGGGTGGAGGGGGTAGGGCCAAAAGTTCCAGGCTTTATTGATTATTGGGCTTGGTCTTTTTGGTGACCAGCCTCCATCTAAAAGCTATCCAGGGGCTCACCAAGAGTAGCCTCATTGCTGGGCGCGGTGGCTCACGCCTGTAATCCCAGCACTTTGGGAGGCCGAGGCGGGCAGATCATGAGGTCAGGAGATTGAGACCATCCTGGCTAACATGGTGAAACCCCGTCTCTACAAAAATACAAAAAAAAAAAAAAAAAATTAGCTGGGTGTGGTGGCGGGTGCCTGTAGTCCCAGCTACTTGGGAGGCTGAGGCAGGAGAATGGTGTGAACCCGGGAGGTGGAGCTTGCAGTGAGCCGAGATCGCGCAGCTGCACTTCAGCCTGGGAAAAAGAGCGAGACTCGGTCTCAAAACAAAAACAAAAACAAAAACAGTAGCCTCGTTATAACGCCTATCACCCCTATTACTCAGGAAATTGCAGGGGATTTAGGAGCTCTAGGCAGGAACCAGACCATATATTTTTCTATGAAAAAACAAAACCCTTAGCATAGCGATCATCATGATTTTAAATTCCTAGTCTGATTTGCAAATTCTCTGCCATCTCCGAGTCTTATTTCTAAGCTTGCTTTGTCTCTTCCAATTGTGCTTGGTGTTGTCTGCCTTTCAGCATGCCTTGTAATTCGTTGTTAAAAACTAGATATAACATATCAGGTCATGGGAGCTGAGATAAATGGCCCTTTAGGATAAGGTGTTAGGTTTATCTGGCTAAGAGTTAGGCTGTGTTAAATGTTTGCTGTAGTTGTAGGTGTCAGAGGCTTCAGTTTTATTTAGTGTCCTCATTTTTGTCTCCTCCATTGTCTTTGGGTTTTCCTAGAAATGCCTTCTTAAATGGAGTTGTAATCCACCGTTATTATACTACAGAGTCCTGTTGATGTGGTGGTAAGATACTGTGGAGGCAAAACATTCTACAATCTTATGATTAATTCCCAGAGTTTTCTTTAATGGGCCTGAGTCTCTGGGCTATGACCCTCCGAGAAGTTTCTTAACTTTTGCTTTTTTCCTCCAGTCATGATAGACAGGAAGGCTAGAGGGGGCTGAGTTGTCTAATTGCCCTTCTGCTAGGTCAGTTTAGGCTCCAGTAATGTAATTGCCCTGAGGACAGGTTTTTGTTACAGAACACTCTGGGCATATCTCAAAATGTTTACTTTTCCCCTCCCACCGGCCAGTCAGGAATTTTTCTGTGGTCTTTACCATGAGAACTTGGTAGAGCTTCTTGGAGTAAACCTTTAACAATTTGGGGAGCATCCCTCTAAGACTGAGTACCCAACAGTGTTTAATTCTCAAGCTAGTCCACACTCAGTCTCCAGCAATTAGTCAATTACAATTTAAGTTTTGCTATGATTTCAGAGGCTTCTGGTCCCTGTAAACTGTGATTCTTTGCATTTGTCTGTCTTTCAGTTTTTGCAGTTTGCCCTGTGACTCAATTCACTGATACTGAAACAAGAAGAGTTGTTAATCTTCAATTTGTTCAGCTTTTCTCTTGTTGTGGGGAGTGGAGTGACAGCTTTCAAGCTCTTCACACCTTGGCATAGACTGCATTTGCTTTTGTTTTGTTTTGTTTTTTGTTTGTTTGCTTGTTTTGAGACGGAGTCTCGCTCTGTCGCCCAGGCTGGAGTGCGGTAGCGCAATCTTGGCTCACGGCAAGCTCCACCTCCTGGGTTAACGCCATTCTCTCGCCTCAGCCTCCTGAGTAGCTGGGGCTACAGGCGCCCGCCACCACACCTGGCTAATTTTTTTTTTTTTTTTTTTTTTTTTTTGGTATTTTTAGTAGAGACGGGGTTTCACCGTGTTAGCCAGGACTGCATTTGTTTTTTAAAAAATCTTTTTCCTAATTATATAAGTAAGGATGTTTACTGTAGAATGTTTGGAAAGGAAACAAAATAAAAATCACCTACTATCATCCAATCTGCAATAAGTCATAGTTAAGGTTTTGACATAGTTTTATTTTTAATATATATGTTTATATAAAAGAGTGCATGCAGCACATGGAGTTTGGTATTGGATTTCTCCCATTTTCAGAGGCTATTTCTGCAAATTCTCTAAAACTGTGGCTGAAAATATTTTCAATGTTGAATGTCTTTTATAAGAAATAGGATCCTAGATAAGTTCCCTTCAGATCGTATGGGGCTGGTGGGAATTCTGCCAAGGGTCACATAAGAGGCAGGACCGTGACATCCTCTTTATGATCACCCTTGTGCCTAGCCTTAAAGGAGTATCAGCAAATGTTGGTTGACTTCATAGATTAAAAGGCTCATTTTTCCCATCTACAAAAAGTATGAAACATCCTCCTCCTCCCTTTCCTAGGAGGCCAGAAAGCTGAACGAGAGATTAAATACTCAGTTAAAACAATTTAGGTGGTTAGTGTATCTTTTCCCTCTCCTTCAAAAAGATATTAACATTTCCATTTTAGTAGCTGTAATGTTTAGAATATACATACATTTTACTTGAAAGCTGCCTCATAGTCTATTTTGGTTTTGGATTTTCTTTTTTTTTTCGTTTTTCTTGAGACAGAGTTTCGCTCTTGTCTCCCAGGCTGGAGTGCAATGGTGCAATCTCAACTCACTGCAACCTCCACCTCCCAGGTTCAAGCAATTCTCCTGCCTCAGGCTCCCAAGTAACTGGGATTACAGGCGCCCGCCACCACGCCCAGCTAATTTTTGTATTTTTAGTACAGACAGGGTTTCACCATGTTGGTCAGGCTGGGTCTTGAAGTCCTGACCTCAGATGGTCCATCTGCCTTGGCCTCCCAAAGTGCTGAGATAACAGGTGTGAGCCACCGCTCCCGGCCTCATAGTCTATTTTAGAAGTTGACAGGCTATAAATAACAAGCAGACAAATTAATGAAGAACATCTGTCTTTCTGCCTATCCCGAAACACGTTGATCAGTGGGGGGTCGAGGGAAGGGTAGGAGTATGGAGAAGAGACCCGCGGAGAAGAGGGGAGAATCTACAACGGATAATGTTGTAGATATTTACAACATTTACTCAATGGTAGGTATTTTTATCCTCGTTTTACTAGTTGGAGAATTATATCATGCAGGTTTATACAATTAACAAGTGGGGGAGCCAGGAGAGAACCCATTCACTCTTTAGTTCATTCATTCATTCAGTCAGTCAACACATCTTTGGGTGTCTTCTAAATGCCAGGCACTATTCTAACCCCTAAGGATACTTCAGTAAACAAAACAGTCCCAAATTCTTCCCCTATGGAGCTTTCTCGGCGAAGGCGGGATTGGTTAGGAGCTGACAATCGGCAGCAGACGATTGTAAATGACCGGACCTTTTTTCTATTCTCCTGCCCAGCCCCCGGCCCGGCCTCCGCCTCCGGCCCTGCTCCAGCCCCGCCAGCGGCCCAGGACCCGCCCCTGGCTCCGGCCCCGCCCCTGGCTCCGCCCCCGCCCCCGCGCCGGCGGCGGCGCGGCGCCCGCGCTTCCGTATCGCTCCTCGTAGGCCGGGGCTCGGCGCGCGCACCCGCACTAAAGACGCTTCTTCCCGGCGGGTAGGAATCCCGCCGGCGAGCCGAACAGTTCCCCGAGCGCAGCCCGCGGACCACCACCCGGCCGCACGGGCCGCTTTTGTCCCCCGCCCGCCGCTTCTGTCCGAGAGGCCGCCCGCGAGGCGCATCCTGACCGCGAGCGTCGGGTCCCAGAGCCGGGCGCGGCTGGGGCCCGAGGCTAGCATCTCTCGGGAGCCGCAAGGCGAGAGCTGCAAAGGTAACGCAGCGTGGCGGGGTCGCGGGAGCGGAGCGCGTGGCCAGCTGACTGGAGGGAAAACGCCGCCTCCCTGCAGCGGTTCCCGGAATCCCCTCCGGTTCCCTCTCGCTCTCCCCGACTCCTCCTCCTCCTCCTGCCCTCCCTCTGCGTCTTGAGTATGCGGCTAGTGCGCCCTTCCTCTCTCCCGGGGCCGCACCTGCGACCCCAGGACCCCTCCCGGGCCCTGTCCTGCGCCCTCCACGCGTCGCCCCTGCTGGGAGTCCGCTTTCGTTGCACCCCTCCGCGTCCCACCCCACCCCACCAAGGATGCCCAGGATACCGGGCATTTGCCACTGCAAGATGTGAGTCGTTGCTAAGTTTGAGGGTCACATTCCTCCAGGTCCACCCCGCCTTGCAAAACCGGCTCACCAGCTGGGTGCTCAGGTTCGGGATCTCCAGCCCGCCCCCTTGAGGTCCCCTGGGATTAGCCCCCCTCGACCTGCGTCAGGGTCACAGACTGCAGCCGGGGCTGGAGCGGCCTACACCCCTCCGGATCCGCTGCGTGGAGGCAGGAGGGGGAAGGGGCGAGGGGACGTGGCCGCGGAGACAGAAGGGTGCACCCTCCCAGGGTCGGAGAGGGGAGATACTGGGAAGATACTCCGCGAATATGGAGAGGCGATCGGCACTTGCATTTCAACCCTGAGCAAATCAATCCGTTACACGCAGTAGCGAGTTGACTCCATCAGCCCGTTTATTTGGTTAGCGATGGTTATATTGACTCTGAGTATTCCCACCTCCTTTCTTTTAACATTTTTTTTTTTATTTCCTTGTTTTGTTTAGCAAGAAGTCTTAGAAACGAATATAGCATGCTTGGGCGTTGATTCAGTGGTGAGAAGTGCCGGAGCTGGCTCAGGGAGAGGTGGAGTTTCCCATGTGTGCTCACTGGCCCAGGGGCTAAGTCCCACTGCTTGCCAAGGTTTCTCAGTATCCTGTCCACCCACCCCCTATCCACCTGTGCAGGCTTGAGGGGGTGAGGGGGTAGCAGATACTCTATCAAAATCTACCCTAAGGAAAATATTCGATAAACACTCCTAGCAATTAGGGCATAGCTGATAAGGCTTGATCTGTTTGTCGCAGAAAATGACTTGAACTTGTAAGTTCTATTGTTCATAAAGTTGTTTTCCACAATTTTAGATAATCAAAAATGTACATGACTCATTTTTCTTACCTATTATTTCCTCTAAAGTTTCTCATGTATTTATTGAAAAGTTAAAGAAAATCTGATTTTGGTTCACATAATTTGACAATGGTGATTTGTCTAAAAGTCATTTCAAAAAGTAGTATGAAAAGGATCATAACCCTAGAGGTACTGTCATAGACGTGAAACATTTATTAAAATATATATTCCATGGCTCACACTTGCACACTCAAAGCCACATTGGACTCATTTTTTCTGCTACCTTTATAAACCTTCAAACTGTTCAAGAGTCAATGGTATGTATCATCTTCCGTTATCAATCATCATGTTTTGTTTTGTTTGGTTTGGTTTGGTTTGGTTTGGTTTTTGACAAAGTCTCGCTCTGTCGCGCAGGCTGGAGTGCAGTGGCACTGTCTTGGCTCACTGCAACCTCCCCCTCCTGGGTTCAAGCGATTCTTCTGCCTCAGCCTCTTGAGTAGCTGAGATTACAGGCGTGTGCTACTACGCCTGGCTAATTGTATTTTTAGTAGAGATGGGATTTCCACTATGTTACCCAGCCTGGTCTGGAACTTCTGACCTCAAATGATCCACCTGCTTTGGACTCCCAAAGTGCTAGTATTACAGGCTCAATCATCATGTTTTATCAAAGCTAAAACCCAAACTAAAATGCCATTGCTTATAAGATGCACTTTCATTTTATGTAATGAAGTAAGAAAAAACACTGTCAATCATGCTATGCCATGCCACCAGAATGAAAGCATTCTGATTTCAGAAATTCTCAAATGTTAAAAGAAAATGGGCATTTTATAATTTGTGAAATATTAGTGAGTTAGAGCAGAGCTTGACGGCACTGGCCCTGAGGGTCCTTCTTCTTCCTTTGGAAGAATGAAACTGGGGGCTATGCAATTCAGGGAAGAATAAAGGAAAAACAGGTAATTGGCAGAGGAGGTTGGCTGACTTAGAGGTATGGAAAAGACAAAACAAAGGAGGGAAAAAGAGAGGTATGTATGATGGGGAGGAGTTCAGAGCCACTGAAAATTTTCTCTGGCCCTAACAGGAAAACGAGTTACCCCACAAGCCAGGGTTTTATCATCTGGTACGTGGAGATATCCATCAGCATTGTCATTGGTTTTCATTTGTTTGTTTTTAATTCTCAAGTTTAAAAAAAAATTTAAAATTTAAATGTGTCTCAACCACCAGAAACTATAGTGAGATTTCTCTGTAATAAATAGGAAAGAAGGAGACTGATCCAGTCCTTGTTAAAAAAAAAAAAAAGAGGAAACTGAATCACAACATACTTTGCTTTTTTCTTTTCTCACAAAGGAACAGTGGGCCCTTTATGCTGGGTGAAGGTGAGTGAGATGGGGGAAGGTTCACTGGGCACCAACCTTCTGGGCTAGAGAAATTGCCCAGGCTTTACAGAACAAGCTGGAATCAGATAAAGTTGTGGAAAGGAAGTCGAGGTTTCACTCTGCCATATCAGTAGGAGGTACTAAAGCCAAACTAGTAGCAGCAAAGTGAACAGAAATGGTAAGGGGGAAAAATAGGAAAGGAAAGAACAACGTGGATTGCAAGACGTCTTACTAAAAACAAAGAATTACACTTGGAACAGAAGAAATTCATTACCATTGCCTTACACTGTGCAACAACTTGATAAAAATATAAATCCAATAAAACAAACTCAAAGATGAGAAAATTGTAAACTGGAGATGAAAAGGGAGATTGCAGACCTAAAGGAAAATTGAAGACCGTAAAAACATAGTGACAGAATAAATAAGTCAGGAGAAAGAACAGAAGCAATACTGCTGAAAATAAAAGTATTTTAATAGAAGAAAGCCCAGTAAGGAAGCCCAGTAAATTCAACTGAAAAGGGACAAAGATTAAGAAGAAAGAAGCTATTATGAAAGACAAAATACAATCAAGAATTGGGACCACTGAAGTCCCAGATGTAGAGAAGTCAACAAATGGGACAGAAAATTCAAATAAAAATAAGTCCAAAGAAAGCTTATTGAGATGAAGAAAAAATGGTCTGTAGGCCAAAGGAACATGCCATGTTCCAGAAAATGTCATGTGGGAATACGGAAGCACTACGATATCTTAAACTATTTAAATTCAAAGAAAAAGATTTAGGAATCTAAGAAGAAAAAGTAAAGGAGGGAAAAACAAAATCAAGCTCGCCTCAGACTTCAGTGCAGCACTAAATGCCAGACTATGATGGTTGTGAGGAAACAGTTCCAAGGGAAAGAAACTTTTCCGAGGGGCATATTTTTTTTCCGGAAGAACAAAGGGAATTCAGCACCCATGAACCGTTTTTGGAAAAACAAAAACTTGCTGAGTAATAAAATCCAGGAAATAGCAAATTAAGAGATAAATCAAAATAAAGAACTTAAGAGTAGAGAAAGGTAAAAAGACTTGGTGAGTATTTATTCTATTTAAATATAGAAGTAATACATCTATAGAAATTGTGGGTAAGATAGAATGCGATTGTTATTAATCTAGACAAAAATATACAGCCAAAAAAAAAAGAAGTCAGAGAGGAAGATGGAAGGAAACATGAGAATACCAATATTCTCTTCTTTCAAAGAATGGAATAGTAAATATGGTATAAAATTAAAAGATGCTATGTGAATATATAATACTGCAACTTTTAATATCTTTCATAAGTTTTATTTAAAACCTTAGAGGGATATCATAGGAAATTATACTTTCTTATGGACAAAAAAATTTAAATTTTAACAACTCCTTTGACTTTATTTTAGTCTTTTCCCAAGTAACATTAAACAGAAACACTGTGTGTGTGTGTGTGTGTGTGTGTGTGTGTGTGTGTGTGTTTATGCATAGAAAGATCTGTGGGATTATGTTCGCCTAATATTAATGATAGTAATAGTTTTTACAGAAGAAAAAAGAAAGATGTTTGAAAAATAAGCTAGAATCAAATATGCCAAGATGTTAACAATTGTTGATGCTGGATGGTAGGAATAAGGATGAGTGTTACTTTCTTATTTGTACTTTTTCATATTTTTCTAATTTCCAGAAAAAGATATGTAATTGTTTTTGTCTAACATTTCTGAATCCACTTCATTCATTATTCATTGCCTCCTTGACAATGTGCATCAGTCTATGTCAAACAGAAGGAAAGACACAGCCATACTTTACCAGGAGACTATGAGGCAGCGAGTTCCTGGAGGGTTGTTTGTCTGTCTAGGAGGAGTTGGAATTCAAAGAATCACTTCACTCAATCCATCCATTTTATCTGGGCCTTGAAAATTGGCAGGGTTTGTCTGGTCTCAGGGTGAATAGCAGGTAGAGCTCTTCTTTCAGAATGGAGAAGGCCACAGTGTCACAGGGTGAACCTGTGACAAAATTGGGGTTCAGCCTGGGAAGCCACATGAGTTGTTGGCTTCGCACAGGATGGAATTAAAGAGCAAGCTGACAGAATTAAGTGAAAGCAAGTTTATTAAGAAAGTCAAGGAATGAAAGGGTGGCTACTCCATAGGCAGAGCAGCAGCATGGGCTGCTCCACTAAGTATACTTATGGTTATTTCTTGATCATATGCTAAACAAGTGGTGGATTATTCATAAGTTGTCTGCAAAAGGGGTGGGAGTTCTGGAACTGAGGGTTCCTCACTTTTTTCGATGATATAGGGTAACTTCTGCATGTTGCCATGGCATTTGTAAACTGTGGTGGCACTGGTGGGAGTTTCCTTTAGCATGCTAATATATTGTAATTAGCATATGATAAGCAGTGAGGACAGTTTTGTCACCATCTTGGTTTTGGCAGGCTTTGGCCAGCTTCTTTACTGCGTCCTGTCTTATCAGCAGGGTCTTTGTGACCTCCTGTTTTATCACATAACTAAGAATGCCTAACCCCCTGGGAATGCAGCCCAGCAGGTCTCAGCCTCATTTTACCCAGCTGCTACTCAAGATGGAGTCACTCTGGTTCCAACACCTCTGACAAGAGCAGGGGGTGACCTGTCACCTGGGGCTCAGCAGGACAATAACTCTAGGAAAAACTGGAAAGGCTGATAGCCTTGAATTTAACCTAAGGAGCTTGGTGCATTGTCAGGCAACAGTGAGCTACAGACTGAGCTCACTACATAATTCACAGGGCCCACCCAGAGCCAAATAAAAATGCCTGAGAAAGTACCACTAAAGGTACTAAAATATAAAGCCTTTTCTTCCACAGTCTCTCTCTCTCAACACGTAATGTTTTTTTGTTTGCTATTTAATATCATTCTAAGTAAAAAAATAGGCCGGGCATGGTGGCTAACGCCTGTAATCCCAGCACTTTGGGAGGCCAAGTCAGGTGGATCATGAGGTCAGGAGATCGAGACCATCCTGGCTAACACTGTGAAACCCCGTCTCTACTAAAAATACAAAAAATTAGCTGGGTGTGGTGGCGGGCGCCTGTAGTCCCAGCTACTCTGGAGGCTCAGGCAGGAGAATGGAGTGAACTCGGAAGGCGGAGCTTGCAGTGAGCCAAAGTTTGCGCCACTGCACTCCAGCCTGGGGGACAGAGTGAGACTCTGTCTCAAAAAATAAAATAAAATAAAAAATAAAAATAAAAACTTGAATTATTAGCATGAATATTGCAGTTCTTTATATTATGCAAAACCAGATTTAAATAAGAGCATTTAATTCATATATGGAATTGCCAAGTTATACCATTAGTACTTTACAGCACATCTTGGGAGGTTCCCTTGAACTAGCCAGAAGAAGCAAACTGAAGCCAGACAGAGGAAGATTGCAAAGAGGAAGAGAGGGTCTCCACCAGGCACAGAGCCACCCAAGGGAGCCCTCCCTCAGGCTCAGGGATACCGAGGGAGCCAGAGCAGATTCACACAGGTCCCTGGGGCCCCTCTGCCCTGGTGACTCTAGGATGCATGTACTTGCACCTGACTTCTAGGCATCCCCCTCCTGCTAGCTTCCCCTCGATCCAGCCTGGGGCAGGCTCTGTGGAAGTCAAGCCTTGCATCTCCCTTTCCCAAGCACCTACCATCCTAACCCACAGTGTAGTGGCCACGTCCAAGGGTCTTTACGTCTCTGCCTCAGATATGCTAGGTACCTGGGTCAAGAGTGACCCAGAGACTCATCCCTGCCAGACCCAACCTCCAGCCAGTCACCCTCTGACTCCAGTCCATGGGGCGAGGCTGGAGTGCTGGCCCTGACCTCTCCAGCATCTGCACCAGGAGGGCTTCAGCGGAATGTGGTCCCAGTTGATGCCCCATGCCAACAGTAGCAGCAGCAGTTGTTAGGCATAGAGATTGAAGCCAGACAGGGCCTGGGATTCCTCTGCTGGGAGCCTAAACTGCAGGAGATGGGGAAGGATCCAAGTGTGAGCTGGGGCTCCTAGCACAAAACTCACATTGAAAGATAAAATGGTTAAGAATTTCAGGATAGCCACAGGAGAACCTCAAGCCAAGTGTAGGATCCTTCTAGCTGCAGGGCCTGGGGGTACTGAGACTAGCCCTGTTGACAGGAGCCATGCTTTAGGAAGACTGATCTATTTGTAGTCAGCAAGAGTTTTAAGGAGCTCCATTAACAATTTAGGCACGATGCCAAGATGGGATATTATATTTTCCAAGCAAGAAGAATCTGGTAATCAGGCATATGGTTCCAAGTGAAGTATAAGTCACCAGAAAGCAAGGAAGGAAGCCATCCCCTGGCCCAGAGGGGGAGAATGGGGTGTGTGTGTGTGTGTGTGTGTGTGTGTGTGTTTTCTCGGCTGCTGAAGAGACTGAGTGTTCCTGCAGATATATAACAAAGATGAAGATGTGCCACCGTTGGAGACAAATGGGGACCAGAGGCCACATGTCAGAGGTCAGGTCAGGTGTTCAAATATAAAGGGGTTGCCCTGGCTGGGCATGGTGGCTCACATCCATAATCCAAGCCCTTTGTGGGGCTGAGGCCGGAGGATCACTTGAGCCCAAGAGTTCAAGACCAGCCTGGACAACATAGCAAAGCCCCATCTCTAAAAAAAAAAATACAAAAATTAGCCAGGTGTAGTGGCAAATGCCTGTAGTCCCAGCTACTTGGGAGGCTGAGGTGGGAGAATCGCTTGAGCCCAGGAGGCAGAGGTTGCAGTGAGCCGAGATCACACCACTGCACTCCAGCCTGGGTGACAGAGTGAGACCCTGTCTCAAAAAATAAAGAAGTTGCCCTTCTACAATCTGGATGTGGTGGTATCTAGGGGAATGTTCACAACTAGGCAACGCCTCTGCTGTGGATTGATTATGGGAGATGACATCACACATCAAGATATCTCAGCAGATGTTTCTCAATGGGTACAGTATTATGGGATTAGTTCCAGGCAGTCGTGCTTGGATATCTCATGGGTGGTGGAGTCTGTAGCAAGGCTGGAAATTTTGACTTGGAATCACTTGGATTTCTCTAAGAGAATACCCCAGGTTGGATGTGTTACTGTGGCAGCAGAGAAGACTTAAAAATTACATTGTTTTTAGCTTGAACTTCGTCTTGTGAAGTCCTAATTAGGGAAGAGGAGTCAGGCTGGGGGTCTAGGGGAAAGCAAAGAGATAAAGCAGATAAGCCATAGGTCTACCTTGCTTCATGGTCCAGGACATACAAACAAAAAGAAGAAGCAGATAAGCTATAGGTCTGCCTTTCTTTATGGCCCAGGACATACGACCCTCCTGCACACATAACTCACAATCTTCCTGCGTATCATCAAATGCTTCAACTTATCATCAAACATCTCGGCTGACCGAAAAATGCAAGTTAGCTCCCTGCTACCTTGGCGTTGTCAGTCCTCCACATAGCACTCTTCAGCTTAAATTGCATTTTATAAAATCCCCAGCAAGCCTTTGTCTCCTGGCAGTCAACTCGTCTCTTACTGACCTGCCCATTGCTCCCTTGCAATGTATTTTCCTACTTTCTCTAATAAATCTGCCTTTCTTGACCTAAACTGTCATGGTAAATTCTTCTTACTCCTATGTCACCAGCCACAGACAGTCGCCACAAGCCATGACAAGTCTGCGATTTCATGGTCTTTTTTTATTTTGATGATATTTCCCCAGTGTTTGGGGGACAGAAGAATGCCCACAATCTATAGGTCTTAGTCACATGGATGGGGACAGAATATCTGAGAGAGAGAGAAGGAACAAGATCTACTGGGGCTCCTTAAAATTCTTCTTGAAGAACTCCTTTCTCACCTTGGAGTAGGGAAGACTTTCTGATTATGACTCAAAATTTAGAAGCTAAGAAAGAAAATACCTTTAAATCTGAAAACATAAAACTCAAAAACTTCTGGGTGTTTTTTTGGGGGGGTTGTTTTTTTTAAACAGCACAAGCAACTCAAAGGGCAAGTGACAAACTGGGGAGAGAAGAAAAAGATGTGACTCATATCACAGTTTCCCTTCTACTTAAAAAAAAAAAAAACTGCAAACCAGTAAGAAAATAGCAACAGCTCAACAGAAAAATTGCCAAAGGCACGAACAGTTAATGAGAAGGAGATGCAAATCGCTCTTAAACCTATGAAAAGATGAAGGTGTTCCATCACAAAGAGTAAGAGAAATACAAATTAATATTAATGTGAAAGACAACTTTTCATTTATGAATTTGAGAAAAATCCAAGAACTTGATGATATACCTCTAAGAAGCAACGGTAGGGAAACGAAAATTCTCACACATTGCAGGTGGTTATGTAAATTGGTATAGCCCCGCGGGTGGTCAGTGTGACAGTTTCTATCCAAATTACAGATGCATAGTTTCATTGCCAGGTCTCTTCTGTCTGCTTCTTCAGACCCACCCTCCCCTCTCCCCACTGTTTAGTTGGCCCAGGACCCTGTCTGGTAAGGATACAACTCCAGGCCCCTTGCCCTATGGCTTCTGGTTGTGTTCAGCCGATGGGGAGCCCCAAATAAGAGAAGGAAGGGACACCGTGAGTGATATTTATCCCTCAGCTTCCTGCCTGCACTGT
This sequence comes from Homo sapiens, assembly GCF_000001405.40. Lineage (NCBI taxonomy): Eukaryota > Metazoa > Chordata > Mammalia > Primates > Hominidae > Homo > Homo sapiens. The sequence goes on from NC_000021.9 coordinate 33,239,330, forward strand.
CCTCTTGGTCTGGCTGTGTCCAGTGGTCTCATGTCATAGCTGCTCATACAGGAGTTTCTCCTTACAAATTGCAATGTTGGCTTCTCTTCCCCCTCCGGCCCAGAGTGATTACAGCCATCAATGTTGTGAGCTACAGGTTCTATACCCTCCCTTCTGCAGGCCCAGAATGGTAACAGCCCTCAATGTTGTGAGCTGCAGGTTCTGTACTCTCCCTCCTGGGGCCCAGAGTGGTCACAGCCCTCAATGTTGTGAGCTACAGGTTCTATACTCTCCTTTCTGCAGGCCCAGAGTGGTGACAGCCCTCAATGTTGTGAGCTACAGCTCTCAATGTTGTGAGCTACAGGTTCTATACCCTCCATTCTGCAGACCCAGAATGTTACAGCCCTCAATGTTGTGATCTGCAGGTTCTGTACTCTCCCTCCTGGGGCCCAGAGTGGTCACAGCCCTCAATGTTGTGAGCTACAGGTTCTATATTCTCCCTTCTGCAGGCCCAGAGTGGTCACAGCCCTCAATGTTGTGAGCTACAGGTTCTATATTCTCCCTTCTGCAGGCCCAGAGTGGTCACAGCCCTCAATGTTGTGAGCTACAGGTTCTATATTCTCCCTTCTGCAGGCCCAGAGTGGTCACAGCCCTCAATGTTGTGAGCTACAGGTTCTATATTCTCCCTTCTGCAGGCCCAGAGTGGTCACAGCCCTCAATGTTGTGAGCTACAGGTTCTGGAGTCTCCCTTCTGGGCCCCAGAGTGGTCACAGGCCTCAATGTTGTGAGCTGCAGATTCTATACTCTCCCTTCTGGTTTGCCTACAGCCCTCTCACACATTTGTAAATATAGTCCTGCAACCCCTAATGATGTCTTGGGCAAAGATGGACCTTTTATATGACGATAGCCCCATAAGATTATACCATATTTCTACTGTACCTTTTCTGTGTCTAAATATGTTCAGATACACAAATGCCACTGTGTTGCAACTGCTTACAGTATTCAGCACAGTACCATGCTGCACAGATTTATAGCCTAGGAACAATAGTCTATACCATATAACCTAGATGTGTAGTTGGCTATGCTATCTAGGTTTGTCTAAGTATACTCTGATGTTCATACAACAAAATAGCCTAACAATGAATTTCTCAGAACACAGCACTGTTCACAGTTGCAAAGATATGGAATCAACCTAAGTATCCATCAACAAATGATTGGATAAAGAAAATGTGGCTAGGTGTGGTGCTCACATCTGTAATCCCAGCACTTTGGGAGGCCAAGGCGAGAATCCAGGAGTTTGAGATCAGCCTGGGCAACATAGTGAGACCCTATCTCTACAAAAAAAAGGTTTTTTTAATTAGCCGGTGTGTGATGACACATACCTGTAGTCTCAGCTACTTAGGGGGACAGGTGGGAGGATTGCTTGAGCCTGGGAGGTTGAGGCTGCAGTGAGCCATGATTGCACCACTGGCACTCCAGGCTAGGCAACACAGCAAGACCCGTCTCAAAAAAAAAAAAAAGTTACATATATATACACACAGTATATTCAGCCATAAAAAAGAATGAAATCGTGTTTTTGCAGCAACATGGATGGAACTGGAGGCCATTATCTTAAGAGAAACAACTCAGAAACAGTCAATACCACATGTTCTTATAAGTGGGAGCTATTAATAAAAAATGTGCACACATTGACATATATATAATGTGGAATGATAGTCATTACTGACTGAGAAGGGTGGATTGGGTGTGGGGAGTTAAGGAATGAGAAATTACTTAATGGGTATAATGTATACTATTCAGGTGATGGATACACTAAAAGCCCAAATTTCACCACTATGCAATATATCTATCTAACAAAACTGCACTTGTACCCCTTAAATTTATTTTTTTAAAAAGCGTGTATCCTAATTTGAATGAGCTGTTTCTTGCCAGAACCCTAACTGATATGTCCTTTGTCTAGCAATTCTACTTCTGGAAATTTTCCCACACTTAAACTGGCACATGTGCAAAATGAAAGAGATTTCCTTGCAGAAGAGACTGGAAATAATTCAAATGTCTATAGTAGGGGTACTAATTATATAAATAATGGTGTGTCTATAGAGTAGAACTGTATCCAGCTATTTAAAAAACAAGGATAGAAAGATCTTCCAAACATATTTTTAAGTGGAAAAAGCAGGGTGGAACAGGGACTATACATGCTATCTCTTGTCTAAAAGATGGGGAAATTAGGAATATGTATTTGTTTTTGCTTATGCATGAAGATACTCTGAAGGATTCACAAAAGAAAAAAAAGTTTTCTAAAGGGAGCAAGACTTTTCACAATTTTTTTTTTGAATGCTTAAAATTGTTGAACCCAACGACTGTTGCCTGTTCAAAAGTTAAATTTAAAATTCCTCCCAGACTAGGTAGGGGATTGGGCCCAGAAGCTGAGACCAGGCTCACTTGAATAAATGGGGTAAATGACTAGGAATTTTACTATTCCTTACAGGTCTCTCATTATCTTGTCTTTGCTCCCATTTTTATATTTGCAGTTTAATTAGACACTTCAGAATTTTGATCACCTAATGTTGATTTCAGATGTAAAAGTCAAGAGAAGACTCTAAAAATAGCAAAGATGCTTTTGAGCCAGAATGCCTTCATCTTCAGATCACTTAATTTGGTTCTCATGGGTAAGTGCTGCTTTTTATCTTAGCTCTTATAGAAGCAAGCTGTGATGCCATCCTCACTGAGAGCACTGGCAGGAAGTCGCAAACTCATTTCCCTGACTAGAGGACCCAGTACCACCCTGCCTAGTGTCAGGAGTTAAGTGGAAAGCAAATAGGAAACCTACACTAGTAGTTTAGATTCAATGTAGATTCCTGTCCTGTTGTTAATTTTAGGAAAACAAATGAGTGACTTAAGGCAATAATAATCAGGACTATCCTCGCCATAATTTGAAGAGTAATTTCTCCTAACACGCTTTCTTCCTCCCCAATCTTTGATAAATGTCTTTTACCTCTAAAGTTGATTAATTAGCAACATGCTTATTCATATTCTGTGAATATTTCTAGGATGGACAATTGCCTCTGAGGACATTCCCTCAGCCAGCCCAAGTACTTAAACAAAAACAAGGAAATTCTTTGATGTTAAAGATCTCGTGTGTGTCCGGGCGCGGTGGCTCGCGCCTGTAATCCCTGCACTTTGGGAGGCCGAGGCAGGTGGATCATGAGGTCAGGAGATCGAGACCATCCTGGCTAACATGGTGAAACCCCGTCTCTACTAAAAAATACAAAAAATTAGGCGGGCGTGGTGGCGGGCGCCTGTAGTCCCAGCTACTTGGGAGGCTGAGGCAGGAGAATGGCATGAACCTGGGAGGCGGAGCTTGCAGTGAGCCGAGATCGAGCCGCTGCACTCCAGCCTGACAGAGCAAGACTCTGTCTCAAAAAAAAAAAAAAAAAAAATCTCGTGTGCGTGTGTGTGTGTGTGTGTGTGTGTGTGTGTGTGTGTGTGTGTGTGTTTTGAGGCATAGTTTCACTCTGTTGCCCAGGCTGGAGTGCAGGGTGTGAGCTCAGCTCACTGCAGCCTCCACCTCCTGGGTTCAAGCGATTCTCCTGCCTTAGCCTCCCAAGTAGACGGGATTACAGGCACCCGCCACCATGCCCGGCTAATTTTTGTATTTTTAGTAGAGACAAGGTTTCACCATGTTGGCCATGCTGGTCTCACATTGCTGACCTCAAGTGATCCACCGCCTTGGCCTCCCAGAATGCTGGGGTTACAGGTATGAGCCACTGTGTCCAGCCATTTTTTTTTTTTTTAGACAGAGTCTCCCTCTGTCACCCAGGCTGGAATGCAGTGAGCGATCTCACCTCACTGCAGCCTCCGCCTCCTGGGTTCGAGCTATTCTCCTGCCTTAGCCTCCCAAGTAGTTGGGACTGCAGGTGTGCACCACCACACCCAGCTAATTTTTTGTATTTTTAGTAGAGACAGGGTTTTGCCGTGTTGGCCAGGCTGATCTCGAATCCTGACCTTGTGTGATCCACCCACCTCGGCCTCCCAAAGTGCTGGGATTACAGACGTGAGCCACGACGCCCGGCCCCAGATATATTTTTAAGTGGAAAAAGCAGGGCAGAACAGGGACCGTACATATTGTTGTTAGTGTCAGCTCCCAAATGGATCTTATTTTATCTCAGATCACAGTCCTTGCACCATGTGCTGCTGGCACCAATGTAGAGTAAAAACCATCTATGTGGGCATTTTTTTGGCACAAGAAAAATCTCAATCTGATACCAATAAATGTGTGTTAAAGAATGTCAGACTTAGAGTAATCATTGCAAGTTGAGCCCAGATAAAACTATTGCCTCTCTAATGTGTTTTCTTCCTTCTAGTGTATATCAGCCTCGTGTTTGGTATTTCATATGATTCGCCTGGTAAGAGATGTTTTTTGGCTTCACTAAATTTTGTATAAGAGTGAAAGTGTTGGGGCAACCATTCAGAGGTATAAAATGTGGGAGATTTGATTTCTGATTGTACATCTGTTGCCTGTTTTATTGGGATTCTTTCTCTGTAAAAGGAGCTAAAATGAGCTAACTCTGGTTTTTTGAGAGATACAAAACTAGTCTAAGAAATGAACACTAGAGATCATTTTTAAACTTCTTTAAAGAATATTCAAACTCTTAATAATCTCACTAATAAAAGAATGAGGAGACACAGACTGTGCCAAATAAAAAATGGCCCAGAAATATTTACTCTTTAATTTACATTCTTCCACCCTGATGATTCCAGACAAAGGACAATAATTTTTTTTTAACTAAACTTCTTCCTACGTATATAAATCTGTCCACAAAACTTCACTAAGTATTAAATATGTGTCCAACCTTGTGCTAAGTGTTGGTTGGGGGTGAAGAGTTGGCAGTTGAGAAACAAAGGCCTGAGTCCTAACCACAGGAAACTTCAGTGATCTTTAAAAATTTAACCGTATAAGGCAGAATTTGGCAAGTCTGGCTTTAATGTCTCATTTATCACTGCCACTTCCCACCTACATGACATTGTATAATTCAACTCAGTTTCACAGTCTGTAAAATGAATCTTTTCATAGTGCCTACTTCAGCATTGTTGTGGGGCTTAAATGCTTAGAAAGGGCCAGTCTGGGCTCATGTTATACTCCCCTGCTCTCTGTGATCCAGGGAATAAGTGAGCTGGGGAATCCAGAGGAAGGAAAATTTGCAGCGGGCTGAGCTACTTAAGGAGGACTTCATGGAGGAGCTGGGAGCAGAGTTGAGAGAACGGCTTGGGGAGGGAGAATGGGTAGGGGAGAGTGAAAGGAAGTGCATCATGTGGGCTGGGATGGCCTGGGTTATTTTGGTCCAGTGAACCATGGAGGGACAGTCCAAGGGCATCGGAGAAGCCCTTCTGTCCAGACTCTCCTTACACAGTGCACAGTCCCTGTTTCCCATGCTTGCCTGCCCTGACAATATGTTGCTCGTTAATTGACTTACTAATTTATTTCCCATGTCCTGTAGACTTCCTGTTTTCAAGACACCAGGGCTCTCTGGAGAGGTTATCTGCCAGAGGTGTGGGTTCTAGATCCCAAGAAATGACTGAACAGTGGCCAGAATACAACTGTGGGTTCCAAATTTCAATGCCCTTTTTCTTCTTCTCTTTAGATTACACAGATGAATCTTGCACTTTCAAGATATCATTGCGAAATTTCCGGTCCATCTTATCATGGGAATTAAAAAACCACTCCATTGTACCAACTCACTATACATTGCTGTATACAATCATGAGGTTGGTTTGATATTTCATTTTCTCTTGGTAAACATATTATTGTTCTGTTATATGGGGAGAGGTGATCTTTTCTCTCTCTCTGTCTCTCCCTCTCCCTTTTCCTATCTACCTCTCCTTCTCTCTGCGTTTCTTATTCAGAGCCTTAAAAAGCCAAAGACAAAACACCATCACACATCCATTTTTAATTCAGTTGAATACTTTAATAATCCAAATCTATTTTGACAAAGCTTGTATGTGTCATCAAAGCCAATTTCTACAGGTCAGAACCTCACATACAAAATAATTCTTGTGTATGGGTTAGGCAATGATTTCTCTAATTCAGTCAGTCTGAATGTTTAAAAGTCCTGTTATCTGAGGACAGGAATCCAAAGGTCTATTGACCATATTGATGGTTTATGTTCACTTTTCTTTACTCTGGTGGGACACCAGAAAGCTGCCTGGCCTAGTCTGGGACAGGCCTGGGTCCATAGTCTGGTTTGGTCACTAACCAGCTTGACACTTGGCACGGACCTCAGCCCCTAAGCTAATGCCTCTGCTGAGGGGTTGCTGCAAGGATTCGTGACATAATGGATGGAGTCCTGCTTGTCTTTTGTCTTCCCACACCTACCAATCGCCCTTAGAAGTCATTGCTTTGATCCAGCAGCCCCTTGGAGTGTCCTTTTGATGGTTATTTATTTGGCCTAGAGCTGCTGCTGCTACTGCTTATTGACTGAGCCAGTGGGAGACCTCTTGTGAGTTTCTCTTCGGTGCCTGCTAAAAAGTTTTTCTCTGCATTGAGTGGTCACATGTATCATCCAACTAACTGAAGCTTGGTAGATGAGATATCTGCATTGTCCCTGAAATAGCCCAGGTCTGACTTAGGACTGGATCATCTAGTCTTAGCCAGAGAGGGAGGGGGTCTCAGGGAAGGCATTCATAATTGTCCCATAGAGGAAGGGAGATCTGAGGCTTCCACCATGAGGGCCCAAGTTTCATTCATTCATTTACTCATCCGGCAATTTTTTTTTTTTTTTTGAGACGGAGTCTCACTGTGTCACCAAGGCTGGAGTGCACTGGTACGATCTTGGCTCACTGCAAGCTCCACCTCCCGGGTTCACGCCATTCTCCTGCCTCAGCCTCCCAAGTAGCTGGGACTACAGGCGCCCGCCACCACGCCCAGCTAATTTTTTGTATTTTTAGTAGAGACGGGGTTTCACCATGTTAGCCAGGATGGTCTCAATCTCCTGACCTCGTGATCCGCCCGCCTTGGCCTCCCAAAGTGCTGGGATTACAGACGTGAGCCACTGCACCCGGCTCCTCCGGCAAGTTTTACTGAGCACCTACTACATGCCAGGGGGTCCAACTGTGAACCAAAGTCCCTGCCCTCCTGGAGCAGACATTATGTAAATGGAGACATCAGTAAACAAAGGTATAATGTGACAGGTGTGGGTAAATGCTACAATCAAGAAAAGAGAGGGATTGAAAGTGCAGGGGTGGGGAGGGCATAAGATGTTCCATTTTCAATAAGATGGTTGGGGAAGATCACTTAATACAATGATATTTGGGCAGAGCCCTAAAGGAAACAATGAAGTAAGGCGCCCAAAAATAGACTCTCATTACATCAATGCTAACAATTTCCTTTTTCCATTTTTTTCTTTCCAAAGTAAACCAGAAGATTTGAAGGTGGTTAAGAACTGTGCAAATACCACAAGATCATTTTGTGACCTCACAGATGAGTGGAGAAGCACACACGAGGCCTATGTCACCGTCCTAGAAGGATTCAGCGGGAACACAACGTTGTTCAGTTGCTCACACAATTTCTGGCTGGCCATAGACAGTGAGTTTTATCTCTGTTTCTCCACTTCGTCCCCATCATCAAGATCTTTATTATTTGCTATTCCATGAAATAGGAGGTCTACAAAGGTGTTTTAGACCTGGGGCTGGGCTCACCTCTTGGCCCTGCCACTTCCTAGCTCTGTAACCGTGGACTGCTTTGCTTCTCTGAGCCTTGGTTTTCTAAATCTGAAAAGTGGAATGATAATTTGTACTTTGCAGATTTGCCCCGTGCCTGTATAAGGCAGTAGGAACTGCTGTTTTCGGTTTTGCAGCCTGACAGGAAGTCTGGAGCCAGGTTCAGGTGGGCTGGATCTAGCGCTCTCATCTCTCTGGCCCAGGATTTTCTTTCTTTCTTTCTTTCTTTCTTTTTTTTTTTTTTTGAGATGGAGTTTCACTCTGTCACCTAGGCTAGAGTGCAGTGGTGCGATCTTCGCTCACTGCAACCTCCACCTTCCAGGTTCAAGCGATTCTCCCACCTCAGCCTCCAGAGTAGCTGGGATTACAAGCACACACCACCATACCTGGCTCATTTTTTGTACTTTTAGTAGAAATGTTTCACCATGTTGGCCAGGCTAGTCTCGAACTCCTGACCTCAAGTGATCCACCCGCCTCAGCCTGCCAAGGTGCTGAGGTTACAAGCATGAGCCACCACACCTGGCCCCAGTGTTTTCTTAATACAGCAACTCCACCCCCTCATTATAACCCAATGTTCTTTTGTGTGTGAACACCAAGTGTGCATGCACCTAGTACCCAAAGCTCAGAGGAGAAGACTAGACCCCAAGAACAGGCCTACCCCTTCTTTCTTTCCCTGTGACTCAAGTCAGTTCCCTAACACACTGTGTTAACAGCCCCAGCTGTGTTACTTTTTCAATTTCCCACTTTACAACGAGTTTCCAAGAGAACCATCTGGTCTCAGCTTCCTGTTGTAGGCTATGCGGGTGTGCACGTGCTCATACATGATTAGCAAAGTGGTAAGGATAACTGAATCCCCCTGTGGCAAACAATTCGGATACGACATTTGCTGGATTTGTGTGCATGTTTACGTATGTGTATAAACAGACATCTGTGTGTACACACAGAAAAGAAAGAAAATCAGAATTTATAGTTCATGGTATTTGGGTTGTTAAAGAATGCATATTAAAGTAACAGTGAGATATGTTTCATGGCTCAAATGATAAATATGAAAAATACATAAATATCCAGGTTTAGAGGGAATACAAAGAGTGTGCTTTGGCATGGTCCATCTGAAGTAATTGGCAGCATGTATTAAAAACCTTAACATGTGCTTACTCTAATCCAGAATTCTTTAGTAATTTGTCCCAAAGAAATTATTAAGGCCAGGCACAGTGGCTCACACCTGTAATCCCAGCACTTTGGGAGGCCTAGACCAGTGTATCACTTGAGCTCAGGAGTTCAAGACCAGCCCGAGCAACATGGGGAAACCCTATGTCTACATTAAAAAAGAAAGAGAGAAAGAAAGAAAGTTAGGGGGGAGGGAGGGAGGGGGGGAGAGAGAGAGAGAGAAAGAGAAAAGAAAGAAAGAAATTATTAAGGACAAATGCAAAAATTTAGTTCCAAGAATATCCCATGATACATTAAGTCTTTAATAAAAATCAGAGACAATTTAAATGTTCAAAACAGTGAATCAGTTAAATCATGATACAGTCACTTAGTGGAATAGCATTAGCAATGAAAAATTATGATGTAAATCAGGACTTGGCAGATTTTCTATACAGGGCCAGAGAAGAACCACTTTAGACTTTGTGGGCCACATATGGTCTCTGTGACATATTCCTGTCTGTTTTTGTTTTTTGCACAGTGTCTTTTGAACCACCAGAGTTTGAGATTGTTGGTTTTACCAACCACATTAATGTGATGGTGAAATTTCCATCTATTGTTGAGGAAGAATTACAGTTTGATTTATCTCTCGTCATTGAAGAACAGTCAGAGGGAATTGTTAAGAAGGTAAGTGGCTTCTCCTGTTAGGATCAAAACAGTTCTGAGTGGGCAATCAATGCACTTGACTGTCTCTTTTGAAAGGAAATTTGCAGTTGAACAATTAAAGCTAAAACGTCAGGCTTCAGTATGGTCCGACTTAGGGAAGAAGTCACTATGGTTCATTCACTATTGATCTAAACCTGCAGCACAGTGTTCTTTAAAAGAATAAGCCACGGCTGGGCCTGGTGGCTCACGCCTATAATCCCAGCACTTTGGGAGGCCGAGGCGGGCAGATCATCTAAGGTCAGGAGTTTGAGACCAGCCTGGCCAATATGGTGAAACCCCATCTCTACTAAAAATACAAACATTAGCTGGATGTGGTGGCAGGCATCTGTAATCCTAGCTACTCCGGAGGCTGAGGCAGGATAATCGCTTGAACCTAGGAGGCAGAGGTTGCAGTGAGCCGAGATCGCACCATTGTGTTCCAGCCTGGGTGACAGAGCAAGACTCCGTCTCAAAAAAAAAAAAAAAAAAAAAGAGTAAGCCACATGCACAACATCAAGGAACACACAGGAGAGAGGGTGTGGGAGGGAGATGCAGAGTACAGCCAAATTTCAGTGAACCCTGGAGAGATTTATTTGAAAAGGAGAGTTTAGCTGAGCCACCCGTGAAAAGCATCTGTCGCTGCCTCTCTGGCCCTCACACACAGTAAGGAAGTGGCTTATCTGGCAGGTTCTGTCCTCTCCTAATTTCTGCAAAGGACCTGACTCTCAGTAACCTCAGGGTTATCTGGTATCAGACAGCCCTGCATCTTCAATTTTTGTTGTCCCTAGCCCTCCAAATGCTGGAATAAGTGGAAATGGACAAATTGCTCTCACCGGTGTAGCAGCAGCTTATGTCTGTAGAGCCCTTTGCCAAGTATAAAACCCTTGCAAGTGAGACCAGCCTGAGAGATAATCAGGGTAGATGCATTTCAGGCGGAGGGCACAGGAAGTTCAAAGGCTCTGAGGCTGGAGTGGGCCCGGTGTATTTCAGCAACAGCGAGGAGAGGTGGCTGAACTGGAGTGACCAGGCAGGAGATGAAGAGGAGGTGAGGTCAGAGGGTAAATGTGGCTGGACCTGGTAGGAGTTTGTGGGTCTGGGTCTTCTGAGTGTGATGGAAGCCTGTGGAACCCAAGGCTTAACAGAGCATCCTGGCTGGGCTGTTAAAAATAGACCACAGGGGCAAAGATGGGAGTTAGGAGACCAACTAAGACACAATCCAGGGTGGCAGTCACTTAAGAGGCAGTAACAAATTATATGATTATTATCATTTTTCTTTTAATATCGACATGGATTATAATCAGTACTCTAGGAAAAGGAGCAAAAATGGGTGAAAAATAAGTTTATGTGGCCTAAGGACTATGTGGAGTGTCATTAAATCTGTTTCAATCATGTCTCGTTTGTGTTCACCCCATAAGCAACTAACTCTATGTTTTAGATTATGATTCCTAAAATAAGAGACTGTTGCTTATTAGGATATTGACTACTCTATAAGAGGAAAAACTGTAGTTAATAGGCATCTTCTTCATAAGGAAAATTAGCCTTTAAATCCAGAAAAAAAAATAAGCTACTAGTATAATCTAAGCAACAGATGGTGGTGGCTTGGACCTTGATAGTAGAGGGGTAATGAGTAGTGAGAGGCCATCAAATTCTGCATATATTTTGGGTTTTGTTTGTTTGTTTTTGAGATGGAGTTTTGCTCTTGTTGCCCAGGCTGGACTGAAATGGCATGATCTTGGCTCACTGCAACCTCCGCCTCCCGGGTTCAAGCCATTCTCCTGCCTCAGCCTCCCTAGTAGCTGGGATTACAGGCACCCGCCAGCACACCCAGATAATTTTTTGTATTTTTAGTAGAGACAGGGTTTCACTGTGTTGGCCAGGCTGGTGTTGAACTCCTGACCTCAGGCGATCCACCCACCTCAGCCTCCCAAAGTGTTGGGATTACAAGCATGAGCCACCATGCCCAGCTCATAATTCTGCATATATTTTGCATGTGGAGCAAGACTAACTTCCCCATTAACTATGGAAGATGATGAATGAAGCAGGTGAGGGTTAGATAGGGTTAGAGGGTTTGGGACATGTTAAATTCCAGGTGTCCGTAAGGAATCTAGGAGGAGACGTGGGGAAGGAGCTGGATGTGCCAGTCTGTTGTCCAGGAGAGAACCCGCAGCTAGAGAGAGAGCCTGGGAGTCACTGGCTTCTTGGTGCATGTTGAATGCCCTAAGACCAGATGAGGTCACCTGGGAATAGACACTCAGAGAGAAAACAAGACATCCAGTGACAGAGCCCAGGAACATTCCAAAATTTGGAGATCTGGCAAATGAGGAAGAAACAGCAAAATCGACTGAGAAAGAGCAACCAGCATGGTAGGGAGAGAAGCAGGTGAGAGTGATGTCCCGGTAGCTGAGAGAAGAACTTTCCAGAAGGTGAAAGTGGTCTACTGAGTCCAGTGCTGTAAATGGGACAATTGAAGAGGACTGACTATTGGATTTAGCAACATTGTGTCCTTGATAAAAGTAGTTTTAATAGAGTTAGGGGCAAAGAGCTGGTTGGAGTAGATTCAAGAAAGAGTGGGAGGAGAAAAATTGGAGACAGTGAAGAGAGCTCATTCTTCCAAGGAATTTTTCCAAACAGGGAAGGAGATTGTGTGCTGGCCACTGGAGGGGAAGCTTTTAGTTTGTTGGGTCGTAAGTTTGTTTGTTTACTAACTCCTCCTCCCAAACAGAAATTTACAGAAAAACATCATTACTGAAGGCTGTATTTGAGCTGCTAGGAATCCTCATTTATTAAACTGCTAGTAAGAATGTATTTTAAAAACTGTAAAACATGATACAAAAGTTATTATTCATGAAAGAGCCTTCATATCATCTTTTAAATTCTGAAGTGAAATGCAACTACAGGAAAGAAGAGGCAAGGTGTTTAAAGGGAGATGGCTGGGCACAGTGGCTTACGCCTGTAATCCCAGCACTTTGGAAGGCCAAGGCAGGCAGATCGCTTGCGGTCAGGAGTTCAAGACCAGCGTGGCCAACATGGTGAAACCCCATCTCTACTAAAAATACAAAAATTAGCCAGGCATGGTGGCGGGCATCTGTAATCCCAGCTACTCAGGAGACTGAGGCAAGAGAATCTCTTGAACCCAGGAGGTGGAGGTTGCAGTGAGCCAAGATCATGCCACTGCACTCCAGCCTGGGCAACAGAGTGAGACCCCATCCATCTATCTATCTATCTATCTATCTATCTATCTATCTATATCTGTCTATTGATAAAGGGAGAAGATGAGAAACTAGACATCAGTCAGTTTTGTCACAGACAAGCTCTGTGACCTTGGAGAAGTTACTTAGCCACACTGAGCTACAGTTTTCTCATCCGTTGAATGGAGGTAATGCCTATTTTGCAGACTGTTTTGAAAGTCAAAAGGGTTAATGTTTATGAAGGCACTTTCTCAAGTGTAAAGTAGACACACACTGTCCATGAGAGAAGATAATCTTGTAAAAATGACGTCACAGAGACTTTTATTCCTCTTTGAAGACTTTTATCTCATTTGTAAAATGAAGGCGCTAGACTAGATGTCATGGTTATAAAATATGTGTGTGTGCAGGTGTATATTAAAAGTGCATGTAGGTGTAGTTTTCTGATAAATTACTTGCTCCAGATGACTTATAAATCCTTTTTCTTACCAAGCCTGTGATAAATCTAACCCTGTTTGAGATTTGAAGACAAATCCCAAAAGAGATTAAGGCCTACCTCTAAATGAAATTCTCAGTCTTACTGATTTTTTGCTTATGTTTACAGCATAAACCCGAAATAAAAGGAAACATGAGTGGAAATTTCACCTATATCATTGACAAGTTAATTCCAAACACGAACTACTGTGTATCTGTTTATTTAGAGCACAGTGATGAGCAAGCAGTAATAAAGTCTCCCTTAAAATGCACCCTCCTTCCACCTGGCCAGGAATCAGGTATGTTCATTTTTTTAAATTCATGTTTTGAGTATTCATGCTTTTACTCTGAGGGCAAGCCTATTTAAAGAAAAGAATCTGAAAAGAATTCATGGAGCACTAAAGGTCTTTCTTCCAGTAAACACCTCACAGAGATGTTTTCTGTTGGTTCGTGTGTATGATCTGGTAGAGTCACTTTTATATTGTCATACCAAAAAACAATCAGATACTACTCGATGAGATCAGAAATCTTGAAATGGAAACGCTTTTGTTTCAGGGAGTCAGGATTAAATTCAGCACTGTGTGCCCTTTGTGTGGCCATTGCTGAAGCCAAATGCCAGAAGAGGTGGAGTTGCTTGAGACAGTGGTATACAGTGGCATTAAGGGGTGAAAAGGTGGAAGCAGCGAGGTTGGGTGCAGTTCATGGATGTGATCTGGCATCAGCTCTCGCTCATAGATGAAAGGAACCCTTGCCAGGGTGTACGAGAAAATCACTGATGAAGGCTGAACACCTTTCTGTTACACAGACATCAGAACAATAAACAGTGTGATCCCAAACCTTCTTCCCCTTTGGAGTGAGAACAATCAAGCCTCGGAACTCCCTGCTGATTGTTTTCTCAGGAAGTAGCCAAGTTTCCACCTGTTTTACCAAAAGTGAGAAGCTATGCAAGTCTCCCTCAAAGAAGCCCTTCTAAATGTCCCAACCGCAGTGTTAGGGGAAAGAGGTCCCAATCCATACCCCAAGAGAGGGTTCTTGGATCTTGCGCAAGAAAGAATTCAGAGCGAGTCCGTAAAGTGAAAGCAAGTTTATTAGGAAAGTAAAGGAGTAAAGAATGACTACTCTATAGACAGAGCAGCCCCGAGGGCTGCTGGTTGCCCATTTTTATGATTATTTCTTGATGATATGCTAAACAAGGGGTGGATTATTCATGCCTCCCCTTTTTAGACCATGTAGGGTAACTTCCTCACATTGCCATGGCATTTGTAAACTCATGGTGCTGGTGAGAGTGTGGCAGTGAGGACGACCATCTTGGTTTTGGTGGGTTTTGGCCGGCTTTACTGCCATCTGTTTTATCAGCAAGGTCTTTACCAACGGTATCTTGTGCCAACCCCCTATCTCATCCTGTAAGTTACAATGCCTAGACTGTCTGGGAATGCAGCCCAGTAGGTCCCAGCCCCATTTTACCCAGCTCAAGATGGAGTTGCTCTGGCTCAAATGCCTCTGACACCAATGGAAGTATCTTTAATGTTCTGATTTACCAGAATAAAAATAAGGTAGGATCTATAAAGAAATTACTTTAGTTGTAAACCAAAATAAAATTCTAAGCCCCCCAACCAACTGAATGGATCCCTCCTCTCAGCCAAGGGCCGAGTAAAGTAAAGTAAACCTGAAACACTAGTTCAGGCCATGATGGGAGTGAGTGGTCCAGACGTGCCTCACGGGACCTTCCTACCTTTGGAATTCAGGCACAGCTGGCCAGCACTAATATTAAAACAGAAACCTTAAGACTGACAAAAAGATGCTTTGTAGCACTAATACCAGCATGATGGATAGCAGGCCCTAAAAGAAACCAAAGTGTTTTACCCCAAAATACATTTCTTTGACATATTTTGAAATGGCCCTGCAAAGCTGTCTCTTGCAGGGAAAATCTGCTTTCTATAAAGAACCCCCTTCCCAGTCCAGGTGTTCTTCCTGATCCAAGAGAGAATTCACTAAGAGTCTGGCACTTTTTTAAGTCCAGTAAGAAACATTTACAGTCTGTTCTCTCTGAAGCCTGCTACCAGAGGCTTCATCTGCGTAATAGGAACCGTGGCCTCCGCAACCCTTTGTCTTAACCCAGATGCTTCCTTTTATTAATTCCAAGTTTTTAATCAGAAAATCTTTGAATCTACCTATGACCTGGAAGCCCCCCCACTTCGAATTGTCCCACCTTTCCAGATTGAACCAGTGTACATCTTACATGCATTGATTGATGCCTTATGTCTCCCTAAAATGTATAAAACCAAGCTGCACCCTGACCAAGGGTTCTCGGGATCTCCTGGGGCTGTGTCATGGGCCATTGGTCACTCATATTTGACTCAGACTGAATCTCTTCAAGTATGTTACTGACTTTGGCTCTTTTCATTGACAAAGTGATATGGTCACTTGTGAATGAAGTGAGCCACGGAACGTTGCCTGGCACATAACGGTGCTCTGTGTTGGCTTCACTACAGGGCAATATGATTTGATTCTCTAGTGTTCCTCAAGACCAGATGATGCACAGGCTGGTTCTAAAGGAAAAAACATGTCAAACACCTTTAGCGTAAGTTATTTTTATGTCAGCAAATACAGGCAAACTTAAAACTGCATATAGATTCTGACTATAGCTCTTTCAAAAATATAAATCCAAAATAAATGTGCATGTCTTTGTTCTAACACCAGCTATCTGACACTAACTAGTTGTCCAATGATTCCATTCATTTCTGATACTACCCCAGGTTAGCACAGACCCCACAGGTTAAAGGCTCAGTCCCACAAAACTGCCTGCCCCCACTTCAGATGCCAGCCACAAGTCATGGGTGACAAGGTTCCCTGCACTTCCACCTGACTTGGCTACAAATTCAGGAGTTCCCATGACCTCCCTTTAGGTTTGATAATTTGCTAAAATGACTCACAGAACTCAGGAAAGTGTTATGGCTTATGATTACCATTTTATTATAAAGGAATTGATGGACAGCCATTGAAGAGGTGCACAGGACAAGGTCTGAAAGGGTCCCAAGTGCAGGAGCTTCTGTCCCTGGGGAGTCAGGTGTACCACCCTCTCTGTACATTCATCTGTTCATGAATTTGGGGACTCCCCAACCCTTGGTGTTCACAGTTTGTATTGGGTTTCATTATGTATGTGTGATTGATTAAATTACTGGCTGCAGGATTGAACTCAGTCTCCAGCCCACTCCCCTCCTTGGATAGAGGTCAAATGGGGGAGCTGGAAGTTCCAACCGTCTGATCATGTGGTTAGTTTTTCTAGGGACCAGCCCTCATCCTGAAGCTATCCACACCCTGCCCCATCACCTCACAAGCATAAACTCATATGTGGCCCCTAAAAGAGGCTTGTTAACAAAAGACACTCCTAACGTTCAGGAAATTCCACAGGTTTTTGAAGCTCTGCTCCAGGAACTAGGGACAAAGACTGGATATATATGTATATTTTATTATATCATTGATCTTACATACAAACGAAACTCTTATAGACAATAAAAACTGAAATTAGTGACCTGGCAGACAGATGGTGGTTTATTGAAACTCAGTCCCCAGTTCCAAGGTGAATGTGTTGCTGATGAGAAGGCACAAGCTCCTTGGAGGTTGATGAATTCTGTGATGACTCACTTTCTCCCCTGACTCTTTTCCATTTCACCTACTAAGATGTTCATGTAACAACATCCTCTCAGGTCATTCCATTTTTACTTGGCGTGAATGCGTCATGTTGCACATCAAGTCAGCCCTCATTCTTTGATTATTACCCGAGATAGGTCAAGTACCGCTCTCTTTAATTATCCAAATACTGTACCTGATGTCAAATTCTTGTTTGAAACTCAGGAAGCAAATAGGTTCAGATAACGTGGCCTCTGTCACTATCTGCTTGCCATCTGACGTGCCCTCAACCAGCCAAACTCAGAAACCAGACAGGTTTGGATGGTGAGGGGTCTTGGAAGGATAGCCTGAGACCAGCATTAACATAGGCTCAGCAGTAAGCACTGTGACCCAATCCTAGGGCAGACTGATATGGGGGGATTTTAGCCCAGACATCTGGAGAAACACCTTCCCCTTGTCAAGCCTTAAAACTAATGGTTTGTCTCTTTTATTAATATTAAGGCCCTAAGGAAAAGCTCTATTCATTCATTTGACAAATGTTTATTGGGGGCCTGTTATGAGCCAGATTCTTTTCTGGATATTGAGGATTTAGCAGTGAACAAAACAGATTAAAAACTTCTCACCTTGTGGAGCTTACATTGCAGTAGGAGACAGAATAACAAGATCAACATGTAAAATAGACAGTATGTTAAGTAAGTACCATGGAAAAAAATTATGCGGGAAAGGAGGTGAGGGGGATGTCAGGTTGAGGAGAGCAGGTTGCTGTTTTTAATAGGATAGTGTCTTGATTTGCATTTGCTAGAAGCAGAGCCTGGGATGTGAATTCATATTCAAGTGTGATTTATTGGTGGGGGCATCTTAGGAGAAGGGGAAAGAGGGAACAGGTAGGTACAGGGAGAGAGAAATTAAGCAGGCATGTGGCTCTCAGCTGAGCCTGATCCCAAGGGGTTCTCGGAAGCGTGAACTGTATCCTCAAGTCAGCAGCCAGTCAGTTACTGGTGGTGATCTATGGCATGGCCTCCAGATGAGGCAGCCCCCTTTTGGGCAAGGGCAGTTCCTTATGTGTCCGGAGTTGGTTCCTGCCAATGGGTTCGTGGTCTCGCTGACTTCAAGAATGGAGCCGCAGACCTTCCTGGTGAGCGTTAACAGCTCTTAAAGATGGCACAGACCCAAAGAGTGAGCAGTAGCATGGTTTATTGTGAAGAGCGAAAGGACAAAGCTTTCACACCCTGGAAGGGGACCTGAGCGGGTTGCCACTGCTGGCTGGAGGTGGCCAGCTTTTATTCCCTTATTGTCCCTTCCCGTGTTCGTTTCTGTCCTATCAGAGTGCCCTTTTTTCAGTCCTCCTCGTGATTGGCTACTTTTAGGATCCTGCTGATTGGTGCATTTTACAGAGCGCTGATTGGTGCGTTTTAGAGTGCTGATTGGTGCGTTTTACAGAATGCTGACTTGTGCATTTTACAATCCTCTTGTGAGACAGGAAAGTCCCTGATTGGTGCGTTTTACAATCCTCTTGTAAGACAAGAAAGTTCCCTAAGTCCTCACTCCACCCAGGAAGTCCAGCTGGCCTCACCTTTCACTTAGAGAAGGATCAGCTCTGAGAGATATCAGCAGACACGTGCGGCAGCAGTAGTGGGTGTGCACTGACTGGAAAAGGGGACATGGGCAGGCCACCCACAGCATCCACCACAGATGGCCACAGATGGCCTTCCTGAGAAGGTAGCATTTGAATAAAGACCCAAGGGAGATGTGGTAAGCAGAATAATGGCCCCCAAAGATGTCTACATCCTAATCCCAGATATGTGAACAGGCTAACCTCTATGCCAAAGGGGCTTGTGGGTGTGATGAAATTGAAGATCTTGGCCAGGCGCAGTGGCTCATGCCTGTAATTCCAGCACTTTGGGGGGCCGAGCCAGGTGAATCACCTGAGGTCAGGAGTTCGAGTTCAGCCTAGCCAACGTGGTAAAACCCCATCTCTACTAAAAATACAAAAATTAGCCAGGCGTGGTGGCATGCGTCTGGAGTCCCAGCTACTTGGGAGGCTGAGGCAGGAGAATCTCTTGAACCCGGGAGGTGGGGGTTGCAGTGAGCCAAGATGGTACCACTGTACTCCAGCCTGAGCTACAGAGCAAGACTGTGTCTCAACAAAAAGAGAAGCAGGAGACTCAGAGGCAGAGAAGGAGCTCTCACAGCAGCAGCAGAGGTCGCAGAGTGAGGATGAAGGAGGGGGCCATGAGCAAAGGAATGCAAGTGGCCTCTAGAAGCTGGGAAAGGCAAAGAAATGGGTTTTCCCCTAGAGCCTCCATAAGGAGTTCAGTCCTGCCAACATCTTGATATTTTTTATCCCAGTGAAACCCATTTTGGATTTCTGATCTCCAGAACTATTAATATAATATATTTATATTGTTTTATGACACTAACTTTGCATCATTTGTTACGGTGGCAATGGGAAACAAACACAAGGTGAGGGAGTGAGTCACGCAAACCTATCAGGGGAAGGAGTTCCATATGCGGGGTTCAGCAAGTGCCAAGTGCCCGAGGCAGGATATGCCTGGCACGGCACGGCAGGAGTGAACTGAACAAGGGAAGAATAGTAACAGTTCTGGTCAGAAAAGATGGAGGAGCCTGAATGACATAGAACTTAGAAGCCGTTGCAAGAGATGGGGACCCTCAGAGGGTTGTGAGCAGGTTGCTCTCCGTGATCTGACGTGGGATGTAAAGGGAACATCCATCCACATGCCTTGAAGTGGGAGCCAGGTGACCCCTGGGCTGATTACTGCAGTCACCCAGGGGAGAGGCGGTCTTACTTGTTCCAGAGAGGTAAGTACGGGAGGAACTATAAGAGACTGATGTTAGTCATCGCCAGTCTTTTCATAAAGTTCTTTATCTTTTCCATTAAAGATCATTGTGATCAGATATTACCAACCCCGTTGCTCAGTTCAGCCCTCTGCTTGTGAGGTTTCTTATTTTTTGCTTAAAATATCTCCACAGTGAATCCAGAGACAGACAGGTTTGTCCAAGGCCAAATTTTTAAGACACGACCTGGTCTCTCCTTCCCAAGATGGGTTGATCTGGTCCATCTTTCATGAAGAAGATAGTTAACAGCAGTAACATTCAATCACAGCTTCTCCTTTCTGAGTCAGAACATTGATGGGATTCATCTCTTTTCAAATATGAATATTTAAAAATAGCATGCATGTATAATTGTCATGACCCCAAGTGAGATTTCTATTTTTTAGATTATCATCAAGCTGAAAACAAACAAAAATTCTAAGTTCTCCTAAAGAATTCTCAGACTCATGAGAATACCCCAAATTGAGGAATATTATCCTAGCATATTAACTACAATTTACACAATTTGGTTTGGACATAGAGTGCATTGTAGCTGTTATATGCAAGTTGGATGGGTACATGAGTCACAATCTCTGTATTATGCCATTCCTTCACCAGTGAAATCACTTTGGTTTACAGTACCCCTTTCAAGAATGTAAACGCTATACATGTCAGAATTTTGTATCCTAAAGGCGTGCCTCTGTGGCTAGATCTGATTCTGGAACTGTCATTGATATGACAATCCAATCCTTCACACTCTTGATGGAGGTGAGAGTGGATTCTTGAACCCTGTGCTATCTAACAGTGTTTTTACTGAACTATCAAGGGTTTTTACTGAACTTCTTTCTATTCATTCCTTAACCTTCTGGAAGACTTAGAGTACATAATCCATTTGATTTCCTTTTTTCTCCCCTCTATCTATTTTTGCCTGAGGCTATAGTTCGAGGATTAATACTAATGAAGACCTTTCTGGAAGTGCAAGAGAGCCTTAGTGATATAACTACTGATTTTTCAGTCTGGTCGCACTTCAGGAAAATAACTATGGTCAGTCAAAAAGCTGAAATTTTCCAAAAGGAATTTTGATGAGAAACTAAGGGGAACTGTTAATAGAGCAAGGCAGGTTCTGCAGAGCCCTGACTTGTGGCCCCAGCGTGGCTAAAGTCCAGCCTCAGAATGACCCAGTTGGTTGTTTTCAAGCAAACTTTCCTTCCCCACTTCTTCCTGCCCGCAGCGCATGCTAACCAGTGTGGCTACCGAACGTTTGAGATGTGTTTCATGTGACTGAGAGACCGAGCTCTTAATTCTGTTTAATTTTAATCATTTAAATTCAGCCAGCTGCAGCCAGTGGCTACTCCACTGTACAGTGCAGTTATAGAACATAAACTGAAGGAAATTTTACTTTTAAAAGCTAAGTCTATTTTATTGTTTAAAAAATGCACACTTAGATAATTCTCCAGTCTCTGGTATTTCTCAATATAAAACTGTTTTTTCAAACCTTTGGTTTCTTGATCATCTTGTAACACCAGGCCAATGTACATTTATTTCCATCTGCAATTGTTTATTGCATTTTTTGAAATAAAGTCATTTAATTTTTCATCAACAGAATCAGCAGAATCTGCCAAAATAGGAGGAATAATTACTGTGTTTTTGATAGCATTGGTCTTGACAAGCACCATAGTGACACTGAAATGGATTGGTTATATATGCTTAAGAAATAGCCTCCCCAAAGTCTTGGTAGGTAGTTTTTTTGTTTTGTTTTGTTTTTTCTATCTTTGTTTTTTATTTTAACTTAAGAATTTGTATTTATATAAATATTTTCACAGAAGAAAATCTCATTTTCTATAAACACCAAAATGCTTTCTCACTCTGAGTTCTTTTCCATATCTATAAATGTATATTTTGCAGGGTTTTTGTTTTGTTTTTGTTTTTATTATACTTTTAAGTTTTAGGGTACATGTGCACAGTGTGCAGGTTAGTTACATATATATACATGTGCAGTTGTAAGTGTATCTGTGCATCTGTGCATTTTATGTTTTCTTTCCTTTTTTTTTTTTTTTTTTTTTGAGACAGTCTCACTCTGTCACCCAGGCTGGAGTACAGTGGCGTGATCTCAGCTGACTGTAACCTCTGCCTCCTAGGCTCAAGCAATTCTCGTGCCTCAGCCTCTCAAGTAGCTGGGACTACAGGCGTGTGCTACCACACCTGGCTAATTTTTGCATTTTTAGTAGAGATGGGGTTTTGCTATGTTGGCCAGGCTGGTCTTGAACTCCTGACTTCAAGTGATCCACCTGCCTTGGCCTCCCAAAGTTCTGGGATTACAGGTGTGAGCCACTGCACTCAGCAATGTTTTGTTTTGTTTTGTTTTTATACTTCATCACATAATTTATAATGATCAGGTAGAATTTCATTATTATTAACATACCATTTTTCATTTAACCATTTCTCAGCTAAAGGGCATTTGGATTTCTTTTCCTTTTCTTTTCTTTGGTGATGATGAATAGTACAATAAACATTTTTATATGGATCGTCTTTTTGTTTTGGATTATGTCAGTGGAACATATACACAAAGTGGATTTATCCTATAAAAAGATTTAAAAAGGACTAGGCACAGTGGCTCACGCCTGTAATCTCAGCACTTTGGGAGGCTGAGGCGGGTGGATCATTTGAGCCCAGGAGTTTGAGACCAGCCTGGGCAATATAAGGAAACCTTGTCTTAGAGAAAATAAAAATAAATTAGCCAGGCATGCTGGCACATGCCTGTGGTCTCAGCTACTCAGGAGGATGTGGTGAGAGGATTGCTTGAGCCCAGGAGGTGGAGGCTGCAGTGAGCTGTGATTGCGCCACTGCACTCCAGCCTCGGTTACAGAGTGAGACCCTAGCTCTAAAAATATATAAATATCTTAAAAATATAAAGAAGCAGCCAAAGGAGAGGAAGTTAAGAGGAGTAAGTCAGAACATAGTCTATGTGGCCAGCAGCCTGCCTGGTTTGAAAGGCAGCTGCTCCCACTCACTAGTCACAAACCTTGAGCAAGTTTCTTAACTTCTGCACCTCATTTTCTCATCTGTAAAGTGGGCATAAGAATAGTAAGCCTGGCCAGGCGCGGTGGCCACGCCTATAAACCCAGCACTTCGGGAGGCCAAGGCAGGTAGATCACGAGGTCGGGAGTTCAAGACCAGCCTGGCCAACATGGTGAAACCCCTTCTCTACTAAAAATACAAAAATTTGCCGGGCATAGTGGCGGGCGCCTGTAATCCCAGCTACTCAGGAGGCTGAGGCAGAGAATTGCTTGAACCTGGGAGGTGGAGGTTGCAGTGAGCCAAGACCGCACTACTGCACTCCAGCCTGGGCAACAGAGCGAGACTCCCGTCTCAAAAAAAAAAAAAAAAAAAAATAGTAAGCATACCTCATAGAGCAGTTGCAAGGGAAAGGTAAATTATATATAAAGCACCAAGAGTCATGCCCAGCATATAGTAAGCATGGTGTAACTGTTAGCTGTTATTATTGCTGTCATCATCATCAACTGCATCATCATTCAATCTCATTAAGTTTATTTTTTATTTTTTTAGAGGCAAGGTCTCGCTAAGGGCTGGAATGCAGTGGCTATTCACAGGTGCAGTCATAATGCACTACAGTCTGAAACTCCTGAGCTCAAACAGTCGTCCTGCCTAAGCTTCCCCAGTAGCTGGGATTACAAGCGTGCATCCCTGTGCCCCAGTGATTAAGTTTTATTATGTAGAAAATAAAGAGCAAACAGTACAGCTGATACGGACTCTCTCTCTCTTTTTTTTTTTTTTTAAGAATTTTCATAACTTTTTAGCCTGGCCATTTCCTAACCTGCCACCGTTGGAAGCCATGGATATGGTGGAGGTCATTTACATCAACAGAAAGAAGAAAGTGTGGGATTATAATTATGATGATGAAAGTGATAGCGATACTGAGGCAGCGCCCAGGACAAGTGGCGGTGGCTATACCATGCATGGACTGACTGTCAGGCCTCTGGGTCAGGCCTCTGCCACCTCTACAGAATCCCAGTTGATAGACCCGGAGTCCGAGGAGGAGCCTGACCTGCCTGAGGTTGATGTGGAGCTCCCCACGATGCCAAAGGACAGCCCTCAGCAGTTGGAACTCTTGAGTGGGCCCTGTGAGAGGAGAAAGAGTCCACTCCAGGACCCTTTTCCCGAAGAGGACTACAGCTCCACGGAGGGGTCTGGGGGCAGAATTACCTTCAATGTGGACTTAAACTCTGTGTTTTTGAGAGTTCTTGATGACGAGGACAGTGACGACTTAGAAGCCCCTCTGATGCTATCGTCTCATCTGGAAGAGATGGTTGACCCAGAGGATCCTGATAATGTGCAATCAAACCATTTGCTGGCCAGCGGGGAAGGGACACAGCCAACCTTTCCCAGCCCCTCTTCAGAGGGCCTGTGGTCCGAAGATGCTCCATCTGATCAAAGTGACACTTCTGAGTCAGATGTTGACCTTGGGGATGGTTATATAATGAGATGACTCCAAAACTATTGAATGAACTTGGACAGACAAGCACCTACAGGGTTCTTTGTCTCTGCATCCTAACTTGCTGCCTTATCGTCTGCAAGTGTTCTCCAAGGGAAGGAGGAGGAAACTGTGGTGTTCCTTTCTTCCAGGTGACATCACCTATGCACATTCCCAGTATGGGGACCATAGTATCATTCAGTGCATTGTTTACATATTCAAAGTGGTGCACTTTGAAGGAAGCACATGTGCACCTTTCCTTTACACTAATGCACTTAGGATGTTTCTGCATCATGTCTACCAGGGAGCAGGGTTCCCCACAGTTTCAGAGGTGGTCCAGGACCCTATGATATTTCTCTTCTTTCGTTCTTTTTTTTTTTTTTTTTTGAGACAGAGTCTCGTTCTGTCGCCCAAGCTGGAGCGCAATGGTGTGATCTTGGCTCACTGCAACATCCGCCTCCCAGGTTCAAGTGATTCTCCTGCCTCAGCCTCCCTCGCAAGTAGCTGGGATTACAGGCGCCTGCCACCATGCCTAGCAAATTTTTGTATTTTTAGTAGAGACAGGATTTTACCATGTTGGCCAGGCTGGTCTCAAACTCCTGACCTCAAGTGATCTGCCCTCCTCAGCCTCGTAAAGTGCTGGGATTACAGGGGTGAGCCGCTGTGCCTGGCTGGCCCTGTGATATTTCTGTGAAATAAATTGGGCCAGGGTGGGAGCAGGGAAAGAAAAGGAAAATAGTAGCAAGAGCTGCAAAGCAGGCAGGAAGGGAGGAGGAGAGCCAGGTGAGCAGTGGAGAGAAGGGGGGCCCTGCACAAGGAAACAGGGAAGAGCCATCGAAGTTTCAGTCGGTGAGCCTTGGGCACCTCACCCATGTCACATCCTGTCTCCTGCAATTGGAATTCCACCTTGTCCAGCCCTCCCCAGTTAAAGTGGGGAAGACAGACTTTAGGATCACGTGTGTGACTAATACAGAAAGGAAACATGGCGTCGGGGAGAGGGATAAAACCTGAATGCCATATTTTAAGTTAAAAAAAAAAAAAGCAAACACAAAGATGCTTCAAGATCTTCAGGAGAAGTATGGTATACAAGTTTCAGGGACCCTATTTGACAATTTTCAGAGTGCTCTCTATGCTGATTCCGAGTCGAGTGTGTCAGCTGTGATTACAGTGCCTGTGGATCTAGGCCGGGTTGGGGGGGTGTGGGCGGGGGAAGGGAAGTCTGGCCCGGAGCAATTGCTCCTGCCGGTAACCCCAGCACTTTGGGATGCCTAAACAGGCGTATCGCTTGAGGCCAGTAATTCGAGACCAGCCTGGGCAACATGGCAAATCTGTCTCTACAAAACAAAATTAGAAAAATTAACTGGGCGTAGTGGCATGTGCCTGTTGTCCCAGCTACTTGGGAGGCTGAGGTGGGAGAATGGCTTGAGCCCAGGAAGCGGAGGTTGCAGTGAGCCAAGATCATGTCACTGCACTTCAGCCTGGGTGACAGAACCAGACCCTGTCTTTAAAAAGGGAGTTGGTGGGGAGAGGTTCTAGAATGTCATGTAGCAACCAGTTTAAGGACTGGGACTCAGGGATCCAACTCCCACAGTTTCCCTGTGTGACCCTAGGCATTTGACTTAGCCTTTCTGAGCCTCAGGTTTTTTGTTTCTGAAGTAAAAGGATTGGACTAGGTAATCTCCAAGATCCTAGGAACCCAGGAGAAAGATGAGAAAATGTACAAGAATGAACACTCAGGTGGAAATGCTGCAATCCTGAGAAGCTCCCAGGATGAATGAAAGGCACAGGACCTCTTACCCCTCACCCCTGCCCCCCTCAAGAGCTGGTTTCTCAAACCTTTCTCTTAGGCCCCTTCAAAGGGGGAAAACTAAAAATTATACAAGTTATAGTTCAAGGACTTTAAATAGATTATTTATATGATTGCTCATAAGGATGAGGCTGTGAGGAGGGAACACCTTATTTAATCTAATGAAATTCCATAGGAAAGAGGCCTTTTGTATATTGAATCAATTTATCTGCCTTCTCAGTGCATCTGTCATATTCTGAAAGATTCTGGGTTGATCTTTTGCGATAACCTCTATGGCTGTGAGTGTGTGTGTGTGTTTGTGTATTTTTTAACATTTTGTATAATGATTGGAGGTTGGTAAAAAGTAACACAACAGTACTTTTTTAATACAAACTTGGTGTGGTCTTGAGTTGTCTTCCATTGGAGAGCGTACGTGTGCCACAGATTGGTGCACCTGCCGGCATCTCTAGGATTGCACCAACTCCCTCTAGCTCTTCTTGGTGGCCTGCAGGGGCCTAGGGCGCATTCACTTCCCTCTGCTTGACTTTACGTGGTGTTCTAGCGTCAGACATCAGGCGATGCCGTGCATTACCCAAGACACTGGACAGCTCCGGATCTTCCCGTCTAACCACTAATCAAGTTAAAAAGAGGAAATTAACGCTTTCTTAGTAGTCTCTGAAAGAAACTAGTTATTTGCGTAAAGATGACTTGGTTTTGTGTTGTTTATCCCTGGGGAGAAGGGTAAAGAAGACCCTCAAACTGGATTTGCTGCTGAAGTGCTTTTAACTCACCTGTGCGGAGAGCGGACTTCAAGAGAGGGCGTGCCGGTGCTCCGGACAAAACCTGGGGAATACTGAAAGCCACCACCACCACCGTCATTCCAGCATGCAGATCTCAGTCCTGGGTTGGTGTTGTAGGGCATTTATTTATTTGACTTGACGGCGCCTTTCAAAGCTTGCGAGGATCCCTTCCTCTTCCTCGTGTGCATCTGCCAAGCCTGTGCCCCGCGCCTCGCGGGTGGACCCGGGCTGGTGGGCGGGGCCTGCAGCGGGGTGGGAGCCCGGTCGCCCGGCCCCTCCCCACCCCGCCCCGCCCATCTCCGCTGGTTCCCGGAAGCCGCCGCGGACAAGCTCTCCCGGGCGCGGGCGGGGGTCGTGTGCTTGGAGGAAGCCGCGGAACCCCCAGCGTCCGTCCATGGCGTGGAGCCTTGGGAGCTGGCTGGGTGGCTGCCTGCTGGTGTCAGGTGAGGGGTCCGCGGGGAGGGGGCGCGCTTGGGAACCGGGAGGCCCCGCGAGATGCCGCCCCTGATCCCATCCCTGGGCGCCCTGCAAGTGACTTAAGAGCCTTCGGGGCCTCGGGAGAGAAGATGCAAACGCCACGGCCGGCTGCTGAGACGCAACTAGGCTGCTGCTGCCGTCGATTCTGTAACAGGAGAAAGCCCCATCCGCGCCCGGATTACAGACCGTCTGGGCCCTAAACTCAGGGGGAGACTCCCGGCGTCTTTTGATTCCCTGTCCTCCTGCAGCTCTCTGCTGGCGGGCGTCTAAATAAAGTAGCTTCCCCAAAAGACCCAAGATCCCACCGTGGCTGTCATCTGACCCTTCTGGAGACTATCAGTTCAAGTGGAGGCCCCCACCAGTCCCCGAGTGCCCTGACAGCCCTCCCTGACCCCAAGTCTGCCCCCTCAGTGCCAGCCCTCCCTACAGATGTGCCTCCCATCACCCGCTGCACCTCCCCTCCTTCCGGTTCAGGCCCGAGCACCCTGAAATCTGGATTCTGTCCCCCAGCGCCCCAGCTCCATGGCTTCTAAACCTAAATCCATTGAAACCTTTTCTGTCCTCTAAATTGACTGCCTAGGTTCCAATAACACCATGGTCACCTCCTTCCTTTCTCATGAACTCTTCCCTGGCCTTCCGGGATACCCCTCCGGTTTCCCGCCCTGTCAGGCTGTCTCTGCTTGGGACCCTCCTGCTCTGTCAGGTTTCTATGTAGCTAATTGTGATGCCCAAGGCCTTTTCTCTCCTTCCCTGGCACTGTTCCTTTGGGGGATTTCAGCCAAACCCTGGCATTAAACACGGGCTATAGGCCCATGACTCGCACATTTATATCTCTCTTGGTACCAGTTGGGTGATGGGTGGTGGTTTATTATAGTCTTCTACTTTTCTACTTGCATGTAGGTTTCAAATTTTCTTTTCTTTCTTTCTTCTTCCGTTTTTTTTTTTGTTTGTTTGTTTTTTTGTTTTTTTGTTTTTTTTTGAGACAGGGTTTTGCTCTGTTGCTGTGGCCCAGGCTGGAGTGCAGTGGCTTGATCTTGCCTCACTGCCACCTCCGCCTCCCGGGTTCAAGCGATTTTCCTCCCTCAGCCTCCCGAGTAGCTGGAATTACAGGTGTGTGCCACTACGCCTGGCTAATTTTTGTATTTTTATTGGAGATGGGGTTTCGCCATGTTGGCCAGGCTGGTCTCGAACTCCTGACCTCAGGTGATTCACCTTCCTCAGCCTCCCAAAGAGCTGGGATTACAGGCGCGAGCCACCATGCCTGGCCAGGTTTCGAATTTTCTATTAAAAGGTTTGAAAATAATTTCTGTCTCTAGCCCACATCTCTTCTTGGTGTGACCTCTGGGCTCATTCATCTGGCTGTCTCCCTGACATTCCTACTTCAGCCTCTCTCCAGCATCTCCAACCTAATGCAGCTCAAATGGGACTCGTGAGTTCCCCAGCTGAGCTCCAATCGGGGCACCAGCTGCTTAAGCCCAAAATGGACATTGACCTCAGCTTTTATGCATCAAATGTATCAGGAAGTCTCCAGTTTGTTTTTACGTCTGGAAATATATCTGAAATCCATGTGCCCACCCTACCCCCTCATAGCTTTCTGCCACCAGACAAATCCAAGGCTCCTTTGTCTGTCCCCATTTTACTCCTGCCCCTCCAGAAATTTCTCCTCACGGCTGTTCAAAGAAAATCTAGACTCCTCAGCACAGCCAACCTGTCTCTCCCTCCCTCACCCACGTGGCCTTTGAAGACATGGAGCCATAGAGGAGAACCAAGTGCTGGATGTGGGCTTTTTCATGGGCATCTGTTTTGAGGAGAAAAGTTGTAAATGTTTTTGTCTTATTTTCATAGCATTGGGAATGGTACCACCTCCCGAAAATGTCAGAATGAATTCTGTTAATTTCAAGAACATTCTACAGTGGGAGTCACCTGCTTTTGCCAAAGGGAACCTGACTTTCACAGCTCAGTACCTAAGGTGGGTCTGGCCTCACTATTGGCAGGAACGCACCGGAGGAGCCAGCCCTGGGCTGGTCACTGGGTTGGGCCACAGGAGGAAGGGAGTCTGACTACGGTCACCGTGTGACTGTGACAACCCTCAGGGAGCCTCCCTGCCAGCCTTTTGCTGTCTGGGAAATTCTCGTGGCCACCTTTTCTCTTTTAGGTTTTCTAGTTGTGATGGTTGACGATTTGACTGTTAATCACAGGGCTGCTGGCAGATACAGACATTTTATCATGCGTATGTAGATATAATCAGCCATAGTGGTAACCTCATGCTGTGCCCATCCCAGCTTGTTTGTCACAGTTGATATATTTTAAAAGAAAAATACCACTGCTGTCATCTCTAGGTATGAGTAGTATTGCTGGAAGTCAGCAATGTTGAGTGGATGCTACCCAAGAAACTGAGATATGCAAAGCGGTCAGGAAGCCCCTTGCTACCATATATCACCTGTTCCCCTCCAATGGATTATAACATCATGCCCCAGTGCCATGCGCGATGCACATAATTTGCATAATGAGTGCTCAGTTTCTCCGTGGTTCCATCCTGAAATTAAAAGTAAGACAGCTACTGACTGTTAAAAACCCCATTCTCGGACAACAGCAGGGGCTGTGAAGGAAGAGTGAGTGTCACCCTAGACGGTCATCTCAGTGGTGATCTGAACGCCCTCTACCTCTCCTGCCTGTCAGTGTTTCCCTACGCCTGGTGAAGGAAGTCAGTGCCAGCACTCCCTTGGCAGCCTGCCACCATACGCCACATGCTGGACTGCAGGTGACACACCTTTAGGCCAGGCGCAAACAGCAGCAGGAGGCCCAAGGCTGACAAGCCAACACACCTGCTTTCTGTGTGACTCAGAAACATACGAAGATAGACAAGTCCTTCAGTGAGGCAGGAGGAAATTTCTTCCCAGATCCAGCTGTCATTTCACAAAAATCCCCAAGGCCTGCTACATCAGAGAAGAAGTAGAAAGGTGAATAAGATAGTCCTCGTCTGTGCATTGCTGGCTTTTGTTTTTTAACTTTTAGTTCAAAATAATTCCAGACTAACAGAACATTTCAAAATTTTAAGTAGAATACAAAGAATTTCCAAATAGCCTACAATCAGATTCACCAATTTTTTTTTTTTTTTTTTTTTTTATGAGACGGAGTCTCGCTCTGTCACCCAGGCTGGAGTGCAGTGGCGCGATCTCGGCTCACTGCAACCTCTGCCTCTCGGGTTCACGCCATTCTCCTGCCTCAGCCTCCCGAGTAGATGGGAGTACAGGCTCCCACCACCATGCCCAGCTAATTTTTTGTATTTTTAGTAGAGACGGGGTTTCACCGTGTTAGCCAGGATGGTCACTATCTCCTGACCTCATGATCCACCCACCTCGGCTTCCCGAAGTGCTGGGATTACAGGCGTGAGCCACCACGCCCGGCCCAGGTTCACCAATTTTTAATGTTGGTCACATTCTCTCCCTTCCTCTCTCTCTCTCATGCCCTTTGTGCTGTAATATTTCACTGTGTATTTCACAAGAACAAGGATAATCTCTTACATCACATAGTACAGTGAGAAGCTCAGGAACTTTTACATTCATAAAATACTTGTATCTAATTTACAGTCCATAGTCCAGTACTGTCAGCTGTCCCAAGGATTGAAGGAGGGCATACTCTATAATTAATTTTTTTCCTGATGTGCATTTTCTAGTACTGATTGGCTTTATCATTTGCTTTCTGTGCTGTCTCTACTCAGTCTGAATAGCCACGGAGATTTTACTGTGGAAAATTAAATTTCTTCTCTGTCTGTCTGTCTCCCTGTAGTTTTTCTTGTTCTGTGCTGTGCTTTTGGGTTTGTTTGTTTGTTTTTCTTTTTTTTTTTTTTGAGACGGAGTCTCGCTCTGTTGCCCAGGCTGGAGTGCAGTAGCGCGATCTCATCTCACTGCAACCTCCGCCTCCCGGGTTCACGCCATTCTCCTGCCTCAGCCTCCCGAGTAGCTGGGACTACAGGCGCCCGCCACCACGCCCGGCTAATTTTTTTTAGTAGAGACACTGTTTCACCGTGTTACCCAGGATGGTCTTGATCTCCTGACCTCGTGATCCACCCGCCTTGGCTTCCCAAAGTGCTGGGATTACAGGCGTGAGCCACCGCGCCCAGCCTTTTTTTTTTTTTTTCTTTGAGACAGGGTCTCACTCTGTCACCAAGGCTGGAGTGCAGTGGTACGACCTCTGCTCACTGCAGCCTCCACCTCCTGGGTTCAAGCGATTCTCCTGCCTCAGCCTCCTGAGTAGCTGGGACTACAAGCACATGCCACCGTGCCCAACTGATTTTTGTACTTCTAGCAGAGATGGGGTTTCACCATGTTGGCCGAGCTGGTCTTGAACTCCTGGCCTCAAGTGATCCACCTGCCTCAGTCTCCCAAAGAGCTGGGATTACAGGCGTGAGCTACCACACCCAGCCCATGCCATGCCTTTTTGCCATTATAGTCGAGGCACTTGGCTTTGCATGTTTATCTTTTATGTTAGCGATCCCAATGACTTCATGAAGTGACTTCATGAGGGTATCCACACCTGGGTTCCAGGTCTCCCCCGCGTGGAACTACAGAGTGAGTATGGCATGTGCTGGAGAAAACAAAATATGTGCTGGCCGTGTCCTTGGGGAAGATATTTGATCCCTAAAGATGTGATTGCCTCATGTGGCTCTACAAAAGAGTTGTTTAGAGTTTAGCATGAGCAATTGCACAGCACAAACTCTCTGTTGTTTGCGTGCATTGGGGCAGGGCGTCCAGAGCCGGGGGCACTTCAGAGGATGTACTGGTGATTTTAATATAAAAACATCCAAAACAATTAGATGTAAATATGAGGAATGGGTCATATTACCTATTTAATGCGGGGAGAAGTATTTGTACATGCAATAAAAATAACCTAGTGAAGGCCAGGCGCGGTGGCTCATGCCCGTAATCCCAGCACTTTGGGAGGCCGAGGTGGGTGGATCACCTGAGATCAGGAGTTCGAGACCAGCCTTACCAACATGGCAAAACCCCATCTTTACTAAAAATACAAAATTAGCCGGGTATGGTGGTGCATACCTGTAGTCCCAGCTACTCAGAAGGCTGAGGCAGGAGAATCACTTGAACCCAGGAGGCAGAGATTGCAGCAAGCTGAGATTGCACCATTGCACTCCAGCCTGGGTGACAGAGTGAGACTCCATCTCAAAAAAAAAAAAAACCTAGTGAAAAAGATGTTATTGCAAAACAACTTTTGAAATACTGCACATGCTGGACAATTGATGCATTAGTTTAAAAGAAGGAAATGGGCCAGTAATCCCAGTACTTTGGGGGGCCAAGGTAGGATAATCATTTGAGGCCAGGAGTTCAAGACCAGCCTGGGCAACATAGCAGCCTCTTGTCTCTACAATTTTTTTTTTTAATTAGCTGGACTTGAGTTGGAAAGAAGGAAGGCGGAAGGGAAGAAAGAAGGTAGGGAGGAAAAAAAATATGGCCACATGTGAGAAAACCCCCTTAATGAAATGACCGCTGGATTTTCCAAATGATGGGATGTTAAGCAGCCGTGAAGAAATGGTTGATTGACAAATATTTGTGGTATATTAAGTGAAAAAATAGCATGATCCCAATGATCTCTATCTACTTTTTGCAAGGGATTTTTCTAGGTATCACTAAGAATGCTGTGAGATGTGATGTGCTACCTTAGACTATGAAGTCAAACAGATCTGAGTTCAGTTGGGCAGATTTCTTAGGCTCTCCACGCCTGACCCCTGTGTACTTAATAAATGTTGGCTGTTGTTATTTTTATCACCATCACTTTCATCATCACTTCTGGGAGCAACCAAATTGGTTTTGGCACCAGAAGATGTCTTGGGGGACCAATCAGATAGCTCCTCACTTTTTTATTTTATTTTATAAATTTTTAAATTAAATTAAATTAAATTTTTTGAGACAGTGTCACTCTGTTGCCCAGGCTGGAGTGCAGTGGTGCAATCACGTCTCACTGCAGCCTCCACCTCCCAGGCTCAAGCGAGCTTCCCTCCTTAGCCTACTGAGTAGCTGGGACTACAGGCGCATGCCACCATACCCAAATAATTTTTTTATTTTTTGTAGAGACAAGGACTCACCACGTTGTCCAGGCTGTTCTCAAACTCCTGGGCTCAAGTGATCCTCTGCCTCGGCCTCCCAGAGTGCTGGGATTATAGGCGTGAGCCACTGAGCCGGGCCAGCTCCTCACTTTTTGCAGGATGAGAGCCTGGGCTTCCTTTGATCACGTGGAGCCAATTACACCTCCTTGGCTGTTGCGAGCTTAGATTCAGGAGATTGTATTTCCCTAGCATCCAACAGGCATGTCCAAATGTCATCTCTTTTCTTCCACTTCACTTTCTGTCATGTTCCCTTTAGCGGTTGCTGTCGGGGCTGGTGTTCTGACTGAGACTGATGAATTGTTTTATAATTTTTCCAGAGTAATTGCAATGATAGTCATTTATAGGA
Organism: Homo sapiens; assembly: GCF_000001405.40. Classification (NCBI taxonomy): domain Eukaryota; kingdom Metazoa; phylum Chordata; class Mammalia; order Primates; family Hominidae; genus Homo; species Homo sapiens. Next base: position 33,273,013 of record NC_000021.9, read on the forward strand.
CAGGACAGTCACGGGTCACTTAACAACTGGGGTAGATTCTGAGAAATGCATCATTAGACAGTTTTGCTGTGTGAACGTCATGCAGTGTACTTGCACAAACCTAGATGGTGTAGCCTCGTATACACCTAGGCTATGTGGTTTAGCCTATTGCCCCAGGCTGTAAACCTGTACAGCATGTTACTGTACTGAGTGCTGTAGGCAATCGTAACACAATGGTATTTGTATACAGGCATATCACAGAGATAAGGCAGTTTTGGTTCCAGACTAACACAATAAAGCTAAAACCACAATAGAGTGAGTCACATGAATTTTTTTGTTTCCCGGTGCATCTAAAAATTATGTTTATACTGTAGTCCATTAAGTGTGTGATAGCGTTATGTCTAAAAAAATGTGCACAGCTTAATTTTAAAATATTTACTTGCGGAAAAATGGTAGCAATCATCAGAGCCTTCAGCAAGTCATAATCCTTTTGCTCGTGGAGCATCTTGCCTTGATATGGATGGCTGCTGACTGATCAGGGTAGTGGTTGCTGAGTTGCAGTGACTGTGACAATTTCTTGAAATAAGATGACAATGAAGTCTGCTGCATCAACTAACTCTTCCTTTCATGACAGATTTCTCTGTAGCATGAGATGCTGTTCGGTAGCATTTTACTCACAGAAGAACTTCTTTCAAAATTGGAATCCTTTCAAACCCTGCTATCAACTAAGTTTATGTAATATTCTAAATCCTTTGTTGTCATTTCAACAATGTTCATAGCATCTTCACCAGGAATAAATTCCATCTCAAGAAACCACTTTCTTTGCTCACTCATTAGAAACAACTCTTCATCTGTTCAACTTTTATCATGAGATTGGAGCAATTCAGTCGCATCTTCGGGTTCCGCTTCTAATTCTAGTTATCTTGCTGTTTTCACCACATCTGCAGTTACTTCCTCCACTGAAGTCTTGAACCCCTTAAAGTCATCTATGAGGGTTGGAATCAGCTTCTTCCAAACCCCTGTTAATGTTATATTTTGACCTCCTCCTATGAATCACCAGTGTTCTTAATGGCATTTTGAATGGTGAATCCTTTCTGGGAGGTTTTCAATTTACCTTGCCCAGATCCATCAGAGAAATCACTATCTATGGCAGCTATAACTTTACAAAATATATTTCTTTATTTTATTTTATTTCATTTTATTTTATTTTTTAAGATGGAGTCTCACTCTGTTGCCCAGGCTGAAGTGCAGTGGTATGATCTCAGATCACTGCTGCCTCCACCTCCCAGGTTCAAGTGATTCTCCTGCCTCAGCTTCCCAAGTAGTGACACCACACCAGGCTAATTTTTGTATTTTTTTTTTAGTAAAGTCAGGGTTTCACCATGTTGGCCAGGCTGGTCTCGAACTCCTGACCTCAAGTGATTTGCCCGCCTTGGCCTCCCAAAGTGCTCAGATTACAGGCATGAGCCACTGTGCCCAGCTTCAAAATATATTTCTTAAATAATAAGATTTGAAAGTCGAAATAACTCCTTGACCCATGGGCTACAGAATGGATGTTGTGTTAGCAGGCATGAAAACAGCATTAATTTCCTTTTAAATCTCCATCAGAGTTCTTGGGGAACCAGGTACATTGTCAATGAGAGGTAATATTTTGAGAGAAAACTTTTTATCCTGAGCAGTAGGTCTTAATACTGGGCTTAAAATATTCAGTAAACCATGCTGTAAACAGATGTGCCGTCCTCCAGGCTTTGTTGCTCCATTTGTAGAGCACAGGCAGAGTAGATTTGGCATAATTCTTAAGAGCTCTCTGATTTTCAAAATGGTAATCCAGTGTTGGCTTCAACTTAAAGTCACCAGCTACATTAGCCCTTAACAAGAGTCAGCCTGTTCTTTGAAGCTTTGAAGCCAGGCATTGACTTCTCCTCTGTAACTATGAAAGTCCTAGATGACATCTTAATAGAAGGTTGTTTCATCTACATTAAAAATCTGTTGTTTAGAGTATCCACCTTCATCATTTTAGCTAGATTTTAGCTAGATCTTCTGGATAACTTGCTGCAGCTTCTACATGGGCACTTGCTGCTTCACCTTGCACTTTTATATTATGGAGATGGCTTCTGTCCTTAAACCTTATGAACCAACCTCTGCTAACTTCCAACTTTTCTTTTTTTTTTTTTTTTTTTTTGAGATGGAGTCTCGCTCTGTTGCCCAAGCTGGAATACAGTGACACAATCTCGGCTTATTGCAACCTCTGCCTCCCGGGTTCAAGTGATTCTCCTGCCTCAACCTCCTGAGTAGCTGAGATTACAGGTGCATGCCACCATGCCCGGCTAATTTTTTTGTATTTTTAGTAGAGGTGGGGTTTCACCATGTTGGTCAGGCTGGTCTTGAACTCCTGACCTGATGATCCGCCCACCTCAGACTCACAAAGTGCTGGGATTACAGGCGTGAGCCACCACACCCAGCCCCAACTTTTCTTCTGCAGTTTCCTCACCTCTTTAAGCCTTCACAGAATTGGAGTGTTAGGGTCTTGCTGTGGATTAGACTTTGGCTTAAGGGAATGGTGTGGCTGGTTTGATCTTCTATCCAGACCACTGAGACTTTCTGCATATTTTCAATAAGGCTGTTTTACTTTCTTATTATTAATGTGTTCACTGGAGTAGCACTTTAAATTTCCTTCAACAACTTTTCCTTTGCATTCACAACTTGGCTAACTGTTTGGCCCAAGGGGCCTGTTGTGGCCTGCAATATGCCTTCCTCACTAAGCTTAATCCTTTGCAGCTTTTGGAATAGGGATGCCCGAGGAGAAGGAGAGAGGCAGGAGAGTGGACAGTGGGTGGAGAAGTCAGAACACTCACAACATCTATTGATTAATTTCACTGTCTTATATAGGTGTGGTTCATGGTACCCCAAAACAATTACAACAGTAACATCAAAGATCACTGATCACAGATCACCATAACACATATAATCATGATGAAAAGTTTTGAAATATTGCGAGAATTACCAAAATGTGACATAAAGACATGAAGTGAGCATGTGCTGTTGGAAAAATGGCACCAATAGACTTGCTCAATGCAGGGTTGCTGCAGACCTTCGATTTGTAAAATGCAATATCTGTGAAGTACAGTAAAGCAAATCACAATAAAATGAGGTATGTCTACATCTAAATGTATTTAAACATAGAAAAGGTACAGTAAAAATACAGTATCATTATCTTAGGGCATCAACGTTGTATATGTGGTCTGTCATCTACCGAAATGTCATTATGCAGCACATGACTTTATTGAAAATCATTGTAATATCTTTATTTTGGTAAATTTTTGTAAATCAATGTCTCATAAATCACATGCCCCTGTTTTCAAAAATACGTAATCAAGGAAGCAAGCTTTCTTGGTCAAGTATGCTGAATACTCAACCCCTTGGAGAGGCACGTAGTCATTAAGATGTTCAAGTCTCTGAGAAGTTCTGTTTTGAAGACACGTATTTCTATGTTTAACACAGTTTCCACTCCCGCGCCGCCCCCCCCTCCAAATTAAGTACCAGTCAGCCTCAGGGAGACTGAAGCCAGAACTCTCCTGATTGACCTATCTTTTTGATTGTGTAGTTATAGGATATTCCAAGATAAATGCATGAATACTACCTTGACGGAATGTGATTTCTCAAGTCTTTCCAAGTATGGTGACCACACCTTGAGAGTCAGGGCTGAATTTGCAGATGAGCATTCAGACTGGGTAAACATCACCTTCTGTCCTGTGGATGACAGTAAGCCATTTTGTTTTCCCTTTTTTTGTAATGTCATCATCTTGCCTTGTTTTTTTCCACATTGGTTGGTCCATCAACAAGAATTCTTTGAGGGCCCACAAATGGATGGCCTTGCACAAGGAGCTTAAGGAATATAATAAAGAGAGTTGTATCCCTAAAGAATTCATGGGAGAGACAGAAAAAGATAGGCATATCATCAATGCAACAATTAAATATAAATCTAACACCTTCAGTGCCTCAAGGATGTGACTATGTTGGGGCCCGTGCTGTTGAGGAGAAGTTCTGGAAGGATTCTTGTGGTGAATTTTCTGGGAGAAAGTCAGTATGGAATTATGACTTAAACAAAGAAACATAACGTGATAGGCAAAAGAATGAAGGCAGATGTAGAGATGGAAAATATGATGCGGACAGCCGGCTTGCCCAGAGCGAAGGACAGAGGGAGGGATAGGGCTGATGGCAGGTGGGTTGGGTCAGACTGGTTGGTCAGCATCAAAAATTGTTCCCAGGTTAGGTGGAGATTGCAGTGAGCCGAGATCACGCCACTGCACTCCAGCCTGGGCAATAGAGTGAGACTTGGTCTCAAAAAAAAAAAAAATATTGTTCCCAGGTTAGATTTGGAGGGTCATGGTGACCACCAGAGTCCCCTAAATATGAGATGAGCATATTTAGAATATCAGGAATTGAAAACTAATTAAACCATATATTAGCAATTGAGAGAGTAAAGAAGATTAGAGGTTAAAAGAACCTAATTCACAAAATTCACATACAGCCCTTCAAAACTCACATAGAGAAAAGCACTAAAAGAATTGTCTCTGGCTAGGCATGGTGGCTCACGTCTATGATCCCAACACTTTGGGAGGCTGAGGTGGTGGATCACTTGAGCCCAGGAATTTTCTTTTTTTCTTTCTTTCTTTCTTTTTTTTTTTTTTTTTTTTTGAGACAAAGTCTCACTCTGACACCCAGGCTGAAGTGCAGTGGCGCGATCTCAGATCACTGCAAACTGCCTCCAGGGTTCAAATGATTCTCGTGCCTCAGCCTCCTGAGTAGCTGGGACTTCAAGTGCCTGTCACTATGCCCAGCTAAATTTTTTTGTATTTTTAGTAGAGACGGGGTCTCACCATGTTGGCCAGGCTGGTCTTGAACTCCTGACCTTAAGTGATCCACCTGCCTCAGCCTCCCAAAGTGCTGGGATTACAGACATGAACCACCACACTTGTCCTTGAGCCCAGGAATTTAAGACCAGCCTGGGCAACATGGTGAAACCCTGTCTCTACAAAAAACAAAAAAAATACCAAAAAAAAAAAAAAAAAAAAATTAGCCAGGCATGGTGGAGTGTGCTTGTAGTCCCAGCTACTTGGGAGGCTGAGGTGGGAGAGTCATCTGAGCCTGGGAAGTCAAGGCTGCAGTGAGCCATTATCACACCACTGCACTCCAGCAGCCTGGGTGACCAGAGTGAAGTCTTATCTCAAAAAAAGAAGTGTCTCTATATGGGGAGTGGTCTTTATGCCGGTCCCTGCTCTGGACCCCCATGACCCCTACAGTTACATCCTCCCTGGTAGAGAATGATGCTAGGATGCCTTTCTTCCCTTTCCCAATTCCATCCCAAGCCTGGGTAAAAACGTCTTACTTTTGGAATCATAAATTATCAAAGTTAGATTATATTTTCTAATGGTACCTTTACAAAAACAAAGGAAAGATGAACAGAAAAGTAAGTTTCACAATAGTTAAAAGTACAAGTTTTTGCTCCTATAATTGCTAACTGGCTTACCAGGTCCTAACTTGTCCCAAATCCTGTTAGCTCCCATCCATGGAAGTTCCCTTTAGAGCCTAGGTACAACACGGTTAAGCAGCTTGTCAAAAAGTCATACAGGTCATGAGTGGCTGAGCAAGGATTCAGACCCAGGCTCTTGCTTCTGTGCTCTTAGCAACTACTACCCAATATTGGAGATTTGCCTCTTGAAGTCTATGTATTTTAGTGATAGGAAAGTGTTTCCAGGCATCATGCATAACCTATTTATACTTGCTTTGGCAAAGTATTCCAACAAGTTTTCTTGTCTGGTTTTCAGACGAGCACTTTAGAATGATGGAAGCAGGTCCATTAACAGCCCTGAAAAAGTAACAGCAGCCAAAGAAGAATACAGGACATAACTCAAACACCATGATTGCCTGGAACCATTTATGAATCATTCTATAGTTATTATTGAGTACATCTGTGTAACAGCTGCATTCTGAGCACTGAAGCTACAACAATGAACGAGACAAAATACCTCATGGAGCATATATGTGCTAATCAGGAATACAGATAATAAATAAATAGATACATATTACATGACAGGTAGTGACTATGGTTCTTAAGAAGACTGAAGCAAGGCAATAGGACAGAAAGTAATGGGAGCTGCACTTCTACATAGAATGGTAAGATACAGTCTCTCTGAGGAAGTAGCATTTGAGCAGAGACCCATATGAAGTGAAGGAGCCAGCCACATGAATATCTAGTAAAAGAGCATTCAGAAGGGAAACAGCTTTAGACATTGTTGGAAATATATATGGTTAATTATATATGTTAAACATGTAAAGGTGGCCACTAAAAATAATAGAGATGCCATCTGTAGCTTCCATCCTGAAAAAGGAAATAAAATTCAAGCCAACAAAAAGCAGGAATAAAAGAGGAGAAGACACCAAAAACATAAAATAGAAATTTAAAAAGAAATCCTTATAGAAAATACAAAATAGCGTAGCTGGAATAATTCCAAATGTATCAGAAACCACAATAAACATAAGTGGACTAAACTTCATTAAGAAAGACAAAGATTATCAGATTTTTTAAAAGAAACTAAATCCAACTACCCTTCTTAGCCATGTCAATCAATGTCATGACAATAGTATATCAAAGCAGTGTACTTCCGTGGACTAATTGTTCTGCATGGTTATGAAAAATTAATGTTGAAGTTTTTAAAATGTGATTTTTGATTGTCATTTTGCTTGTTCTTCTGCTTAGCCATTATTGGACCCCCTGGAATGCAAGTAGAAGTACTTGCTGATTCTTTACATATGCGTTTCTTAGCCCCTAAAATTGAGAATGAATACGAAACTTGGACTATGAAGAATGTGTATAACTCATGGACTTATAATGTGCAATACTGGAAAAACGGTACTGATGAAAAGGTAAGGTTGGCTAATTGCATTTCAGAGGTAGTAGGCTTTCATATTCTTTGCAGAATCTTGCAAGGTGGCAGCACCTTATGGACTGGTCCTCTGTAAGCCAAGAGCTTCCCAGACTGAGGGGTTACTGGTATCTCTGGCTCAAGCTTCCCAGACTCCTAAGGGATATGTGTAGAGCAGACTTTCAGGACAAAGTCTGCACAGTGACAGCAGACCTTTCCCTCCCTGAAGGGCAGCTGCAGGGGAAGGCACAGTTGAGTCAGAGTTAGCTAAGGGAACTTGGAGCTGGCTGAATTAGGTGATCAGCAAATTGACAACTGTCCCATGACATCAACCCCTGTGTCCCACACACACCGCAAATCAGGGACGTCCGTGGTCAAGACAGCCCCTTGTTGCTCTATTCTTCAGGGGACAATTTCTTTAAAAACATGGGCTTGGAGTCAAAAGATCTGATCGGAATATCACCCGTGCCACCATGTGCCATTGGTCACTTTCTTGACCCCAGCCTCCTCAAGTCTGCAAAATGGGCATAATAACTTACTTTATTAATAAAACAAGGATAATAACCTACTTCGTAAGATTGTTGGGGAATTTAATGAAATAATAGAAAATATAAACTCATCCCATTGCCTGGAATGATGTATATATGGTCAGTACATCAGTACATGAGGTTTCCTTCCTCTTTGCTAGACATGTTAAGGTTATTTTTATTCATCCTTGGTCAAGGTTTATTCTGACACCTAATGCTTCTGAGCTGAATGCCATTCATGGTCCTAAACTGACATATATATGTTATGTATGTCATATTACATATATGTTATCCCTTCCACATTAAATGTTGATTTTACCACTTAATTCTCAAAGTGTTTGGGAAGAAGGGATCACCCATGTTTATTATCTTAGGAATGATGTAGTTAAATTTATATACACACACTGCATAGCCCAAAAAATCTCAAGTTAATTTTTTTCCCCAAAAAATGTTCCATTAAATGATGCAGTGTCTTAGTCCTTTCCTGCTGCCACAACAAAATACCACAGACTAGGTAACTTATAAACACTAGAAATTTATTTCTCACAGTTCTGCAGGCTGGGAAGTCCAAGATCAAGGCACCAGCAGATTCAGTGTCTGGTGAGCACTGGCGTGCTCTGCCTCCTAGATGGTGGAAGGCAAAGGGCAAGGATGTAAACAGCTCCCTTGCTGCTCTTTTCTAAGGTCACCAATGGCATTCAGGAAGGCTCTGCCCTCATTATTTAATCACTTCTGAAAACCTCCACCTCTGAGTCCTATCATAGTGACAGTTAAGTTTCAGCATATGAATTCTGATACTCACAATCACTGATCAAATGCAGGCATCTCTGCTAAGCCCTGGGGTATAAAGATAAGAGCAGATTGCTCCCCTCCGGGAGCTAGCAACAGACCTCAATTAAGGATCTAGTTTTACAGTGAGCAGGGTCAGGTGCCTCCTGAGGCAAGTGTGAATGCAAACTCCACTTACTGTTTAGCTTCTTTTCTCACACATGCCCACAACATGGGCATCTGGTTACACATTTGTCCTCTCTCTTCGGCCAGTTGTGTGGCAACCTTCTGTGTGACTTACCGAGTGTGGAAAGGCTGCCTGCTGCACTGCTCCTCTCACAGGTGCCTGTGATGCCACCAATACAGGTTTTTTGGGGGTTTTTTTGAGGCAGAGTCACAGTCTGTCGTTGCCCAGGCTGGAAAGCAGCGGTGCGATCTCAGCTTACTGCAACCTCCGCCTCCTGGGTTCAAGCAATTCTCCTGCCTCAGCCTCCCAAGTAGCTGTGATTACAGGCATCTGCCACCACACCCCGCTAATTTTTCTATCAATACAGGCTTATATGGTTCCCCTCTAGAATGTAGAGATTCCTGAGGCGGTGCCAGACTAGGTCCCTAAACTCACAGCATGAAGGGCTTTTGAGAATTCTTTCTTCCTGTTGGGAGAAAGTGAGAAGATAAAACCAGAAGTTGCCCAGACGTGAAAGGGCAGAAAAAGCCCCAGCAGGGATTGAGAAGGTCCCTCTACTACTATGCCACCACCTTACCTGCTTGCCTCTGAGTTTAATCTTTGAAAAAATTTGCATTGTAAGGTTTTAGAGGCACTGGACTTCTGGAACTGCAAGCCCGCCATTTTTTTCAGTTGTTGCTTTGATTTGCTTTTGGTCTTTTAATTTACTTATTAGAAGTTAAACCATTTTCTTCATATATTCCATAAGTCTAATCCAATTATTGACCTCCATGGGCTTAGCTCCTCATGCAGTAGAGGCATATAGGCATGCTGTCAACGACCCCAACCCCAAAAAAGAACTAACCAATTGCGACTGGGTGTGGTGGCTCACACCTGTAATCCCAGCACTTTGAGAGGCCAAGGTGGGCAGATCACCTGAGGTCAGGAGTTCAAGACAAGCCTGGCCAACATGGCAAAACCCCGTCTCTACAAAAATACAAAAAAAAATTAGCTGAGTGTGGTAGTGTGCACCTGTATTCTCAGCTACTCGGGAGGCTGAGGCAGGAGAATTGCTTGAGCCTGGCAACGGAGGTTGCAGTGAGCCATGATCGTGCCACTGCACTCCAGCCTGGACGACAAGAGTGAAACTCCATCTCAAAAAAAATAATAATTAAAAGACCAGTTTATTTTATTTATTTATTTACTTTTTTCTTTATTTCTGAGACAAAGTCTCGCTCTGTCACCGAGGCTGGAGTGCAGTGTGGGGTGATCCTGGCTCACTGCAACTTCCACCTCCCAAGTTCAAGCGATTCTCGTGCGCCACCACGCCCGGCTAATTTTTTGTATATTTAGTAGAGATGGGGTTTTGCCATGTTGACTAGGCTGGTCTCAAACTCCTCAGTCCCCCAAAGTGCTGTGATTACAGGCACGAGCCAACACACCCGGCCTGCTTTATCTTTTTTAAAAAAGAAGTGATGGCTTGTGTGTCATTTAAGCTGGAGAATTCAGGAACCAAAATGGTTTGTGGGCACCACTGTCAGTCCTTGATGCACCCCCTGAGTGGCCTCAGGGTCCCTGAACTGAGAGGAGCACCTGCTACCTGCTCCTTCCTATTTTAAGTCTAAAACGGCTATTATCACTGATAAATGTGAAAAAAAAAAAGGTGGTGCCCTTCCACTGCTTAGTCATGTTCTTATTTTTGTCTCCATTACTAGTTTCAAATTACTCCCCAGTATGACTTTGAGGTCCTCAGAAACCTGGAGCCATGGACAACTTATTGTGTTCAAGTTCGAGGGTTTCTTCCTGATCGGAACAAAGCTGGGGAATGGAGTGAGCCTGTCTGTGAGCAAACAACCCATGACGGTAAGCCCTGAGATGCACCTCCGCTAAGCATCCTAAACAGCTTTATAGACACCTGCCCTAGACATGATTGCATCCAACTCAAATTCCAGCTCAGTTCAGAAATCTATCGCCCTGACATTATCTCTCAGCCCTGACTGCTCAGCTTCATGCTAGGAAGGAGACCACACCCGCTTCTGAGGCAGCTCATTCACTCTTAGATCAAAGGAGTTGCTAGAAACCTTTTCTGTCTGGTGGAGCGAGGTCTGCCTCCATGAGCCCCCCTTGGCAGTACTTATTCTACCATCCCAGGCTCCCTAAAGCAAGGCTCATCAGTCCTCCCAAGACCACCAGCAGAGCTCAAGCCCTGTCACATACCCCAAAGGTCTTTCCTCCCCAGGCGGCACATCTCCAGCCACTGCCGACATGTGATGGGAAGCAAGTGTCAGGAAATCTGACCACGGTCCTCAGCCAGTGCTGCCTGATTCAGGGCCCCTTATATGCAGGAATCCAGGATGTCAACACAGTCCTTCACACACCATATGGATCACTTCTAGCTTGGAGGAAGGAACGGGAGAAGGAAAGAGAGAAGGTTCCCATGGGCCTAAACACTGCATATTTATGTGCAGACACATTGCAGTTGCATGTTGGTGAAAACTGAGGCCCAGGTGTCTGCATACAAACAGCAGGCCTTCCTATAATTTAAAGATGTTGGTGAAGGGTTCAGCAAGCTCAGACAATGGAAGGATGAAACATGGCATGCGGCATGCAGTTTGATCAAAAAGAAAAACATGTCTGCCGGACGTGGTGGCTCACGCCTGTAATCCTAACACTTTGAGAGGCCGAGGCGGGCGGATCACCTGAGGTCAGGAGTTTGAGACCAGCCTGGCCAAAATGGCAAAACCCTGTCTCTACCAAAAATGCAAAATTTAGCCAGGTGTGGTGGCGCACACCTGTAATCCCAGCTACTTGGGAGGCTGAGGTGGGAGAATCGTTTGAACCCAGGAGGCAGAGGCTGCAGTGAGCTGAGGTCATGCCACTGCACTCCAGCCTAAGCAATAAGAGTGAGACCCTGCCTCAAAAAAAAAAAAAAAAGAAAAGAAAACATTTCAAATAGCTTGCAAATACCAGTAATCACCCATGAACTGACAAAATCCAAACATTTTACAAAACAAAAGGGTATGAGCCATTGAAAACCTGCTTTCATCAAACACCATTTTCATTTTTTCTTAAAACACACCTATCCCATTTAAATCCCACAAGTTTTCAATGAGAGCATTAGAAGGATCTTCTCCCATTTTACAAACTAGAACATGAAGGTTCAGAGAGTGATGCACTTTGGATGTTGCCCTCATCCAGATCTCACGCTGAAATGTAATCCCCAGTGCTGGAGGTGGCGCCTGGTGGGAGGTGACGGGATCATGGGGGCCCATTTCTCATGAATGGCTTATCACCATCCCCTTGGTGCTGTCCTCCCGAGAGTGAGTGACTTCCTGAGAGACCTGGCGGTTTAAAAGTATGTGGCATCTTGCTCTCTCTTGCCCCCACTTAGCTTTCCACCATGATTGGGAGCTTCTAGAGGCTTCCCCAGAAACAGATACCGCTATGCTTCCTGTACAGCCTGCAGATTCATGAGCTAATTCATCCTCTTTTCTTTATAAATTACCCAGTTTTAGTTATTTGTTTATTTGTTTTTTGGATGGAGTCTCACTCTGTTGCCTAGGCTGGAGTGCAGTGGCTCGATCTTGGCACAACCTCCGCCTCCTGGGTTCAAGCAATTCTACTGCCTCAGCCTCCTGAATAGCTGGGATTACAGTGCCCACCACCACACCCAGCTAATTTTTTTATTTTTAGTAGAGAGTGGGGTTTCGCCATATTGGCCAGGCTGGTCTCGAACTCCTGACCTCAAGTGATCCACCCACCTCAGCCTCCCAAAGTGCTGGGGTTACAGGTATGAGCCACCATGCCCAGCCATCCAGTTTTAGTTATTTCTTTATAGCAGTGCAAAAACAGCCTAAAACAGAGAGGTTAAGTAACTTGCCCAAATGCTAGTAAATGAAAAGGATCAACCAGAACACAGGCTCATTCATCTAAGCCCAGGTTATGTTTCCTGTAACTTACTACCTATAGATTAATTCCATAGGTAAACTGAGGCACCGTGTCCTTGTGGATAAAACAGGAAAGAGTAGTCTGCCTCATGGTGTGGTCAGATGAATCTGAAACAAGTTAGAGAACTTTACACGGAGGATGTAGATTAGTAGATTCTCCCACAGTTCACAACCTATGCAGAGCAGGGTCCTCTCTCCTGCCCCCTGTGGAACTCTCCATCTGGGGTGAGTAACAAAAGCATTCCTTGAATCATGTCACCATCACCCAGATGTGTCCTTGTTTAAGATGCTAAGATGCCCCAGTTTGAGACACCAGGAGACCCAAGCACTGCCCCAGAGGTTCATTACCCAAAATAAAATAACAGGGCGGGGCCCATGGATCCCTGTTTGAATGAGTCTCCGGGCGCCAAATTAGAGAACTACCGAAATATTAATGGAAGGATGGATGGATGAGTAGGAGCCTGGAACTTTCTCAAGACCTGGGATGTCAAATCCCAAGGAGACCTCACGTGTCCAGCTGTGGTGTGGACTGGGGGCCGCTCCAGCCAGCTCACTGCCGTATGACCCTGGAATCACCAAGAGCAGACTCACATGTTTGAGCTGAACATGCTGGAAGTGTGGGCCAGACGGCACCGCTTCTGGGCTCCGGTGCATGAAACAAACAAGAACCAAGAACTGGGATAAGGAGTGCTGAAACCCGCAAGGACAGGAGCTGGGGAGATGGGAGGCCGCCTGCGGGAATGAAAGCACAAGAGAACGAGGGCCATGGGGTTGGGGGCGGCACAAGTGCTCAGGTCCTTCCAGCCGCTTCCCTCATACAGATGCCACTTCCATCCCTCAGACGTTTAAGGAGTGTGCACTGTGAGCCACGCACTGTGACAAGCACCATGTCGTGCCAGCAGGTGACTGCACTTGCTGTAGCTCCAGGGTCATGTGCTGTGTCAGGGCTCTTTGATCCCTGTGTCCCTTTAAAACGACATGATCTTCATGGGCAGTGTTTGTTCTCTTGGCCCCTCTCAGAGCCAAATGCTGTGCTCGTGAGGGCGGTGCTGGTTGGCAGGGGATGGGCACAGAGAAATCAGGTGGCCAGGGCAGCTGGAGGAGGGACCTGGAGCCGAACAAGGGGAGCTGGGACCACGAGCAACCCAGGTGACATCCTGGACTCTGTCAAAGATAAGCAAAGCAGGACGCTAATTAAAGCAGTCAAAACATTTTATTCAGTAATGACTGGAGTTGGGAAAAGGGCCGAGTTCCATTTACTCAGAGGTGTTTTAAAGGGAGAACGAGGGCCGGGGCAGGAGGATCGCTTGAACCCAGGAGTTCGAGACCAGCCTGGCCAAAATAGTGGGACCCCCATCTCTATAAAATATTTTAAAAATTAGCTGGGCATGGTGACACATGCCTGTCGTCCCAGCTACCCAGGAGGCTGAGGTGGGAGGATCACTTGAGTCCTGGAAGTCAAGGCTGCAGTGAGCTGTGTTTGCACTACTGTACTCCAGCCTGGACAACAGAACAAGACTCTATCTCAAAAATGAAAATAAATAAAAGGAGAATGAGGGAGTAGAAAGAAAGAATGCGTGGGGAGTTGAGCAGAATCAGGGAAGTGAAAAAAATTTTAAATCAGCTAAGGGGATGGGTCAGTGCCGTGAGGCCCTCTGTGTCTGTGAACCGGTGTTTATCAAGGCTAGGCTTCTACCCTCCCACAGAGACAGGGAGACAGAGGCCCTGTACTTCCTGATGATTTCAAAAGAATGGCTCGCAGATCATTGAGAAAAATATCCCTGCGTTGTGGGAGATACATACATGTCTCAAAGGGACAGAGGAAGGATTCACCACTATAAGCCCTTTTTAATAAATGCTCTCCGAAAGAGAGGTCAAGGCCTCGCATCAGGGGCTGGGAAGAACAAATGGTAAGTTCCTTAGGCAGCCTTGGGTTTTTCCAGACAGGAATTCAAGGGTGTGGCCTTGGCCTGCTAGAAGCTATGCTGGGGTTTGGCCAAGTCTCTTAGTGCAGGGGTTTGTTTGTTTTGGCTTTGGTTTTGGTTTTTGAGGCGGGGTTTCACTCTGTCGCCCAGTTTGGAGTGCAGTGGTACAATCATAGCTCACTATCACAGCCTCGACCTCCCAGGCTCAAGCGACCCTCCCACCTCAGCCTTTCAAATTGCTGGGACTACAGGTGTCTGCCATCATACCCAGCTAATTTTTAAAAAATTTTTTTTGTTGTAGAGAAGGGGTCTCACTATGTTGCCCAGACTGGTCTCAAACTCCTGGGCTCAAGTGATCCTCCCACCTCGGCCTCCCAAAGTGCTGGGGTTACAGGTGTGAGCCACCACACCTGGCTTAGTGCAGGGGTTTGGATAGAGTTGTTCACGCAGAGTTTCTGTTTTTCTCAATATAGAACGAGATGGTGCCTGTGTTTAACTCAGGCTCAGGTGTCCAGGGGAGTATCACTTGCTGTGTCAAGGCAGAAGTGGTATATCCAGACCTGGGAGGCCCATTGCTACACTGCCAGTAGTAGGTACAGTGGATCAGAATTCTTGCTTGTTATTCTTTTGATGTATGTCAGCAATAATTCCAGAAACCAAACTTTGGAGAAGATAGGAAAAGGGTGAAACTCTTCAAAAACCTCTGGGTCCTCCAACCAGTTGCTGTTTCTGAGACGTCCCCCAAGATAAACGTACAGGCTCTGTTTTCAGGGATTGTGATGGTTAAAATGCTCTTGGGATCACTGTGACCCGACCTGTGACAAGAATGTAACATGCCCATTACCCCTGGCAGAAACGGTCCCCTCCTGGATGGTGGCCGTCATCCTCATGGCCTCGGTCTTCATGGTCTGCCTGGCACTCCTCGGCTGCTTCGCCTTGCTGTGGTGCGTTTACAAGAAGACAAAGTACGCCTTCTCCCCTAGGAATTCTCTTCCACAGCACCTGAAAGAGGTAGGTAGGATGGAGTGAGATGTGGATTTGAAAACCTTGATCGGAAAGAGCTTTCCTTTCTAGTTAGGGCTGCCCAATTCCAGACAACATGTTTTCCAGGAAAACACACACGCGCGCGCGCACACACACACACACACACACACAGACACGCCTCTTGTGTGCTGGTCCATTCTCTTGTAACCATGTCAGGTGAAGGAACAGCCCCGAGGAAAGGGGCGCGGGGTTGTCCAGTATCCCTCTCTGCACCTAGGGCATCGCTCCTTCTCCAGCCTTCACTGCCCAAAGCCCCAGGTCCCTGAGGAGCAAAGGTGATGGTTCTAGGGCAGGAGGGGAAAAACAGAGCTCAGTGTGGAAGAAAGAGAAAACTGGAGGCTAAATGCCAGGAAATCACCAGAGGGAGAGAATGGGAGGAAAGAAAGGAACATTTCCAGTTTTGGAATATACGAGAGCGATTGAAATTCTGGGTAGTGTTTCCTGGACTTTAGGAAGGCTATTTGTAAAAGGGTTAGGAAGAAGAAACAATGCACCTGACTAATGATAACAGGACTGAAGAAGCCCTAAGAAATGAAACTCTGGATAGTCACTGACACTAGAGAATGAAAAGATTCCAAGCCCGGACCCAAAGGAACTATCTTTGGTCTCATTTCCCAGGAAGCAGACTCTAAGATAGAGATTTGTATTCAAAAGGCTTGATGGGGAACATCCTTGGGAATAATACCCTAAAGGAGTGAAGGTAGCCAGATGTGGCAGAGAGAGGTTGAGCTGTCACACAGCCACAACAGAGGCCTCAGCCAATCCCATGTGGCCTCTCGAGCTGGGGTGGCCCTTTAGAGATGTCCTAAGCTGAGGCAAGAGGGATGGGCGTGTGAACTCCACATTGGCCATGCGCTGGATGTGGGCTACTCCCAGGAAGGGGCCCTAAGCTAGGGTGAGAGGTGAGACAGCAGCAGCCAGGAGCTAGGAGCACGAGTGCCTCATTCCTGAAGGCACCACAGCCTCCATTACAGTCACCCCTGGGACCACTTGGATCTACTGGAAGCAGCTCCTCCAGGATCTGAGTTGATCTCGTTTCCTGGGGAGGGTTACAGGAGGAAGATGAGTGGAATGCACTCCAGCCCCCACCGCTGCTGCTGGTGTCGGGACCACAAAGGAATGCTTGTGGGCTGGCTCCTTCCTCCGCTGCCCTGAGGGCCCGCTCTCCTCTCCCGGGAGGAGCCTGTGCTGTAGGGGCTGCTGACCTGATTGGGTGACCCAGCCCTCATCCCAGAAAGCACTGAGCCTCCGGTCCCCAAGCCCATCTCAGGCAATGGCCTGTCCCTGCACTTGTCAATTTGCTGTCAAAATCGGGCAGGGGAGTCCCAGGAGGTGCCCAGTGACTCTGGCGGGTACCCACTGTGATACAGTGGTGACTTCTCTCTTGCCTGCCAGTCTCTTGGCCTGAGGAGGTGGCTTAAAGTTTATCGGGCCTTGTTTCATGTCCCCTGGTAGAAATGCTCCCACTCTGGGAACCTTCTAGACCAGGTGTCAGCAAACTTTTTCTTAAAGGGCCAGGTAAAAAATATTTTAGAAGGCCAGGCACAGTGGCTTATGCCTGTAAGCCTAGCACTTTGGGAGGCTGAAGTGGGTGGATCACCTAAGGTCAGGAGATCGAGACCATCCTGGCTAACATGGTGAAACCCCGTCTCTACTAAAAATACAAAAAATTAGCCAGGCGTGGTGGCGGGCGCCTGTAGTCCCAGCTCCTCGGGAGGCTGAGGCAGGAGAATGGCGTGAACCCGGGAGGCGGAGCTGGCAGTGAGCCAAGATCGCGCCACTGCACTCTAACCTGGGCAACAGAGCGAGACTCCGTCTCAAAAAAAAAAAATACAAAAATACAAAAATTAACCCGGCATGCTGGCGCATGCCTGTAATCCCAGCTACTCGGGAGACTGAGGCAGGAGAATCGCTTGAACTCGGGAGGTGGAAGTTGCAGTGATCCCTCACACCACTGCACTCCACCCTGAGCAACAGAGCGAGACTCCATCTCAAAATTTAAAAAATTTTAAAATTTATATATATATATTTGAGGTTCTGTTGGCAAGAAATAAAAATCAAAATTATGTAGTCACTTATATAACCACTTAAATATAATCATTTAAAAATCCGAAAGCCATGTGAAAAAACAAGTGGTAGGCCGGATCTGCCCCGTGGGCCTTTGTTTGCTGGCCCTGCCCTAGACCCACAGAGCCTCAAATCACAAGGCCAGGGAGCAGCGGTTTCCCCAGTAGGTCACTGGGCATGATGAGGGTGAACAGGGCCACTCCTGCCCTGCGCTTGCTTCCTGACGCAGGTGTTCCACCTGCTGGGGACACAGCCCCACATGATTGTTGGTCTTGGGTGCATGCCAGGGGCTGGAGGACAATGCCTTGCCCTCACCAGGTGTCATCTCCAAGCTGGCGCCTCCCCTGCACTTTCAACAGGCCGCTCCGTCCTTCTTCCAGTCTGGCAGCTGCTGGGTGGTGCAGGGTGGGATACGACCAGGGGGGTCCCGCCTTCACTGTCAGTGGGCCCATTGGTCTGGCACCATGTGATACGGCGTCTCTACTAGTTTGTCGGGGCTGCTGTAGCAAAGTAGCACTCGTTGCGCAGCTGTAACAACGGGAATTGATTCTCTCACGGTTCTCGAGGCCAGACGTCCAAAATCAAGGTGTCACTAGGATGGTTTCCTTGGAGGCTGTGAGGGAGGATCTGTCCCAGGCCTCTACCCTAACTTCTGAGGGTTGCTGGCGATCTTTGGCGTTCCTTGGCTTCTAGAGGCATCACCCAGTCTCTGCCTTGATCTTCACAAGCCTTCTCCCTATGTGAGTGTCTGTGTCCACATTGCCCCTCCTTTATACAGACACCAGTCACGGGAGGAGGGCTCACCCTGCTCCACTATACCCTCATTCTAACTTAACTGATCCCCTCTGCAGCAACCCTATCTCCAAATACAGTCACATTCTGAGGTAGAGGGATTAGGACATATGAATTTCTTTTTTTTTTGGAGACGGAGTCTCACTCTGTCACCCAGGCTGGAGTGGAGTGGCATGATTTCGGCTCAGTGCAAGCTCCGCCTCCTGGGTTCAAGTGATTCTCCTGCCTCAGCCTCCCAAGTAGCTGGGATTACAGGTGCCCTCCACCACGCCCGGCTAATTTTTGTGTTTTTAGTAGAGACAGGGTTTCCCCATGTTGGCCAGGCTGGTCTCAAACTCCTGACCTCAAGTGATCTGCCCGCCCTGGCCTCCCAAAGTGCTGGGATTACAGGCGTGAGCCACAGCGCCTGGCCCAGAACATGAATTTTGTAGGAACAGAATTCAACACCTAACAGGATCCTCTACCAGGAGAGAAAACACCTGTGAAACCTTGGGAATCCTGACAGGCCCTGCAGGACACGAACAGCAAATCACTCCTAAACTAAAGGTTAGCTCCAGCCAGGATGCACCACTGCCCCTTCCAGAGTGGTGCAAGAGTCGACGTCATCAGCTTGCTACCAGGTGGCTGGTCAGTCTCCTCGGGGAATGCCGTCATATCAGGGGCTCAGCATTGATCTCTGTCGCAGGCAGGTTGGACATTCCACAGCAGTGGTGGCTACCCAGCCGTGGGAGTGGGAGCCCCTTCTTTCAGGCCCACGCGCAGCCTCCATCCCTGCCACCACGGCTGCTGTGTTCATGAGCCCTGTGCCATGTACAGGTGACCAGTGGCAGAGGCTGGCTGACATCCACTGGCTGTGTCATCATGTCTCCCTGGCTGTCTGCTGTCTATGATACATGCTCTCAGTGGGAGTTAATATGGGATGCAGAAATCTCCACGCTCCAGCTACTCCCTCAGGTCCATCCTTCTTCCCAAACGTCCTTGTCCCTAACCTTCCAGTCTTCCTTCCCCAGGGCCCCTGACCACCAGGCTTGTCACTAACCCCTGCCTGGGATCCCACAGCTGGCCTGATCTTGGGCTGCTTTTCTTTCCACATAAAGGTGATGATCAGACCCACGGCCCAAAGCTCTGCCCGTGGGGACACTTTCTCCCTGGTTGGGGCTGAAGTGCAGCAGCGGGCCACTTTCGGTGTGTGCCCACATACCATGCTAACCTTGCCATGAAACCAGGCCGGCCTTTCCTCCTACTTCTGCTAGGCATAATTACCCATCCCCCTTTATGGTCATCATGTGAGCAGACACAGACACGGTGCGACAGGGGTAGAGGGGACAGGAGTCCGAGCCACCTGCATGTGGCCAACATGCACCCTCTGACCCCATCTCAGGACCTACTGGGTCTCAGGCCTCATGATGGTCACTTCTGGGCAGCACCATCACCTCGCGTCCCTCGTCAGAAGCTCTGTCTCTGCCGGGACCCCATAGCGTCCCAGGAGCTGCTTTTTCAAACAGAGTACAATTATCTGCTGCAGATGGCCCCGCCTGACCCCAGAACTCTCGTATCTATGTTGTGACTTTCCTCTTGGGATTTGCCATAAACTCCACCCAGCATCTTTTCCCACCCCAGACACTTCAAGGATATGCGAAGTCACACATTCCCCAGGTTGGATTCACAGGCCGTCCCTGGTGGGTAATGTACCAGTCCTGAGGTGTGCATAGGGCTGCAGGCTGCACGGCCCATACCTTCTGCAGGGCCCTTTCCTGCCTGGGGCCCCTCCGTGCCAGCAGCCTCCTGTGTGGTTTGATAAACATATTGGAACAGTCAGTATTCCTAGGCGTGGAACATGCTGCCTCCAGAACCCTGAGGCCTCCACAGCACAATGCTTCCTTCCTAGTGGTGGGAGGGGCAAGATACAATAATTGGTCCTTTAAAGAGGATGTCCTGGCATGCCCCACTGCAAGGGTCCCCTCAAATATCACAGATGTGGCAGGTCCCTGAATCTCTACAGGGTGAGTTTCTCACCCTCTGCAGTGTGTGTGCCTCACCAATGCCTTGCCACTTCTTGGCGTGTCTGGTCCTATTAATGTATTGTTGTGATAGCTAATATCAGGCCCTTGTCCCCGCACCACCAGTCAGCTGATGCAGGCTGCCTCTGGCAAGGGCACAGAGCCTTGACCGAGGCAACTGCCTTCTGGGAAGGGCACAGCCTAGAAAGGGACTCAGCTGTGAGCCATTTCAGCCTCCGATATTCCTGGAGGCTGGGGGAACAAGCGCCTCCTCCACAAAAGGGATCTGGGCAACATAGCACTGCATCTACCCTCGATGGCAAGTGGGGCACAGGACCATAGGCAAGTGTTTCAGAGCGACTAGAACCCCCTACAGAGAGTGCCAGGCCGAGCATGGTGGCTCACACCTATAATCCCAGCACTTTGGGAAGCCAAGGCTGGCAGATCACTTGAGGTCTGAAGTTCGAGACCAGCCTGGCCAACATGGTGAAACCCTGTCTCTACTAAAAATACAAAAATTAGCCACGCCTGTAATCCCAGCTACTCAGGAGGCTGAGGCACAAGAATCTCTTGAACCCGGGAGGCTGAGGTTGCAGTGAGCAGAGATCGCGCCACCGCACTCCAGCCTGGGCGACAGAGTGAGACTCGATCTCAAAAAAAAAAAAAAAGTACCAAGGAGACTGCAGCACCAGCATGAACTAAGAATCCTCTATGAGCTTTTGAGAAGCCACAGCTGCAGCAGGAAGAACAAAGAATGAGGGTGGGCCCTTTGCTTGGGTAAAAGGTGTTGTGTTAACTGAGAACCAAAAGGAAACAAAATTATTCACCTGCTATTTTTGCTTCTGGCTTCACCATCAGAGAAACTGGTCAGACAGGAAAGAACAGACGGAATGAACGGTAGAGGGGCCTGCTGGCATAAGCTCTCACCTCCGAGGCTAGAAGACTTTGCAGACTTGACCGTGGAGCCAGCCCCTGTAAGATCTGAGAAATCAGAGATGGGAGTGGAGGGTGCTGGAGAAGGGCCAGGCAACTACGGAGCAGTTCGAGGTCCTCACATCACGACTTTCTCCAGCTTGACTCATAATGATAGAATCCATTAACCAGGATCCAGAGGATCATTTCGAGTTCAGGGAGATTTGCTAGGAATGGAGACTTTGAGTTAAAAAAGCACTAGGGAGGTTCATCCTACACTGATCTATTGAGCCAGCCACCAGTTTGTGTGTGTGTGTGTGTGTGCGTGTGTGTGTGTGTGTGTCCAACCGGGAGACTCAGCTGATACTGCTTCCTTGAGATTTAATACACCTTCCTTTGATCTCTCCTGTCCCCATTATCCCAGGAAAATCCAGAGTAGCTTCCAGTCCATTCTCATTAATCCACTGGATCCAAAGTTTAGAGAGGTTCCCCTTCCCTCCAGCCTCCTTCCTGGCCCAACAGAGGAGCACCCCACCACCCTCCATCAGCTGCTCAAAACCCACAAGGGAAAAATCCCTACAGGTCCATGCCAGGAGGTAGTGGAGCTACCCTCAGGTTCCATTAAGTCATACCAGAAGGCTGAGTGTAGAAATGACATTAAGAGGGGTTCCATCTGTAGGGAAAGGGTTCAAGATGCAAAGCTTTACAGAAGGTTCTCCGTCTAATTGTGAAGATTAAGAGCACTGGTGGACCTAGGAAGATGAAGAATGGAGAGTGGGAAACCAGCAGAGATTTCAGGAAATGTATAGGGGCATCTTCATCGTTCAAAGCACCGGAGAGACAAAGATTATTAGACTGTGGTCCCTGCCCTTAAGGAGCCCTGGCTACAGGTGACACAAACTGAGAAGAGTTGGTGTCTATTAAAAGTGAGAAGGCAGCTCTGTCTGATAGAGCATATTGCAAGCCATGTGTGTTTTAGATTTGCTAGTAGCCACATTTTTAAAAAGTCCAAAGATTGGGCCGGGTGCGGTGGCTCACGCCTGTAATCCCAGCATTTTGGGAGGCCAAGGTGGGCAGATCACGAGGTCAGGAGATCGAGACCATCCTAGCTAACGCTGTGAAACCCTGTCTCTACTAAAAATATTAGCCAGGCAAGGTGGTGGGCGCCTATAGTCCCAGCTACTCGGGAGGCTGAGGCAGGGGAGTGGCGTGAACCCGAGAGGTGGAGGTTCCAGTGAGCTGAGATCGCACCACTGCACTCCAGCCTGGGTGACAGAGCAAGACTCCGTCTGAAAAAAAAAAAAAAAAAAAAAGTCCAAAGATTGGCCGGGCATGGTGGCTCACACCTGTAATCCTGACACTTTGGGAGGCTGAGACAGGTTGATCACCTGAGATCAGGAGTTCAAGACCAGCCTGGCCAGCGTGGTGAAACCCCATCTCTACTAAAAATACAAAAATTAGCCAGGCATGGTGGCGGGCACCTGTAGTCCCAGCTACTCAGGAGGCTGAGGGAGGAGAATCTCTGGAACCTGGGAGGCAAAGGTTGCAGTGAGCCAAAACTGTGCCACTGCACTCCAGCCCAGACGACAGAGCGAGACTCCATCTCAAAAAAAAAAAAAAAAAAATCTTCGTTTGTATAGCAGTGAGTATCCCCACTTGTAAAAAAATAAAATAAAAATAAATAATAAATCAAAAGATGCCAGAGGCCGTGGCTCACGCCTGTAATCCCAGCACTTTGGGAGGCCAAGGTGGGTGGATCAGCTGAGGTCAGGAGTTCAAGACCAGCCTGGCCAACATGGTGAAATCCCATCTGTACTAAAAATACAAAAATTAGCTGGCGTGGTAGCACATGCCTGTAATCTCAGCTACTTGGGAGGCTGAGGCAGGAGAATTGCTTGAACCTGAGAGGTGGAGGTTGCAGTGAGCTGAGATCGTGCCACTGCACTCCAGCCTGGGTGACAGAGCAAGACTCTGTCTCAAAAAAATAAAATAAACATTAAAAATAAATAAATAAAATAAAATAGATTTTCCAGCCAGGAGTTCTGTGAAAAAATCTTTGTAAACCCAGAAAAAGAAATGGAGAAAATTGATCATTAACTGTCCTCTTTCCCTCCACAGTTTTTGGGCCATCCTCATCATAACACACTTCTGTTTTTCTCCTTTCCATTGTCGGATGAGAATGATGTTTTTGACAAGCTAAGTGTCATTGCAGAAGACTCTGAGAGCGGCAAGCAGAATCCTGGTGACAGCTGCAGCCTCGGGACCCCGCCTGGGCAGGGGCCCCAAAGCTAGGCTCTGAGAAGGAAACACACTCGGCTGGGCACAGTGACGTACTCCATCTCACATCTGCCTCAGTGAGGGATCAGGGCAGCAAACAAGGGCCAAGACCATCTGAGCCAGCCCCACATCTAGAACTCCCAGACCCTGGACTTAGCCACCAGAGAGCTACATTTTAAAGGCTGTCTTGGCAAAAATACTCCATTTGGGAACTCACTGCCTTATAAAGGCTTTCATGATGTTTTCAGAAGTTGGCCACTGAGAGTGTAATTTTCAGCCTTTTATATCACTAAAATAAGATCATGTTTTAATTGTGAGAAACAGGGCCGAGCACAGTGGCTCACGCCTGTAATACCAGCACCTTAGAGGTCGAGGCAGGCGGATCACTTGAGGTCAGGAGTTCAAGACCAGCCTGGCCAATATGGTGAAACCCAGTCTCTACTAAAAATACAAAAATTAGCTAGGCATGATGGCGCATGCCTATAATCCCAGCTACTCGAGTGCCTGAGGCAGGAGAATTGCATGAACCCGGGAGGAGGAGGAGGAGGTTGCAGTGAGCCGAGATAGCGGCACTGCACTCCAGCCTGGGTGACAAAGTGAGACTCCATCTCAAAAAAAAAAAAAAAAAAAATTGTGAGAAACAGAAATACTTAAAATGAGGAATAAGAATGGAGATGTTACATCTGGTAGATGTAACATTCTACCAGATTATGGATGGACTGATCTGAAAATCGACCTCAACTCAAGGGTGGTCAGCTCAATGCTACACAGAGCACGGACTTTTGGATTCTTTGCAGTACTTTGAATTTATTTTTCTACCTATATATGTTTTATATGCTGCTGGTGCTCCATTAAAGTTTTACTCTGTGTTGCACTATATGTGTTCATGATACTACCTGTGTGTCATTGTTAGATACTGAAAAAGGCTCTAGTTTGCCATCTTGATGTCCACTCATTCCACAAGTACTTCCTAGACCCTGCCTGCTGTTGACCAGGCACTGTGTTAGGTACTAGGTCTCAGTCATCTGGGAGCTCTCAGTCTAAAGCTTCAAAAACTAGAATTGCAGTCAAGGGCCAGATCCGTTATTAAAAAAAAAAAAACCTAGAAATAAAAAGTATAGTTGTGGAAGTTTAAAAAGCCAGGGGACAGGCTTAACAACAGATTAGACACAGAACTGAGCAAAAAAGGGAGTCTCCAGGTACAATGGCTCACTTCTGTAATCCCAGAACTTTGGGAGGCTGAAGTGGGAGGATCACTTGGGCCCAGGAGTTGAGACCATTCCAGGCAACATGGTGAGACCCCTTCTCTACAAAAAGTTTTAAAATTAGGCATGGTGGCATGTGTCTGTAGTCCCAGCTACTCAGGAGGCTGAGGTGGGAGGATAGCTTGAGCCCAGGAGGTCAAGACTGCAGTGAGCTATGTTCATGCCATTGCCCTCCGGCCCTGCCTGGGTGATGGAATGAGACCCTGTCAAAAAAAAAGAAAGAAAGAAAGGAAAGAAAAAAAAGAAAAGAAAGAGAAAAGGAAGGGTATTAGGGTTCTCCAGAGAAACAGAACCAATAGAATGAACATAGAGATTTATTTGAAGGAACTGTGGAGGCTGGCAAGTTCAAAAACTGCAGGGCAGACCAACAGGCTAGAGACCCAGGTAAGAGTGGATGTTTCAGCTTGAGCAAAAGCAGTCTGGAGGCAGAATTAACTCCTCCTCAAGGGACCTCAGGCTTCTTTTCTCTTAAGGCCTTCCTTCAAGTGATAGAAGTGAAACTCACCCACATTATGGAGGGTAATCTGCTTTACTCAAAAATCTATGGATTTAAATGTTAATCTCATCTTTAAAAATACCTTCACACCAACATCAAGACTCGCATTTTACCTAATCAGTCTAGCTGGTTGACACATAAAATTAACCATCATAGGGAGGGTAGATCTGTGATTGCTTTTTTGAAACTTTTTTCAATGTTTGCTGCATGTATATAGAAATAAAATTTGGCCGGGTGTGGTGGCTCACATCTGTAATCCCAGCACTTTCGGAGGCTGAGGCAGGTGGATCACCTGAGGTCAGGAGTTCGAGACCAGCCTGGACAACATGGTGAAACCCCGTCTCTACTAAACATACAAAAATTAGCCAGGCGTGGTGGTGCACACCTGTAATCCCAGCTATTTGGGAAGCTGAGACAGGAGAATCACTTGAACCCAGGAGGTGGAGGCTGCAATGAGCCAAGATCGTGCCACTGCACTCCAGCCTGGGTGACAGAGCGAGACTCCATCTCTAAATAAATAAATAAATAATAAAATAAAAAATTATTTTTGAAATTGAATTTTAAGATCTTGTTACACTTTTTTAAAGAAAAAAGAAGTTATTATCCAGGGCACAGTACAGAGAAACAAAAGAATGGAAAATATGAGTGGTTAGGATACAAGCCTGAAAAATCAAGCTGCAAGCGTAGATTAGCAAGCTGGAAGCTTGCACAGGTGAATGCGGCAGCTGTGCCAATAGAAAAGGGATACCTGGAAGCCAAGTACATCCAATATGGAGGTTCCTCCTCCCTTCTCTTTGTCGTCATGTGTGCAGGTGTCATGGTGCTGGCCAGGTAGAGACCCCATCTGCAGAATAAAAGATTAGGGTGGGATGGCCAGCCTCTTTGTGGGCTATGTAAATGGCACAGCTGGCCCAACCAATCCACTATGCCCTATATAAATCAAACACTGCCTCTTCAAGCTCATCTGTAAAACCAACCGTATCTTGCCCCAAACCCGGAAACCCACTCGGACCCACTCGCACCCCCTCCCTCTGCACAAGGAAGCTCTCTCTTCTTTCTTTCAACTATTGAACTTCCACTGTTAAACCCAGTTTTTGTGTGTCCATGTCTTCGATTTCCTGTGTCTGTGACTTCAATTTCCTTAGCATAAGACAATGAATCTTGGGTATTTCCCCAGACAAAGGATGCCACTTCACCAGGAAGTGACTAAGGGAAGAACACCTGTGGGAAAATGTCCAAGAATTCTGGGACCAGAAGGGGTTTCAGCAGAGCATCTGTGGGCCACCAATCAGACATTCTAGCAGAAAACATATGTCCAGTTGGTTTGAAAGATTCCCTGAGGGGAAGACAGTGTAAGCCATCCTCACCCCCTTCCACCCTTCCTCCTCGCTCTTTCTGGCTGCCTCGCCTTGTTGAAAATATCTCACTTCCTTTTGGGGCTCCTGCCCCTCCCCTAACATACCTCCCACACCCATCCCCAGACTGGTTTAGCCTCCAGGGCACCTTTGTTCCTTCCTCTCACAACCATGGGTCTCAGCCGTAGCTGCACACTGTGGCCGCCAGGAGAGCTTTAGAAATGTGGATGCCCAGGCCTTACCATGACCAATGAATTTCAGCTCTCTGCAGAGGGATTTTTGCATCAGCATTTTTTAAAGCTCCTAGGTGATTCCAGTTTGCAGTCAAGGTGGAGAACAGCTGCTGTAGCAGAGCAGTTATGATAGATTGAAAGGACGTGCTTACCTGCACTTCTGTGTGACCTTATGTTATCTGGCTTTCAAAGGGGTCGCTTTCTTTTAATACCCAGCTAACTGACTCCACTCATTACCTTGTGCTTCCACAGGAAGATTTCTTTCCTGAGGGGTTGTGAGTGTCTCTGGGAAACATGCCCCAGGAATGCATCCTTCCCATGCACTTCAGCCTTCTCGGCTGCTCACCACTGACCACCTGGGAAGCAATTCTCCAAGTTGCTACCCCTTTCTTTGTGCCTAATAAGATAATCCTAAGTAGCTGGTACAAAGAAATATTTGTTGAATTAATGGATAATAAATAATGATGGCTAGGTGCGGTGGCTCACCCCTGTAATCCCAGCACTTTGGGAGGCCGAGGTGGGTGGATCACCTGAGGTCAGGAGTTTGAGACCAGCCTGGTTAACATGGTGATACCCCGTCTCTACTAAAAATACAAAAAATTAGCCAGGCGTGGTGGCAGGTGCCTGTAATCCCAGCTACTCAGGAGGCTGAGGCAGAAGAATTGTTTGAACCCGGGAGGCGGAGGTTGCAGTGAGCCGAGATCGTGCCACTGCACTCCAGCCTGGGTGACAAGAGGGAAACTCCATCTCAAAAAAAAAAAAAAAGGTAAACAAAAGCCTTCTTGGGATACATGACAATTATACATGCAGATTAAACAGAGAGCTGTAAGTTAACAAATCACCATAAAACATATGCAAGCGAAAAACAAAAATAAAACAAATATGCAAAGTGAAAGAAAACAGTTATGTTCTGTACAGGATATCCAGATGCTACAGTCTGGATGTTTGTGCCTCTCCAAAATTCGTATGTAGAAATCTTTAGGAGGTGGTGAATGGGATTAATGACCTCATAAAAGAGGAGCTGCCCATCTCTTCCACCATGTGAGGACACAGAGAAGGTGCCACCTATGAGGACAGGCCCTCACCAGACACTCAATCTGCTGATGCCGTTCTCAGAGGTGTTTGAACCAGAGCGACTCCATCTTGAAGAGGGGCTGGGTAAAGTAAGGCTGAAACCTACTGGGCTACATTCCTTGGACAATTTCTGTTGTTTTAAACCACCCAGCTTGCGATCATTTGTTACTTCTGCCGCAGGAAACTTAATCCAGCACGGAAAGACTCTGTTGTTTTACCCTGACCAGTTCTAATATCTTCTTAGTATCTAAAATGGGGAAGAAGATGGGCAGAGGGTCATTCAGATTTATTTTACGGGAACTTAGTATCTTACTCTTCTCAGCAAGGGAGTTAGCTGAGAATGACTGGGCATGCTGCCTCACTGTCCCATTTCCTGAACTCTCTAGTTCAGAAAATGCTGTTGCAAATCAACTTCCTTAAAAAACAAACGGGAAGTAAAAAACAAAGTCTATTTTATGAACTAGAGACTCAGAGACTCAACATGATTTTTCTCCCTGAGTCAGGTCCATGGTTCTGTCTCCTGACCACCTCACCACTCCTGTTTGAATCAAGCAGACACCAAACAATGTCTTTGTTTCCATGCCCATGAGAACTCTTAATTAAACAGCCACTGACTATTGGGCTGGCACTTTACGAGGTCAAATTTATTGCTGTTGGATTGTGATAAAAAAGATAACCGGAAGGTTAAAGCTGTGGGAGTAATATCTCTGAGCAGGAGGAGTCATGGCAAGGACAGACTTTAAATTGGGTTAAACAATTCAATATAAACAGGAAACACAAGCCAGCTGCAGTTCCCCTCCTCTTGGCCTCTGCCTGGGGCCTGCCTGCTACTGGGCTGCCCCTGAGGGTCGCATTGCACACCTGCCCTATGGAGCTGATGGGGTGGGAGCGATAGCCAACCCTTACTTACTGCTTCCTATGTGCAGGTCTTGTTCTAAGCACTTTTACATTTTCATTTAATTCCCACAGCAACCCAGTTAAGCAGATACTATTATCTGCCTCATTTTTCAGATAAAGAAACTATGGCACAGAGAGGTTCAATCACTTACCTAAGATCACACAGGCAAGAAGTGACAGAGCCAGGACTTGAACCCAAGTGGTCTGGCTCCAGACTCAATCATCTAAGATAGCCACCCATGATCCCCACCTCCTGGTAGCCACACCCTTGAGTAATCCCTTCCTCTTGAGTGTGGACAGTGCCAATGACCTGCTTCTACCCATGGAAAGCGACACAGGTGACAGGATGCTGTCTTAGATTCCATAGGATTGTAATTCTCATCTTGCCAGCAGACTCTCTCTGTTGCCTTCTTGGACAGCACACTTGCATGAAGCAAGCTGCCATATTGGAGAAGTCACATGGCTAGGACCTGAGGATGCCTCCTCCAGCCAACAACGAACAGGGAATCGAGGTTCTCAATCCAACAGCAACAGGGTGAGGCACTGTTCTAAAAACAAGAGGCTGGAGCTCAAGGTGGACTTTCAGCGATTCCCTGCTCCTCATCCAGGGAGCTGCCAATCAGGCATAAGTCACGCCCCTTCTGCCAGGCAGGAGACTTCTTTCATTTCTAGGGAAATGGAAGCTGGGGGTTCCCCGATGACTGCTCCATGCGGGAGTGCCAAGGCTGGGCCCCCTTGCGTTAACTTCAGGCAACTCTGAATCATCATCCATCTCCAACTTCTCCCTCTGCCCAATCCTACTTTCCTCACTCCTTACAAGTGTTGTCCCCAAGAGCATTTCCAGATGAATTTCCCACATGCAAATTTTCCTTCCAGAGTGTGTTTCCAGGGAACCCAGCCTAATCTAGAGATCTTGGGAAGACCTGTTGCCGCAGAGTGATGACAATAAAGTCTAGACTTCATGGTATTGAGGAGTGAACAGGAGGGTGTGGAGAAGCTGGGACAGCAGGTGTAGCCAACTCCTTTGAGAAGGACGGCTTTTGGGCTCAGAAGAAGTGTGACAGTGTCTGGAAGGGGCAAGAAGAAAGTCGAGGGGGGGATATTTCAGGTGAGTGATATTACACCACCATGGTATACTGTCGCCTGAGGCCTGTAGACAGGAAATGAGGAGTCCGGCTCCTAGTTAGAATCCCAGGGCTGGTTTTTCAGGACTGACCCTGGGCAACTTTAAGGCTGTACCAAGGAGGCCTCACAGGGAGGCTCCCTCTCCAGACCAGAACTGGCATAGCCAGTGCACTGCAGTCCCTGGAGGGAGCTGCGGTCAAGGTCTCAGGCCCCTGCTGGCCATGCTCTTATGCACACCTGTGTTCCCAGCCTTGCACGTGTGCCCAAGGCCTTCTTCAGGCACCTCAACTAAGGCCTCCTTATTCTCAGGGAGTAGGGAAGGGGGAGCCACGAAGACATTGTTATCCTCTCTGACTCAGTTCTTTCCTACTCCTGGCCCTGTCCTCTCTCCCTCCCGCTAGTTCCCGGGTCCATAAAACTACAGAAGCCTCAACAGAGAGATGACCTTCACCCCCACATCTATACTGATTACTTGACTCTTGACTGGAGCTCTGTTGCGGGGAGGGTGGAATCCTCTTGCTTCTGCCCCTGCAGTGAGTGATGAGGGCTTCACTGTTACTTTCTTTTTTTTTTTTTTTTTTTTTTGAGACAGAGTCTTGCTCTGTTGCCCAGGCTGGAATGCAGTGGCACAATCTAAGTTCACTTCAACCTCCACCTCCCGGGTTCAAGCGATTCTCCTGCCTCAACCTCCCGAGTAGCTGGGACTATAGTTGTGTGCCACCATGCCTAGCTAACTTTTGTATTTTTAGTAGAGACGGGGTTTCACTATGTTGGCCAGGCTGGTATCGAACTCCTGACCTCAAGTGATCCGGCCACCTTGGCCTCCCAAAGTGCTGGGATTACAGGTGTTTCTGTTACTTTCATTTTTGCCTTATTGCTTCAATTAGCCACTCTCTCCAGATTAGCTGAGCCCTTGACAGATGCATTGCTGACACCCATGAGAGAAGGCCTGATGTCCCTGGAAAGGACACAAGAGAAGTGACCAGACCTACAGCCCCCGCTCTGGCCTTTGGCAGGAGGAGGGATACTCCCGAGGTTGTCACTGGAGAGAACACAGGCCAGGGATAGGCAGGTGATCCCACTAAGGGGGTGAGGGGTTAAGGAAGCCTGGTGTCTTCTATGTTCCTGGCAAAGTATAGGTCATCAACAAAGGGAGGGAAGAGAGGGGCTTGGGAGGAAATGAGTAGGATGGAGCAGCTCCCTAGGGGAATGAGAAAGTGAGCCCACCTGACCAGGCAGAGGGCTGATGGGGCAGTGCCAGAGCCCGCTAGAAAACCAGTGACAGAAAAGCTGCAAGGTGCCCAGCTTGGTGACCAGCCAGTAGCAGGGTCTGCAAGATGGCTGGCTCCTCCTTCCCAGCACAATGAGCATTTCTGCCACGGCGGGGACAGCACAGCACAGCGCTGTTGGCCAGGAAGGGGGCTGAAGAAGAGCCCTCCCAGGGGGAATGTTGGCATTGTTGCTCTGTTTCTAGTTTCCACAGCAGTCTGGAGGAAAAAAGGACCCAGCCTGAAGATGCATCAAAAAGTGATTGACACTAAGCCCAGTTGAACAGCCAAAGCCTGAAGGCAGGGAAATTCAAACACCGAGTCAGCCGGCAAAGTACAAGCCATGCTGACTCGGCCTGCTGAGCCATCAGCAGGATGGCTGGATTACCGCTGATCCAGCCAATATCCATCCAGAGATTACACACCGTCCCTCAAGGTGCAATCGTGGTTTCTTTTTCTTCTGGTTCTTTCTTCAGCACCAGCTAACAGAGCATCACTGATACTGTTTTCCTGAAAGCTTGCAAGGATCCCAAATGGGCTGCCCTGAAAGGCCCCCTACCTTTGAGCATGCGCACTCTCCTGGGGATTTTGTGAGTTCCCCAGCTCCCAAGTATACACAGAGCCAGATCTACAGTAGCAGACGCCTCATCATTGCAGGTCTGAATGGCCAGGAAGACATGAAATTGATGTTTCAGTTGACTGAATTGATCAGCACTTTTGTAATCAGTTAAACCAAGCCAGTTCCTTCTTCAAACAAGCAGTTACAAAATGGCTTTTATTGGTGGCATCACAAACACTATGTGATTAGTCATTGTCTTGTCTCAGGCTGTACTATCAAGATAAGACATTCAAACAGCGTTATTTTCCTAAAGATCGTAAGACTAAGGACACAAAAAAAGCAAAACTGGCTGGTTAGAGCCAATAACCTCCACAGTTCCTTACATAATGAGCAAAGGCTGTCCAAAAAAGGTAAAGAGCCTATTCTACTATTCTATGTAGATAAGGTCTCGTGGGAGGAAGTACCATCTCCTATCCCTGGTTCTAAGTCTTCAACTGTTTTTGTTGTTGTTGTTTTGAGATAGAGTCTTCCTCTGTTACCCAGGCTGGAGTGGCATGATCTCAGCTCACTGCAGCTTCCATCTCCCCAGGCTCAGGTGATTATCCCACCTCAGCTTCTGGAGTAGCAGGAACTACCGATGCGCACCACCACGACAGGCTAATTTTTTTTTCTTTTTATAGAGACAGGGTTTCGCCATGTTGCCCAGGTAGGTCTCAAACTCCTGAGCTCAAGTGATCCTCCCATCTCGGCCTCTCAAAGTGCTGGGATTACAGGCATGAGCCCCATGCCCGGCCCTTCAACTGTTAACCTGTATTGATCACCTACACTGGTAAGCAAAGGTCACTCTCACTTCCTAGGTCATGACCTATCAATAGGTCAGAGTCCTAACGGGAAACCCATGACACACTCCAACAGAGTAACTGAGAAAGGCATAATGAAGGATCTTATTGTAGCAGCGTAGGCAGGGTGAAGGGAAACCAAAAAACAATACAGTAGCAATAGTGGGAAGCTCACTAGCTCTAGGCCTGTTGGGAGGCAGGGGAGGAGCCATTACCCTGGAGAGCACAGGGGTCAGCCACACAGCCCACTAATGGAGACCCTGCAGGAAGAGAGCACACCTCATTGTCCCCCACCCTCTGATCTTGGGCTGATGCCTCCCACTGGTGGAACCCACCCAAAGTCAGAGGGTAAAGGACTCTGCTGATGAATTTTTTTTTAATTTTTAATATTTTTTTGAGATGGAGTCTTGCTCTGTTGCTCAGGCTGGAGTGCAGTGGCACAATCTCGGCTCACTGCAATCTCCACCTCCCAGGTTCAACTGATTCTCCTGCCTCAGCTTCCCAAGTAGCTGGGATTACAGGCACCCAAGACCACACCCAGCTAATTTTTGTATTTTTAGTAGAGTAAGTGTTTTACCATGTGAGCCAGGCTGGTCTCGGACCTCTGACCTCAAGTGATCTGCCCACCTCGTCCTCCCAAAGTGCTGGGAATACAAGCATGAGCCACCACACCCATTTTTGATGCATTTTATACAAGAAGTCTCCCAGGGCATGGAACAGGGCAGGCCCAGAGAAGAATGGATCTGGAGAGGCAGATGGAAGGCCTACAGCACCCAGGGAAGCAATATGAGAAAAGAATATAAGAACAGAGACTGTGACAAAGCAAATTTAGATCCACAACATTGACATTTTTATAAAAAGGTTTTTGGAGGTTTATACTGAAAAGTTTTGTAACAATTATATTCATGTGTATCAGATTTGTAAGGTGTTCAAACCATTTTAACATATCCATTTGGCTTATAATTTTCATTACATTTTTAGTTTGAAAGAGTTTAATTGATTAAATTTTTAATCATTGTTTAAATACTCGAGGAACCCTAGTTTGTAAAATTCTAGTTTTTGATATAATAGTTATCTGAGCAGAATGTGAATTTACATCATTGGGTTTTTGGGGGGTGGGGTTGTTTGGAGTGCAGTGGTGCGATCATGGCTCACTGCAGCCTGGACCCCACTGGGACCCAGCGGTCCTCCTGCCTCAGCCTTCCAAGTAGCTGGGACTACAGGTTCGTGCCACCATGCCCAGATAATTTTTTTTACTTGCTTTGTAGAGATGGGGTCTCACTTTGTTGCCCAGGCTGGTCTTGAACTCCTGGGCTCAAGCAATCCTCCTGCCTTGACTTTCCAAAATGCTGGGAGTCACCACACCCAGCCCAACAACATTGTTAGCTGTTTAAAAACAATGATT
The DNA here is from genome assembly GCF_000001405.40 of Homo sapiens. NCBI lineage: Eukaryota > Metazoa > Chordata > Mammalia > Primates > Hominidae > Homo > Homo sapiens. Next base: position 33,306,859 of record NC_000021.9, read on the forward strand.
TAGTGTGGGTTCCCTTCAGTGTGTAAAAATTATTAAAATCGGGTAAGTTTAGCATCTGTGGGAGCCAGGAGGGAGCTAAGCGCCTGGTAACCTTCCACTTCTTCTTTCCCTAATTTAGATCATGTCATTCCTCTGCTAAAATCTCCATCATGGCTTCCTATCTGGCCCAGAATAAAGCCCAAATCCTTGCCAGAGGCTGCAGGCCCCACCGACTACTCCCCTGGCCTCCATTCCTCTGCACCCCTTCTCTCCTCATTCTGCAGGGGCTCAGCCTACTTGCTGTGCTTGTGTGGAGACAAACGTGACTGCATCTTGGATGCTAATCCACCATGTTGACTTCTGATTCACCCCAGTCCCTGAAGTCCTCCTGATTCCTACTTTATTTACTGTCCTTAGTGTAAGAACATGTACTCGCTACAAATCCTGCCTTGAGATCAAAGCAACCATAATACTATCACACCAAGTACAGGCTATGACGCACATAGCAGTCTTGCCTGTTCTGGACAGTGGTCTTTCATTGACTCTTTGGAGTATGTACCCTCTTTCCCTCTAGTATATAATCTCTGGATCTGAGGGTAACCATGAGAAATCCCTTTGTCTTGCAGCTGCCCAAGACCATGCTTCTGTCTGTGAGTTCCCCAATAAACCACCCTTTACCGACAAACTGAATTTGTCTTCCTTGTTCTTCGGTTTCTCAGCTCCTTTGGCATTTGAGGGCCTTTTTGCATATAGGGCCCTTTCACGGAACAGCCTGGGATGTGCCAGAGACACATCTGTCTCAGAGCCCGTGCATATGCTCTTCCCTAAGCATGGAACACTTTCTATTTACACAGCCCTCTCCTTGTGTCATTGCGTCCAGTGTCTCTTTCTTAGAGAGGCCCTCTCCCTTGCTGTCTCTTGTCCCTCTTTCTTTTTCTTCATAGTATGTAGCATTACTTGACATCATAATATTTCGATTCAATTCAACAAATATTTTTTGTTCACACATTTGTCCTTGTCCACACTAGATTGTAGGCTCCAGGAGAGCACAGACATTGTATATTTCATTCACTCCTGGATCCCCAGCCCTTAGAACAGTGCTTGGTGCTTAATAGATGGCTCAAGATCTATTTGTTGAATGCATGGATGTATGAGTGAATGAATGAATGCTCAGGATCTTTCAGTAAATCCGTGGCTGACTCATGCCCAGAGTTCAGGTCTTCTATGTTCCTTTCATTGATAGCTGCATTGCCTTCCAGGATTTCCCATCTTTCAGATTTCCAGAAATTATGTATACATATATACTGTGCCCTCTCAGCTGATGGCTTCCTTTTCCTTTCTTCACAGCTCTCTGGCATCAATTTTTCCACTTCTCAGAAACACTTTGGCCCACAAATTCCCAAAGGAACCTTGTTCTTCATTCTGGAAAACACGATGCCAACATATCAGAATAAAGGACAGATAGGAGCTTTTGCTTCAAAGTGAATCACTTCATGGATGTTAAAGTGTCCTGAAAGATTCTAAACTTCACAACTTTTGATAGTAACTGTACTATATTTGCAACATATTTGCATATATTAATTGTTATATCTGAAAAGCATGAGATTGCTGTTTTATAAAATTAAATGAAGTAAGTTAATATTTTATTGCTAGGTATAAGAACTGCTGATGAGGACATCTATAGAAGTAGAAAATTCTAAATGTCCTACCATCACCAATAAGAAACTTTTGACAGTCCCGTAGATACAATATAATCACATGGAAAACTGTATACAGTATATTGTATGTGAAGATCCCACAAAAAGAATAGGGACTGTAGGAAATATAATCATCTAAGCTACGGGTAAGAAGAACATCAAGATTCTTTAAAGCAATGGCTCTCAAAGTGTGTTTCCTAGACCAGCAGCATCAGCACCACATGAAAGCTTAGGAATGCAAACTCTCCAGCCCCGCCTCGGGCCTACTGGCTCAGCGACTGTGAGGGAGAGGTCTGTATTTTCATCTATGTTATAACAGGTCCTTGGGTGACTCCAATAAACACTAAAGTTGGCAAACCATTGCCTTTAAGGGTGCATAAGGTGTTAATTTAGTACAAAATTTGCAGTTTTCTGTGTTGTTGTGACTTTCTATTTTTGCAGGAGTAGAAAAGTACCCCATTGCAGTAGAGATAAGTGGATCTGAAACCCCAACAGCAGCTGAAGAGGTTCTTTATGACAGCTGGAACCTGCACTCCAGTTGCCCTTGCACGTTTGTGGTTTAGCAGTCCCAGAGACAAATCTGCCACTTCTGGCTTGCATCCAACAAAAGTGCAGCTGTTCATCATTAGGAGATGTTGGCTGATGTACATAGACATGTAAGAAAGATTCAAAGCGTCATGGATGGATCACCAATAACACCAGCATATGCAAGACCAGAGGAGAGTGTGTGATCCAGGTCCTAGGATTGACAAATGAGGACTCAGTCCCTACTTGGGTTGGTGTTTTATTTTGACTTTTTTCTGAAACAGCAGAGAAGCTTACCAAATAATCACAAGGAGATAAGAAAGTGTTTACATTTGTTTCAGTTGCTCTTCACTGCCTCCTTATGACCAACACTCACAATTCTATGGTCTTAGCAGTTGCACTAAGAAGTCAGAAGAACCTGCTATTGTGGGTTCATAATCTTTTATTACCTTTCACTGAGAAACAATTTATACTACTAAACAAGATATCAGTTATGATGCTCAAGATTTTAAGTGCCTTTTGAACTAAAAACAAACAAAAAAATTGTGACCTGCATATAATGTAAATGGTTTATCTTCAAGTCAAAAGCCACAGGTTTACCTCTGCAGCTTTACTCTTTCCTAAACATTGCTTTCGTGTATTGCTTATGCATGCTTTCTGCGTCCCAAAAAGTATGTAGAGAATAACAGTTTAAGTCCTCCAGAGGAGTTACTACCTCTACTACATGTTTCATTCTCATTACATGTTGCATTGCTTATTAATATCTGTGTTTTGTAGTGGACTTCATGAGGACAGGTAATGTTACCAACTGAATTGTGTACCCCCAAAATTCACATGTTGAAACCCTAATCCCCAATGTGACTGTATTTGAAGTAGGGCCTACAGCAGGTAATTAAGGTTAAATGAGGTCATAAGTGTGGGGCCCTGAATCGATGAGATTAGTGTCCTTATAAGAAGAAACAGCAGAGACCTTGTTCTCTCCACCATATGAGGACACAGTGAGAATGTAGCCATCTGTGAGCAGGAAGGGAGGCCTCACCAGGATCCAAATGAGCCAGAACCTTAATCTTGGACTTCTCACCCTGCAGAACTGTGAGAAAATAAATTTCTGTTGTTTAAGCCACATAATTTGTGGTATTTTGTTATGGCGGCCTGAGCAGACTAATACAGATACCATGTCTATCTTGTTCATTATCCTATCTTCTGTGTTATAGTTTATCAAATATATGTTTAGTAAGATGCATCCTAGTTAGAAGGCATTGAACTTGGGCTTAAATAACTGCTGCATCGTGTTACATTTCCAGGATTTTTTCTCTCTTTCATGAACTCTGTGAAGAAATTTTACTTAGAAAAAACTGACACTGTCATTGGCATTACAAGAGGTGCTCTACAGGACTTGTGTGACCCACAGTAATCCTGCAAAAAAGCCATGTCATCCACTCATGGACAGATTTAAGCTTAAAATTCTTCCAGAGTTTGCAATGGGATATCTCCCTTTATCTTCTCTGTGGTACAGAGACAGTTTTCTGTTAATTTCCACATAAGGGCTTTCCATGAACATGGTAAACAAAAAAGGGAGAAAGCAACAAGTTATAGCACTCTGAGTAGGTAGGTTTCATGAGAGCAGAGAGGTGATCAGGAAGGCAGAGATGTGAACAGACCAGATGTCTTGGGGGCTCAAGACCAGTATACATGGTGTGGGAACAAATATTAAGTCTTTTATTTTTATTTTTCAAATATTTTTTTAAAGGATTTAAGCCAGGCACAGTGGTTCATGCCTGTAATCTCAGCTACTTCAAGAGGCTGAGGTGGGGCCGGGAGCGGTGGCTCATGCCTGTAATCCCAGCACTTTGGGAGGCTGAGACAGGTGAATCACTTGAGGTCAGGTGTTTGTGACTAGCCTGGCCAACATGGGGAAATCCTGTCCCTACTAAAAATACAAAAAGTAGCTGAACATGGTGGTGTGCACCTGTAATCCCAGCCACTCAGGAGGCTGAGGCACGAGAATCACTTGAACCCGGGAGACAGAGGTTGCAGTGAGCCAAGATTGTGCCACTGCACTCCAGCTTGGGTGACAGAGTGAGACTCCCTCTCACAGAGTGAGAGGATTCCTTGAGCCCAGGAGTTTAAGGCTGCACCACTGCTAGAATCACACCACTGCACTCCAGCCTGGGCAACAAGCAAGACCCCATCTCATAAAAAGCCTTTAAAATCCCTTTTTAAATGTCTATAAAAGGCATCCTTTTCAAATGTTTATTTTGTATGTGATTTACGATGTGCATAAAAATATGTGCAGTAATATGCGTATTTAGCTTATAGATAAATAACAATACACCTACTGGGAATGCATGATCAACGTTGTTGTTTTCCTACTGGAATTATGTAATAAAAAATATCTAAAGGCTGCTGTTCTTGACTCAGGTATGACAGAAAGGTGGAAACAAAACGAGGAGGTACAAACACTAATGGGTTAATTAAAAGTCAGTCAACAGAATAGCAGTGGCAAAAAGCTTCCCACACTCCTCTGCTGCCTGCCTCTCCCCTTCCTGAGGCAGTCAGGCATTTGTCTAAGTCACCCTTAGGCAAAAAATTATAGATCTGTTCTTCTCAATAATTGAATTAACCACCCTGGCAATATTACTGCACTCTTCAGTAGGCCAAAGGGAAGAGTTCACCATTCTGGCAGTTGGTGTCCACAATCTTGCAATGTCTCACACCCTACTTCCCTACTTATCCTACAGGGATGCTTCCAGAGATAAGTTCTGCCTCAAAAACACGTCTTCATTTTCTTGAGAAAGACTCTGTTAATACTAGCTACCTAAAAAAAATCAACCTGCTGTCTCCTTTAAAATATATTTAAAAAATACTCAAAGATTGCCAATGAGAAAAATAAAAGAAAAAGACAAACAGAACCAATTGACTCTTAAAGAAATAGAATATTGGAACAGAAGAGAATGTCACAGAAACCCAAATTCTAAAAGATCCCACATTCGTGCATCCATAAAATGAGAACATGATGCTATATATTAAAAAATCAGAATAAAGAAGTGCTTTTAAAAATTAAACATATAATCACAGAAATAAATATTTCATTAGAAATCAAGTAAATCTTCCGGAACCAAGGACAAAAATATAAAGAGTTAAAAACTAGAGAGAACATATTAGGAGACCTCAAGGGTCAATCCAGGAAGTACAATTTTCTACTAATAGGAGTTTAAGAAAGAAGAAAGAAAATGGAAGGGAGGAAGTATTTAAAACACGGTGCAAGGATGAGACTTCTGCTTCTGGCCATGATGGAGTAACATGGAGCAGATTTACTCTTTCGCCTTAAACTATAAATAAACAACCAAAATAGCACAAAAGATTTAAAATACATATTTTTAGATATTAGACAATAAAAAACTCAGGACAGTAATCCCTAAGAGAAGAGAAACAATTGAGATGATCTCTACAATTGCCCAAACTGACTTACTGGAGAGAATTTCTAGGCCTCAGCATAGAGAGAAGGACTCCATATCCCTGTGGGTCGAGGAAACGCAGCTAGGAGTCCAAGGAGGCCAGGGCAGCTAGATTTCATGGAGTAGAGAACCAGACAAGACAGAGCTTCACACAGAGAAAAAGCTCCAGAGAGCTGCAAAGAGTATTAGGCTAATTACTGATCAGACAATGTGTAGTAAGGAAACTTGAGGCCAGGGAAAGAACCACGCTAAAAAAGCAAAGGGATAAATCCCCAGGGTTCATGCTGGGCTGAAAATAGTTTCCAACCAGCGTGGAAAATCTCATAATTCATGAAGCATCAGGTAGCATACTCAGGGGGCTATTACTTCAATAGTGGGGCAAATGTGCTCTTACACCAAACACTTGCCTGATCCTCTCTGACAAAAGCAAGCCTCAAAAGTACCAAACCATTTCCAAGTAGCTTAGCTGGATCCCAGAATAAAACTCAAGCAATATTTATAGGAATAAAGAAATATCCAGCACCCAACAATGTAAAATTTATAATGTCTGGCACCCAATAAAAAATTACTAGCCATGAAAAAAGGTAGGAAAATACAACCCATAATGAATGAGAGTGTTTTTTAACAAAAAAATTAAACAAATTAAATTCAATAGAGTTTAATTTAGCAAAGAACAATTCATAAATTGGGCAGCCCCCAGAATAGGTTCAGAGCAACTTCAGGGCTGCCACATGGTCAATAACATTTTTAAACAGAAAAAGGAAAGGGATGTACAGAAAACAGAAGTGAGATACAGAAATAGCTGGATTGATCACAGCTGTTTTGTTGCCTTATTGAAGCTGGCTTAAACAGCTGGCCACCTGTGAATGGCCAAAACTCAGCTGCTGTGATTGGCTGAGACTCCGCTACTTGTTACAAGAGCAAATTACAGTCTGTTTACACATCTAGGTAGGCTACAGTTCATGATGTACAAAGAAGCCTTTAGGCCAGACTTAAAATATGTAAGGAGGTAGCTTTAGGCTAAATTTAATTTAACAAGAAGAAAAGTAAATCAATAGAAATAGTAGATAGATTTGGTAGATTGGGACATTAAAACGGTTATTGAAACCATATTTTATATGTTCAAGAAGATGAAAGAAAGCATTAGTATATTAAGGAAAGACATGAAATATATTTTTAAAAGACTAAATCCAACTTCTAGAGATGAAGAGTACAATGTCTGAGATGAAAAATATACTGAATTCAGATTAATAGCTGATTAGACACTGTAGAAGAAAAGAGCAGTGATATTGAAGACATAGTGATAGAAACTATTCAAAATGAAAGACACAGGGGAAAGGACAAGAAAAAATGAAAGAATAGCATCGAACACAACTTTAAGGAGTCTAATAAGTGTGCATTTTGAAGGAGAGTAAAGCGAGGATAAGAAAAAAATTGAAAGAATGGCCAATAGTTTTCCAAGCTTGATGAAAACTATAAACCCATCGATCCAAGAAGCTCACCAAACCCCAGCCACAAAAATGATACATGAAAATTTTCTTCAGCTAGACAGACACAAATCCTCAAATAGAAAGGGTCCACTGAATGGTGTCAAGCAATCAGGTGTCCAGATAGTATTTAGGACAATGAGCTGAACTGAAAATAACAATCAAGCCTTTATTAACTGCAAACAAGAAGCAAAAAAGAGGCGGCAGCACCCCAGTGTTCCTTTTTCCCCTACAGAATGGCCAGGAATGCAGATACGCTTATGAGCAGGGCTGGCCAGAGGTGGTGTGGGAGGTGGGAAAGCTGAGTCCTTAACCACAAATCCCTCTAGAAAAATGCAGTGCACTGTAGTGCACATGCAAGTCTGGTATGGGGAGGACAGTTTCTCCCCATGAGGCCTGGCAGACAAAGCTTTGTAATTTCTGTGGTCAGGATTGAAAGATCACGCACAAGATTTTGGGACGGAGCCAGACTCCTCAAATGAGGAGCAGAATCATTAGGGGAATAAAGGCTCATCCTCCTCTTTCCAATACACTGATAGATATAAAATCTGGATATCAGGAAAGAAATCTAGGCTGAAGACCAATTTGGGAGCCATGAGCATAAATGACAGTCAGTGAACTCACAGAAGAGGAAGAGACCACTATAGGAGATGAGAAAAGAAGATGAGCCAGGACAAAGCAGTGAGGGACACTAATATTTAAGTCACAAGCAGTGGAGTGGGTTGTCCTGGAGATTGAGAAGAATGGCCAGAAAGACAGATGCAACAGCAAACGAGTATGGAATCATGAGAAAAAGAGCGTGGGGAATGATAGATACCAAATGCTATGGAGAAGTCAAGTAAAATCAAGGCTATAAAATGTCTAATAGATCTGAATACTAGAAATTAGCTGATGATCTGGGTGAGAAGAGAATAAGCAAAACGGGACAGAAAGATAAGCTCAGTGGGCTGAGGAATACATAAGTGAGAAAACAAAGATAGTTGTGGACAAATGTAGACAGATTTGGCTACGAATAATAACAGGAAGGACGGCTTCTGGAGTGAAAGCAGCATATACGCCTTTTTAAATTGGGAGAGACTTGAGAATGTGTAACTGTTAACAAGAAGAAACTAAAGAGAGGAGATAAAGTCATGAAAAAACGTAAAAATAATCAACGGATAGCCATCCCTATGAAGGGGTGGCTCACGGAACCAGACAGAGAGATTTTCATTTGACTGAAAGAAGGATGTCTTCCCAACGACAGGGAAAGACAGAATGGAAGCAGGTGCAGGTGAGTTTGAAGTTTTGGTGATGGAGAGCTGAAACCTGATCTGTTGACTGTATTTTCCAAGAAACTAGGAGCTGGGTGGAGGAACATCTGTTGAAAATGAGAAGAAAAGCTGTAGGGTAGAGATGTGAAGTAAGTGTAGGTTTTTAATTTCAGCTCAATTGAGGTTGCAGACTATGAAGTTTTGATCATTGGGGCTATTTGATCCTTCAGGTTTTCTCCAGAAAAACTAGATCTTCCCTCTGAGCCCTCCTGAAGTAGGAAAAACAGTAACCACGATGGTCAGAAAAAAATAACCAAAATTACTGAGCACACTGTGCCAGACACTAAACTAAGCTCTTGGTGTGCATTAACTGATTAAAAATTCATCACACCACTATGATATAGATATTATTATAGTCCCCATGAGGAAGCAGGAAAAAAGATTAAGTAACTTGCCCAAGATCCCAGAGTGACGGAGGTGGGATAGCAACCTAAGTCAACTTCAGAACTCAGACTCTTAACCAGTAGGCCAGTCTCTGTTTAAGAGATACTTAGTTACCACTTGAAAAGGCGTATGGCTGTCTTCCATGTTACTGCTTAAAAACAGACATCTTTCTCAGTATGCAGTGAGCATGCAGCCACACTCAATCTTTCCTCAAGCCATGTGAACACAGACTAGACCTTCAAATATGCTGTTCCCTTTATTTAGAATGCTGTATCCCTCTTCTTTTCCTATCTCCTACTTATACTCTGCCTCCCCTTAAACATCTCTTACTGCAGGTCACCTGCTGCAATGTGTATCCCTCACCACTAAACTAGTTTAGTGTTCCCACCGTTTGCTTCATCATCATCATTATTACTATTTTGAAATAGCATCTCACTCTGTCACCCAGGCTGGAGTGCAGTGGTGTGATCACGGCTCATTGTAGCCTTGACTTCCTGGAGTTCAAGCGATTCTCCAGGCTCAGCCTCCTGAGTAGCTAGGACCACAGGCCTCTGCCACCTCATCCAACTAATTGTATTTTTTGCAGATATGGGGGTCTCTCTTTGTTGTCCAGGCTGGTCTCAAACTCCTGGGCTCAAGTGATCCTCTTGCTGCAGCCTCTCAAAATGCTGGGATTACAGGTGTGAGCCACTGTGCCAGCTTCACTACTATCTTTTACTGAATTGCCTGCCTACTGGGATGAGGAAATGTATAGGATGATAAAGCACCAAGGAGAAAGACATTCTGGAGATTCCAGAGTAGAACGGCTCAGATTCCTTCCTGAACATCCTGGAGCTAGTGTTTGTACACCCTCAAAGTCTGTGCCACTGGGCTGCTACTCAGCTAGGACTCTTCTCCTTTCATCTACCAAACTCTCCTCCCAGAAAGAAGTGAATTTATTCTTCTGGAAGGTTCTAAAGCAGTGATTTCTAATCCAGGGTGCACCCACCCTAGGGGTTTGCGTTGGATTACAGGGTCCACCGAAGTGCAGTGAAATTCTATTTACATTCTTTAATAAGAAATAAATTAAGCTTTTGATATTTGATATATAACCTAGCACAAGCACCTTCACTTGGTCCAAATGCCAGAGCATCACATTGTCACATTCAGTGATGTGTGACACACTTGAGAACAGAGTGAGAAACTCACAAGGTGGAAATGCGCAGCGATGCTTCTGCTTGTACACTTTTGGAGTTTGTGATTATGTCTAACCATTTACTTGGCTTGATGTGTGTTTACAGGTCGTTAGCTAGTTTTAACTAAATTAATGCTCACAAAATGGATGTGACAAGATTCTTGCAAATAAATTGGAAATTAAAGATAGTACTATTAATACACAAGTGAATAAGATAACAGCAGCCTTGACATATTAGCTAATCACAGTATGAAGCCATCACATTAGGAAGACATTTTCCAGAAAAGCAAACCCCCACAATTTCTTTCCAAGAGTGTTTAAAGTCATATGATACTCATTCGTTTTGGTTCTTTACAAAATTTCGTAATTGGTGACAGTGTTTAGAAACTGCTTTGGGGGTTCTTAATAGCAAAAGACAAAAAGCCACATGCCCCTTGTTCTTCTTTCTACAATATGACAAACTAAAATACATTCCTCAGTCAGCAATAGTGTTGGACTGTGTATAGCAAATACGGCTGACAATGCGAAGAAACAAGAGTTCAATTTCACAGTGTGGGAAATCTGCCACGTAATCATATGGAAACATGCTCTAAAGCACAGATGTTTCTAACATGTCTTTTTCCAAAAGTGAAATACCCAAGGAACGACTTTTTCTTTGTTAGCCAAAAAGGGAAAGATAAAATATATACTCAACAGTAATTTACTTCCTTAATTAAAACAAAAAGTTTTAGTGCCCATATATTGGTTTCTAAATACCATCCCCCAATAAAAACATCATCAACAACAACAACAACAACAAAAAGCAGGGCCCCTTGAAGAAATGGCTGATTTTAGGACTGAGCAGGAAAAATATAAGATGAACTTGGAACATCTTGTGCTAGAAAGTAAAGAAGTGTTAGAAAAAATTAAGAGCATACTAGCAAAAGGAACAAGAGTCAGCTTGAAGTGGCTGCCACTGGCCAAATCTAGGACAATTTGAGCATTAAAATAAATAAGGAGGGTGAATTGGTAGAGCACAGGTGATATTTAGGGCGGTGAAATGCCTCTGTATGATGCTGTAATGGTAGATACATGACATTATGTTGCAAGTGGTTATGTATGAGAAGGGCAGGAGACGGCTCTTCCCCCACCCACCAGGAATGTCAGGTGATGGTTCAACAATCACATTGCCTCTCTAAAAATAATTCAGCACCCAGAGCCGAATTATCTCCTAATGGTCCACAGCTATTACATTAGAGTGTTAATTGAATGTAGGCGCCAAGAAGCAAAAAGAGCTTCCAATAATCTCCGGTATTGGGTGAGTGAGCCGGTGCATGCACATTAAGAGACAAAACGGCAGAGTATGACCTTCCGGGGGCACTCCATCGGAAAAGGGAAGAAATCTTCAGATGGGCATGCGCACAACTTCCTAAACACACTGCACATGTTCACCTCCCAAGTGTAAGAAGGGCACTGCGCATGCGGGCAGCCCACCCTAAGGGAAGAATCATGGGAAAGGGGTGCAAAACCCCAGAAGTGGGCCAGCCTATAAATCCTAGAATCACAGTTAAACGCTGCATTTGTCCTTCAATTTGCCCGCTTGGGTCTCTTCCAAGTGTACTTTCCTTTCTTTCCCGTTCTAAAGCCTTTTTAAATAAACTTCCACTCCTTCTCTGAAACTTGCCTCAGTCTCTTTTTCCGCCTTATGCCCCTCAGTCGAATTTGCTGTGCAGGTAACTGGGATGCCTTCTACCAGTAACAATTATACATTGTAAAAACCCATAGAATGTACAACACCAAGAAAGAACTCTTACGTAAACTCTGGACTTTAGTTAATAATGTATCAGTATACGTTCATCAGCTGTAAGAAATGTACCACCCCAATGCAAGATGTTAACAACGGGAAACTGAAAGCAGGCTTGGGATGAGGGGGTATATAAGAACTCTCCACACTGTCTGTAAACCTAAAACTCCTCTAAAAGTTGTATATTAATTTTAAAAATTTAAGTAAGGATAACAATGAACTATAACCAATGAAATAAAATAAGAATCTGTGAGTCTATACTAATAATAAATGGAGACCGGGCGTGGTGGCTCACGCCTGTAATCCCAGCACTTTGAGAGGCCGAGGCGGGCAGATCACCTGAGGTCGGGAGTTCGAGACCAGCCTAACCAACATGGAGAAACCCTGTCTCTACTAAAAATACACAATTAGCCGGGCATGCTGGTACATGCCTGTAATCCCAGCTACTCGGGAGGCTGAGGCAGGAGAATTGCTTGAACCCAGGAGGCAAATGTTGCGGTGAACCGAGATGGCGCCATTGCACTCCAGCCTGGGCAACAAGAGCAAAGCACCATCTCAAATAAATAAATAAATAAATAAATATAAATGGAAAGAAAGAAAAGCTCTTTCTTAAATTGTGTCAACTAATATTTGCAGTGAGAGGGTCAGGGTTGAAAACTTACCATTTCATGACCATCACAGGTAGGATAGTTCAGGCAAGGATGATTAATGGATGTTAATTCTAGAAGAAAAGTTTGATGAACAGCAGAATATTTGCAGGATTTCCGAGTGTCTTCCCACCAATTAGCTGCAGGAGGTGGGGTGGGAGGGGAGGTCGATGGGGGGCGGAATAGTAACTATACAATGGAGACTGTAACTATAATACTTTGATACATGATCAAAATTAACATCACATATGAGGTACTAATAAGCTTAATGTGCCTGTGAAGGGACTGAGGACACCACACAAGCCAGGTACGCATAATCTGAAATTAATCAGGAGAAACCATCAGACAAGTCCAAATTGGAGAAGCATTCTATAAAATAGTTGGCCTGTGTTTTTCAAAAAAAAAAAAAAAAATCCCCAAATCAAAAAAATGTCCATGACATGAAAGACAATGGCCAGGGAAGTACTCTGGATTAAAGAAAGCTAAAGAAGTTCAGGAAAATAAATAACATACATACATGACTTTGTATGTGTATTTAAAGAGGGAGTGTAGATATGGCAAAATATTAACGATTTGCTGAATCTGGGCAACGGGTATGTGGGAGCTATCTTACTATTTTTGCAACTTGTCTGTAATTTCAAATTATTTCCAAGCAAAAAGTAAAAATGGGACTGGGTGTAGTGGCTCACTCCTGTAATCCCAGCACTCTGGGAGGCTGAGGTAGGTGGATTACTTGAGGCCAGGAGTTCAAGACCAGCCTGGCCAACATGGCAAAACCCCGTCTCTACTAAAAATACAAAAATTCGCCAGGCGCAGTGGCACACGCCTGTAGTCCCAGCTACTTAGGAGGCTGAGGCAGAAGAATCGCTTGAACTGAGGAGGCAGAGGTTGCTGGGAGCCGAGATCATGCCACTGCACTTCATCCTGGGCAACAGAGCAAGATTCCCTCTCCCCTCCCCACCAAAAAAGGTGAAAAAGAACATGCTGTATGGAAAAACTGCAAGTGCAGCCTCTAATGGACCGTTTTGACTAGAATAAAGGAGAGAAGGGAGGTTCTGGGTTAAGGTTACAGAGCTTGCACCACAGGGGAAATTAATTCATGTCTTATCCTTAAATAAATTATTACAGCAAAAAAGTTGAAACTAAAGTACACGAAGTACTTACCACAGGGTGTCACAGCTGTGGCAAATTTTATTAAAGCACAATCCAATTTTATTAAAATACAATTCAATGTTTATAATAGGTTGTATTAAGATGGGGAAGAGTGAAAATCTTAGGAAAGGAGGAAGAAAAGGAGGGGAGGAAATTGTCAATGTGTTTAAAAATCTAATTAAACTTTTCAGTCATTTTGAGCTCATTGTTCTAAATATAAAAATGCATCCTATTCCAACTAGTTTGCAAGAACTTTTGGACAGCAGGAAATGGAAATTTTAATTTAAACATGCAGAGTCGTTCAAAAGGCTTTTAAAATAAGTATTATTTTGTAATTGCAACCAGGAATTTTTCCTCTTCCATTTGGATTCACGTATCTTCATGGGGTGTTTTTCCACCTTTGGTGTTGTTAAAACGAAGTACTGACACACTCAAAATCAAACCCCCAAATCGATGAATCGTAAAGTGATAATTCAAAGTTTTTTAAACGATACCTAACAGCTGGATAGATTGCCTAAAAATCATTATTCACTCAAACTGGGTGAATTTCAAGATACATAAATTATACCTCTAAGATGTTTTTAAAATAGGCATATTTCCCCTGGGCGTGGTGACTCACGCCTGCAATCCCAGCACTCCGGGAAGCAAAGGTGAGCGGATCACTTCAGGTCAGGAGTTCCAGACCAGCCTGGGTAACACAGCGGAAATCCCATCTCCACTAAAAATACAAAAACTAGCCGGGCGCAATAGCGCACAGCTGTAATCTCAGCTACTCAGGAGGCTGAAGCAGGAGAATCGCTTGAACCCGGAAGGCGGAGGTTGTGGTGAGCCGAGATCGCGCCACTGCACTCCAGCCCGGGTGACAGAGCAAGACTCCGATTCGAACAATGCAATGGAATATATACATATATGTATATATGGAACATATATACATATGTGGAACAAATACATATATGGAACATACATATGTGGAACAAATACATATATGGAACATACATATGTGGAACCAATACATATATGGAACATACATATGTGGAACCAATACATATATGCAACATACATATGTGGAACCAATACATATATGCAACATATATATGTGGAACCAATACATATATGCAACATATATATGTGGAACCAATACATATATGCAACATATATATGTGGAACCAATACATATATGCAACATATATATGTGGAACCAATACATATATGCAACATATATATGTGGAACCAATACATATATGCAACATATATATGTGGAACCAATACATATATGCAACATATATATGTGGAACCAATACATATATGCAACATATATATGTGGAACCAATACATATATAGAACATATATATGTGGAACCAATATATATGGAACATACGTATGTGGAACATACATATGTGGAACATACGTATGTGGACCATACATATGTGGAACATACGTATGTGGACCATACATATGTGGAACATACGTATGTGGACCATACATATGTGAAACATACGTATGTCGACCATACGTATGGGTCCCATATACATATGGGACACATACGTATGGAATATATATATGGGACACATACGTATGGAATATATACGTATATATACATATGGGACACATACGTATGGAATATACATATGGAATATACATATATGGGACACATAAGTATGGAATATATACGTATGGAATATACACGCATGGAATATATACGTATGGAATATATATGTATGGAATATACACGTCTGGAATATATATGTATGGAATATTCACGTATGGAATATATATCTGGAATATATATATATGGAATATATATCTGGAATATATATATGGAATATATATCTGGAATATATATATATGGAATATATATCTGGAATATATATATATGGAATATATATCTGGAATATATATATGGAATATATATCTGGAATATATATATATGGAATATATATCTGGAATATATATATATGGAATATATATATGGAATATATATATATGGAATATATATGGAATATATATATATGGAATATATATATGCAATATACATATATGGAATATATATATGCAATATACATATATGGAATACATATATGCAATATATATATGGAATATATATATGGAATATATATATGGAATATATATATAATATATATACGGAATATATATATACGGAATATATATATAATATATATACGGAATATATATATACGGAATATATATATAATATATATACGGAATATATATATACGGAATATATATATAATATATATATAATATATATACGGAATATATATATACGGAATATATATATAATATATGTATGGAATATATATATACGGAATATATATATAATATATGTATGGAATATATATATACGGAATATATATATAATATATGTATGGAATATATATATACGGAATAGATATATAATATATGTATGGAATATATATATACGGAATATATATATAATATATATATATGGCATATATACATGGAATATATATATATGGAATATATACATGGAATATATATATATGGAATATATACATGGAATATATATATATGGAATATATACATGGAATATATATATATGGAATATATACATGGAATATATATATATGGAATATATACATGGAATATATATATATGGCATATATACATGGAATATATATATATGGCATATATACATGGCATATATATATATGGCATATATATATATGGCATATATATATGGCATATATATATATGGCATATATATATGGCATATATATATATGGCATATATATATGGCATATATATATATGGCATATATATATGGCATATATATATATGGCATATATATATGGCATATATATATATGGCATATATATATGGCATATATATATGGCATATATATATGGCATATATATATGGCATATATATATGGCTATAGAGATGGCATATATATATGGCATATAGAGATGGCATATAGAGATGGCATATAGAGATGGCATATAGAGATGGCATATAGAGATGGCATATAGAGATGGCATATAGAGATGGCATATAGAGATGGAATATAGAGATGGAATATATATGGCATATAGAGATGGAATATATATGGCATATAGAGATGGAATATATATGGCATATAGAGATGGCATATAGAGATGGAATATAGAGATGGAATATAGAGATGGAATAGATATGGAATATAGAGATGGAATAGATATGGAATATAGAGATGGAATAGAGATGGAATATAGAGATGGAATATAGAGATGGGATATAGAGATGGGATATAGAGATGGGATATAGAGATGGGATATAGAGATGGGATATAGAGATGGGATATAGTGATGGAATATAGAGATGGGATATAGAGATGGAATAGATATGGAATATAGAGATGGAATAGATATGGAATATAGAGATGGAATAGATATGGAATATAGAGATGGAATATAGAGATGGGATATAGAGATGGGATATAGAGATGGAATATAGAGATGGGATATAGAGATGGAATATAGAGATGGGATATAGAGATGGAATATAGTGATGGGATATAGAGATGGAATATATAGATGGAATATAGAGATGGAATATATAGATGGAATACATATATATTCCATTGCATTGTTCTTTACAAACATTCATTTAATTATGTAATTGCTAATTAATTGCTTGGTTGTTATAACAACGAAGTATTTGATTCCTTATTTTATCTCATCATTTAAATTTTATTTCGCATATTTTCACAATGCACTGGATCTATTACTGAGGAATTTAATTAAATAATCATTCGAACCATGGGCTCGAATTGTTTACTGATAAAGCCCGACGACCAAAACAGCCTAGCGACTGCTGTTTGGAGCCCCTCGGCCCAGGGCCCGTGGCTGTTCTCTCCAAGGGACCATCTCGCCCCTCAGCCAAGTCGCCCGGAAAACGAGCGCTCGACCGCCTCTGCCCCGCTCTCGCTCTGCACACAGCAACGGTCTGGTCGCTCAGCCACTTCCTCCTTCCAGCCTCATCTGGTTCCCAGGCCGCTGGGGACTCCCAACGCCACTGTCCAAGACTCTAGGGTCAGCAAGCGCCCCGGGCGGAGAAGGGCGAGGACGAAGAGCGCCGGGCCGCGACCAGGAGCCCACCCGCGCCCTCCGACTGCAGACATGGGGAAGAGACGCGGGAACTCCAAAGTCGCTGGGTCTGCGCAGGTGTGTGCCGCGATCCTGTGAAGGTCAAGGCCTCCTGTGAGGGGGAGTCGTCCTGGAATGCGATGGTGAAGTGCTCCAGACCGGCCATAGGCCGGAAAGAGTGAGGAAGAAGAGAATGCAGGAGGCCTGCGATTTCTAAGGCGCGCGCGCACAGGGGTGCTGCAATTAGGATGGGGCAATGGGAGCTTGGAGAAGGGGTGCTAGCTAGGAGGAAAGGCGCGTGCGTGGAGGAACGGCGCGTGCGCGGAGGGGCGGTGTGTGTGTCAGAAGAGGCGGCGCGTGCGTAGAGGGGCGGTGAGAGCTAAGAGGGGCAGCGCGTGTGCAGAGGGGCGGTGTGACTTAGGACGGGGCGATGGCGGCTGAGAGGAGCTGCGCGTGCGCGAACATGTAACTGGTGGGATCTGCGGCGGCTCCCAGATGATGGTCGTCCTCCTGGGCGCGACGACCCTAGTGCTCGTCGCCGTGGCGCCATGGGTGTTGTCCGCAGCCGCAGGTGAGAGGCGGGGAGGAGAGTCTTGGCGCAGGGCGGGAGGTAGGGCACGCAGCTGGGCTACGGGGGCGGCGATGCTGTTGGGGGCGACAGACGCCCAGTCTGGGAAACCTTCGGTCCACTTTGCCGCGCCAAAGATTAAACCCGACCTGGGCTCGCAAATCAACCAGGAGAAAGTGGTGTTCTGGGTCCTCTCTTGCCGCTTGCCTGTGGCCGTGTACGGGTCCTCGGGAGCGCCCGGGTCCCACCCCCGTGAAATGGCGGTGCCAGAGCTTTGTGTCGAGTTTGATTCTTTCCGGGAAAGTACCGCGGCTCCGCTGGTCTGTTTGATAATAAACAAAACATTTCCCGAAATGCATTTCCTCAATCTGGTGAATAGGCGCCCAGTCCCACGGGGGAGTGAGCTAAGTGTGGCCAGGATTTCTCTGCCCTCAGGATTCATACAGGCCAATAAAAAATGACAGTCGGAGTGACTGAAGCATAATTGTCAGTTCTCGAGGTTTACTAAGCCTGCTTCAGGGCGCATCCGGGAAAAACGTGAGCCACAAACACGTCTGTGACTGGTTTTCCAGAGGTTTTCAGGAGGTGGGGCAGGAAGGCAGTAAGGCAAATAGTTCTGTGAGAATTTAGTTAGTGCCCAAGAAATCTGTATTTTAAGATACCATGAGTGTCTTGAAGAGAAAAAGAGAGTAAAGGGAGTCAGTTATGCAGATGCCTCTGGGTAGATGGAGTCTTGACTTTGTTTTGCACCTGAGAAGATAAGCTTGTAATTGACATGGTCAGTGTGGAAGGCCTGAACTAGTTTTTCAGATTAACTTTGGAATGCCATTTGTTGAGAGGAGAGGTCCATTCACATTGTTGGGGGGCTTAGAATTTTATTTTTGGTTTACTTAACTACCTACTTTTTTCCCAAAGAAATAATCATGTTCAAAACTCAATGAAATGTTATCTCAATGAGATTGTAATGTTGCTCAGTCTTTCAGAAGTCATAAAAATAGTCATACTTTTTAAACTAGTAAATGCAATTCTAGGACCCAAGACTAAGAAAACTGTCCAAAATATGGGAAGACATTTTTATTTATACTTTTTTTTTTTTTTTTTTGAGACAGCCTGTTGCCCAGGCTGGTGTGCAGAGGCGTGATCTCAGCTCACTGCAACCTCTGCCTCCCAGGTTCAGGCGATTCTCCTGCCTCAGCCTCTTGAGTAGCTGGAATTACAGGTGCACGCCACCACATCCGGCTATTTTTTGTATTTCTAGTAGAGATGGGGTTTTGCCATGTTGGCCAGGCTGGTCTCGAACTCCTGACCTCAAACAATCCACTTCAGCCTCCCAAAGTGCTGGGATTACAGGTGTGAGCCACCACGCCCGATCTATTTATGTTTTAGACTTTAGTTTTAGGAACTAGACTTAGGTTGTAGACCTGAAGTTACAGTTGGCATCCCCTTGTTTATGGGAGACCAGCAAAGAATTGACTTATGAATGATCTGTCAGGGTAGCCCTTCGCAGATGGCTGAGTCTTTTTATCCTTCCTTGGGGATTTGGCTGAAGCATAATGCTAGTAACAGCCATTCGTTTGGAAGAGGGTGTTGCAGTCACTTGGCCTCTGGGCTTAACTAACTTCCCTTTTGCGTAAGAAAGTTGGGAGAGGTCCTGAGATTTTTTTTTTTCTTTTACAAAAATAATAAAAGAAAAATACAAAGGCAGGGCGTCACCAGGCTAATTTGCTGAAATTCTTCATACTTACTTGGGATGCATGGGGGAATGGCAACTATTACAAGGTTGATAGAGAGTGAGAGGTAATTTTGTAGTGAGGAGGGGTACCCAAAGAGAATCAGGGCTAGCATCCCAGTGCAGGAGTCCAGGTGGTCTGTGAGCCTGCAAGTGAGTTCAAAATACTTTACCTGTTGGCTTAGGAAACCATATACCTGTGTGGTACATGATATCCTATTTCTCAAACTTTTCCACAAATATGTAGTATACTTTTCCTAGGATGTGGGTACTAGGGTCCTGGTGCATCCCATAGTAATTTCTTTGAAGTCTTTTGTTTATGAAAAACTTGCATTAAACTCATGTTTGGTTTGATGTGAAAAAAGCTTTCCCAGAATTTTCATATAAAATTGACATTCCAGGAGGGTGTGCATTAAGAAATTAATTTAAAATTAGGTTAGCGGACAGGTGGCAAGATATAATTTATAGGCATTTATCATTTCTTAAGCTCTTAGCTGTGTGCCAGGCAGTAATCTAAGTGTTTTAAAGGTATAAACTCATTAAGCTTTCAGAGCAGTGTAGATACTGTTATGCTTAGTTAACAGACAAGGAAACTGAGCAACGGAGAGATCAAGTAACTTGCCTGAGGCTGTATAGGCCAGTCCGTGGAGGAGTGGGAAGTCAAATCCTGAGTCTGGACTAATAGCCTTGGGGCTTAACCAGACTAGACTGTTTTCCCAAAGGCCAAACAATTTAAATTCCTGATTGTCCACTTGTATGTTAAGGGCCTAATTATCAGTATCTTTCAGTTAACTGTGAGCCCAAAAATATCTGAGACCGGTCTGAAATCAACTTAGAAAGTTTATTTTGCCAAGGTTAAGGATGCATTCATGACACAGCCTCAAGAGGTCCTGGCCACATGTGCCCAAGGTGGTCAAGGTCCAGCTTGCTTTTATACATTTTAGGGAGACATATCAATCAGTACATCTAAGATGTACATTTGATTGGTTCGATCTGGAAAGGCAGGACAACTCAAAGCAAGGCTTCCAGGTCATAGGTAGATTTAAAGATTTTCTGATTGGTAATTGGTTGAAATCAATGGAAAGGAATGTCTGGGATGTCCTAAGGGGTTGTGGAGACCAAAATTTTATCATGCAGATCAAGCTTGTCCAACCCACAGCCCACTGGCCGCGTGCAGCCCATGATGGCTTTGAATGCAGTCCAACACAAATTCGTAAACTTTCTTAAAACATGAGGGGTTTTTGTTTTGTTTGTTTTCTTTCTGTTTTTTTGTTTGTTTGTTTTTAGCTCATCAGATATTGTTAGTGTATTTTGTGTGTGGCCCAAGACAGTTGTTCTTCCAGTGTGGCCCACGGAAGCAAAAAGAGTGGACACCCTTGATGCAGATGAGGCCTGCAGATAGCAGGCTTCAGAGAGAATAGATTGTAACTGTTTCTTGTGAAACTTAACGTCTGTGTTGTTGTTAATGGTGGTTAGCTTTTTCTGAATTCCAGAAGAGAGGAGGGTATAATGAGGCATATCCAAACCTCACTTCGCATCATGGCCTGAAGTAGTTTTTCAGGTTAGCTTTGGAATGCCCTTGGTCAGGAGAAGGGGTCCATTCTGATGGTTGGGGGACTTAGAATTTTATTTTTGGTTTACGTAACTATCTACTTTTTCCCCAAAAAAAATCATGTTGAAAACTCAAGACCTTAAGTTTACAGCTCAAGCTGATCCTGAAAGTTATCTCAGTGAGATTGTAATGTTGCTCAGTCTTTCAGAAGTTGTATAAATGTACCTTTTAGCCTAGTAAATGCAATTCTAGGACTCTAGATTAAGAAAACTATCCAAAATATGGGAAGACATTTACTTACATATTTGTACAGATATCTATATTTGGATTTATGTCAGACTTAAAGATATAGTAAACCATTTTGGTCGTGAAAATGAATGTGAAAGGTTGAAAGCAACCAAAATTATAAATGCATTATATATATATTAGATTAAATGTCCATTTATACATTTACATGTGGGGTAATTAATTGTTAATATACTAATATAAAACATTTTAATATACTAGTAAATTAATATATTGTATGTTAATGTTACATAACAATTTATGAAAAAATTATTAAAAGGAGATTGCCAATAATAATAGAGCAAAATCTGTGAAAACTAAAATCCTGTTTAATAACTTTATTTCCAAGCCCCTGTCCATTTATCAGTCAGTTATTTGTTGGTCTTCCAAATGCCAACATGCCTGTAACTTCAGGGTCTCCTTCTTTTAGCAGTAAAGGATTTTTTTTCTCCCTGAGGAAATCACTAGCTGTACCCTATAACATTTTCTATTCTTGTCTCAAGGCCCAAAATTACTAGAATTATAATATTCTGCACAAGATATTGTAAATACTACAAATGCCATCAGATCTTTTGTTAAACTCTGTAAACCCAGTTGCTACCCTTTGGCTGCATAGAATCTATAAATTCTAACAAATGGATGAGAACCAAGTTAAGAATTCTAGAGTGGGATAAGGGGATGTGATGTATTCTATTCAGGGATGAAGTTTTAGAGACTCCAAGTATGAAACAGAAAATTGAGGATGGGGAGACCTGATGGGTACCACATTAAGTTTAAAAAAAAAAAAAGTGTTTTCTCAGCTGTCTCCCCTTTTGACCCCATACTATAAGATCTAACTGGAAAGAGCAAGAAGCTGTCTCAGTTAAGAAAGTTCTATACAAGAACCCCTGTGGTAGAACAAGTCTACAACAAGATAACATGATTGCCCCAAGGCAGAAGTAAAAGAAATATTGTAGGAACCATAAATGAATTTAAAAGCTGATCTTTTAAAAAATATATAACTTATCAAAGTGAGAGATCAGTCCTTTATGATATTTAAGGAGTTCCTGTGAATGCACCATTATGCTGGATACTCTGAAAAAATGCAAATCAAGTATGAAGCGATATAAATTCTGCCCTTAAGGAACTTGCAATCTAGTTGGAGATTTATGTTTAACACAAAGAAGCAGTTTTTACAAATACTTCTTTTGAGGATTCTGGGAAGATGGCAGAGTAGAAAGCACCAGGAATCTGTCTCCTCACCTAGACAAGAATTGTACTGGCAGAATCTGATGTAACTATTTTGGAACTCTGGAGTCTATTGCAGGCTTGCAACTTCCAGGGGACAGACTTAGATGGTAAATTGCAGTTAATTTTGGTCTATTTGAGCTCTTAGTACAGTAGCAGCTACCCATCTTCCACCTCTCAACCCTTAGCAGACAGCTGTGCACGTTATTAGAGCAATCTGCACACAACTTACAGGAATCAGGTGGGCAAAAAGAAACACACCATCCAGATATCTGGGATCTGTGCTCTTGATTGGTCATTGCTCCTTCTCGTCACAAAAGCGCAAAGAGATGGGCGGTTGTTGTTGTTACACCTTACTCATTGTTACAACCCCCTCCCCACTCACTCCCCTGCCCCATGGATTTAAAGGGCTAGAAATCTCCCTCTGCTTCATTTTTCTCTTTCACTTTTGGGAGCCGGATATTAAAGACTAGGACATTTAAAAACAACTGCATTTATGGGGAAAATTAGAAAGTCACTGTACATACCTAGGGAAAGGCTCAGGAGAGACCTTAAGTTTATAGCTCAAGCTGATCCTTGGCACAGGATTAACAACAATTACACAGCAATTAAACAAAGCAAACACACACACACACAATGTAGTCTGGGAGAGTGATGTTAGCAAGATGGCCAACTAGAAGCCCCTTCTGCTCATCCCCTCATAAGACAGCCAGAACAACAAATAAACAACTACATTTTAGCAAACTTAACTAAGAGTGCTAGAGTGCATCAAAGAAGTAACAGAAATCCTAGTGAGCAGAGAAAAGTGGGATGGCCACATGGAGAATGGGAGGAAATGCCAGGATTCCTAGGATCATCTGGGAACGAGGAGGAACTTCTTCCTATGGCAAGGAGATAAACAAGAAGATCCCAGCTACACCATGGGCACCAACAGATCTCACCACTGGGGTTCCTTAGAGTCCAGACAGCAACTAAGCCAAGCTGAGGAAGCTGCCTAGAGTCTGCACAGCTGTGTTCCCTCCAGAGAAGGAGCCAACACTGTGCTCCACCTGCTGTGGCCCACACAGCTACTGTGCCACTCCACCTTGGAACTGGAACTACTTCTGGAGTGTGTCTTGCTTCGGGGACTTGTAGCCATGGCTTCCTTTCATCTGAACCACGCCAGGCTGGTGGCTCAACATCCCTAAGCTAAACTTTAAGCAGCTGTTACACCCTTCCCTGTGGAGTCAAGCAGAGGTGGAACTACTCCACCTACTCCTACCCCACTGCCCTTGGGCTAGAGCTGAAGCAGTATCCTATTTCCTGGGAACACACTACCTTGGCCACCCAGAGCAGTCATGCACCCCTGTGCCTAAGCTGAAGTGGTATACGGCATTCCAGGGAAACAGGGCCTGAACCACCCAGAGCAGTCACACTCCCCGGGCCTCAGCTGAAGGAGCACATCACTCCCTGCAGAATCAGTGCCCTGGCCAAACCGAGCAGCTATGCATCCCAGGGCTGAGCTGATGTAGTATCCTATGTCTCAGGGAAACAGAGCAGTGGCTGAGCTGAGACACCCTGTTCTACAGGCCAAATAACTGTAGTACCCCGCTTCCCTGGAGCTGGACTAGTCCTCTAGAGCCTGAGCTGCTGAGACACTCTGAGGAGTGGAGTCATCACTGTGCTGTTCCCTACCCCCCATTCCCAGCCCAGACAACAGCTATGCTTCACCATTTTGTAGTACTTGCTGCTGCTGCTACACTTGGCCTCACAGTCTGGGGTACTGCTTATCCCTAGCTATTCCAAGATTTAGAGTCATGACTTCATGGTGCCTCATCCCTTGGGACCTGTGTTGCCACTGAGCCCTATTAGCTCATATTCCCAAATTAAAACCATACCCTGCTCCCCAGGCCCAAACCTCCAGAGAACCCCTTCTTTATAGTCAGGCCAGTGCTATGCCCTGACCCCCATAGGGGTAGAATCAAAGCTACAACCCATTCTCTGGGCCTAAGCTGCCAGGAAGCACCTCCAGGTCACAAATCCTGGCTCTGTGAGCAACTACGTCCAAGCCCTGCCACAGAGAGCAAACCCACCTCAGCAACCAAGTGTCTCAGTAGGTTTGTGAGATCCTGAGCCTAGGACCTTTGCCCAGTAGCCACTCTGAATACCTTCATCTGGAATCAAGAGCTGCTGCAGCTGCATATATATAGCCCCTGTCAGACCTGACACCAAGAGGTGTTGCCTTGGCTGAGTCTCCCCATTGTGGGGAAGACAAGAATAGGAGGATCCTAAAAGCCTTCAACACTGAGAACATTAACAACCTACACTACCACTGCCACAAACTTCTGCAGCCTAGGCCCCTGAGGCACCCATTTACTACTGACATTGAACACAGGTAAAGCAGCTGCTTTACCATACCACTGCATCTGTCAGGAAACAGTCACCACACCCTTCGAAACCAGCATACTGAAACCCAACTGCTAATAAAAGACTTTATCTTTGAAAGCCACTGTCTGTAAAGTTTGGAAGAGGTAATTATCCTATCAACACAAAGACACAAAAACATGAAAAAGCAAGGAAATATGACACCACCAAAGGAAAGTAAGAACTCTCTAATGGTGGCCCAATGAAAAGAAGATCAACAAATTGCTGGAAAAGGAATTCAAACTAATGATCTTAAGGAAACTCAACAAGATACAAGAAAATACAGATAGTTCAATGAATCAGGAAAACAATTCACAATACAAAAAATTCAACAAAAAAATTAAAACATGATGAAAAACAACCAAACAAATCCTACAGTTGAAGAATTCAATGAATTACATTTAAAAAATACAATAAAGAGCTTCAATAACAGACTTGGTAAAGCAGAAGAAAGAATCTCTGAACTTGAAGATATACCATTTGATATTACTTAATTGTAGAAAAAACAAGTGAAACCCTACAAGACTTATGGGACATCATTAAAGGAACAAACGTTCATACTATGTAAGTTACAGAAAGAGGAGAAAAGGTAAGAGGCATATACAAACTATTTAATGAAATAATAGCTGAAAACTTCCCAAGTCTGGAGAGAGATACAGACATCCAGATCCAGAAAGCTCAATGATTCCCAAATAGATTTAACCCAAAAAGGTTCTCTCCAAAGCACATTATTATCTGTTGTCAAAAGTCAAAGACAGAGAAAGAATTCTAAAAATAGCAAGAGAAAGGCATCAAGTCACATTTAAGAAAATCCCCATTCAGCTAACAGCAGATTTCTTCACAGAAACCTTACAGTGCAGAAGAGGATGGGATGATATACTCAAACAGCCAAGAATGCTATGCCCAGCAAAACTATCCTTCAGGAATGAGGGAGAAATACAGTTTTTCCCAGACAAGCAAAAACTGAGGGAATTCATCACTGCTAGACCAGCCTTATGAGAAATGCTCCAGGGAGTCCTACATCTGGAAGTGAAAAGAGAGCAGTCAGTATCTTGAAAACATGGAAAAGTATAAAACTCTCTGATAGAGCAGATACACAAAGGAGAAAGAGAAAAGAATTAAACCTTATCAAACCATCAAACCACAATGATAAATAATAAGAGAGGAAGAAAGGGGCAAAGGATATTATTAGAAAACTTTAACAAAATGACAAATGTAAGGGCTCAAATATCAATAATAATCTTAAATGTAAATGGATTAAATTCCATACTTAAAGAGACTGGCGGAATATTTTTTTTTTTCTTTTTTTTTTTTTTTGAGACGGAGTCTCGCTCTGTTGCCCAGGCTGGAGTGCAGTGGCGCGATCTCGGCTCACTGCAAGCTCCGCCTCCCGGGTTCACGCCATTCTCCTGCCTCAGCCTCCTGAGTAGCTGGGACTACAGGCGCCCGCTACCACGCCCGGCTAATTTTTTGTATTTTTAGTAGAGACGGGGTTTCACCGTGTTAGCCAGGATGGTCTCGATCTCCTGACCTCGTGATCCACCCGCCTCGGCCTCCCAAAGTGCGGAATATTTTTTAAATGACTCAATTATATGCTTTCTATAAGAAACCCACTTCACCTATAAAGACACATATAAACTGAAATTGAAGGGATGGAAAAAGTTATTCCAAGCAAATGGAAACCAAAAGCTGTCAGGAATTGCTATACTTATGTCAGATTAAACAGACATTAAGTCAAAAACTGTAAAAACAGACAAAGAAGGTTATTATATAATGATAAAGGGACCAATTCAGCAAGAGGATATAACAATTCTAAACATACATGTACCCAACACCAGAGCACCCAGATATATAAAGTAAATATTACTATACGTAAAGGGAAAGATAGACTCCAATATGATAGTAGTTGGGGACTTCAGCACCCCACTCTCAGCTTCGGACAGATCAGCAAACTCCAAGTACAGTGAACTCAAAGAGACCACACCAAGAAACAGTCAAACTTTTGAAAGCCAAAGACAGAGAAGTGACTTGTCATACACAAGGGATCTTTGATAACATGATCAGCAGATTTCTCACCTGATACTTTGGAGACCAGTGTATTCAAAGTGCTAAAAAAAACAAAACCAAAAAACTCAAAACCCTGTATATGGCAAAATTGCCCTTCAAAAGCATAAGGAAATTAAGATGTTCTTAGATAGACAAAAGCTAAGGGAGTTCATTACCGCTAGAACTGCCCTGCGAGAAATGCTTAAGGAAGTCCTGAAAGGTGAAATGAAAGGGCACTAGACAGAGGGGACAGTGCAGATTCAGGCAGGTGCAATGGCTTCTGGGGAAGACCCAGCCAGTGGGGCTATTGCCAGCATCCAGTCAGCTGCCACCTTCCCTGACCCCAGTGTCAAGTGATGCGCAGGGTGATCCAGGTGTGTGAGGGGCAGCTGGATGTCCAGACTGAGGGCACTGGTGCCATCAGTGGCTATCCTACCACTCAATTCATGACCCAGGTGGTGATCCAGGGTGATATC